>NC_000012.12:101702552-102005582 GCF_000001405.40 Homo sapiens
ACTACATATTGCCTTTGTATTACATATTATAGAGTTATTTTGGGGGGAATAATAGAAAGAAAAGGAAATAACCTTTAGATTCCTACTCAGACTTTTTTTTATAGGTTTGATTTCTTTGAGATCTAGTATATTTCCTTTTTAAGCACTCTTTTACTCCCACTTTTTTTAAACCAGCTCAGTAACTTTTCAAGCATCATTTATTAAGGCAGGACTCTTGTAAGGGCGTGACCTCTCTCATTAAAACAAAATGTGAACTCCAGATTTCCAGGAGATAGAAGCAGGGAGGGACTTAGGGTGAGGCAAGCCAGGACTCAAAATTTAAGGAGGCCTTTGCAGGACTGTGAGAATGAATGTCTCCTTAACTTCTGCAGCCATGGTGCCTCCCTGCCTCACCCTTAGTCCCCGGCCATCTAGAAGGAGACTCTTCAGATAATGTGGAGGTAGCTTCCCTTGATTCCTATGGCTTCACTATACTTAATTCCTAACGAATAAAACTGTTTCTCCTTTCAAATTCTGGTTCAAGTGTGGATAAAACGTGGCATCGTGGTATTTAGAAGAAGCTTTGAATTTTCCTCCTGGTGCATTTGATTGGGGTAGAAGGCTACAACCAGACCACTTGGGTTTTGCGAAGTTGAAGAACAGAACAGAAGCAACCCAGTACAGTTGATGTGGATGATAGATTTGGCCTCAGGGGAATTCTCTTCACACCCCTCTCTCTTTTTGTTCCCCTTAGCACAGTGACAGGCTGGCATTTTCAACAAGAACCCTAATAAGTATTAAAGAAGAAAGAAAACCAAAATGATTCACACTGAATATAAAAATAAAGGCCAGCTTTCAAAGTACAGATTTATCAGGTCATGAGAAAACCCCATTGGCCCTGAAGTGCTGGTTTAACTGCATTTATGTGCGATGTCTGTCTGGTTTCCTTTGCCGCAGCTTATAACCTGCCTAATTTCCTAAAAATGGATGTGCTCTTCTCAAATGCTGGTTCCTAAACTGAGCCAAGACCAAAGGTCTGGGTCGAAAGCAGTGAGCCCCTAGGGCCTTCCTCATTGGCTTGGCAGAGAGTGGTTTTACCTTTTCTGACCACCAAGGCTCCTCTGGAGCCTCCCCAGGCCTCAGGTGGGAACCCTCCCTCCGTAAACAAAGAAGCACCCTCCCCATCACAGGCTCCCAGTAAACAATGTCATAAGCACATCTTAGGCACTTATTGGGTTAGAGCAGTTGCAGGAATGGAGCAATCAGTCATTTCTACTTCTTATGTCTTCCAGAGTCAGGTTAGCAGTCTATTAGAAACTCCATAAATTCTCTTTTAAAAATCGTAGAATCTCTTGTGATCCCTGGAATAATGAAATGAAAAAAAAAATCTTAAGAGTCACCTGTCTGGGTAGAAAGTCTACCTTTAACAGCATACTCGCATTACATGTTTTTCACATATGCACAATATGTCTTCTAATGTCCTTTCTTCCTATGTCTTAGAAATGCAGTTTCTATTTTTATGAAGAAAGAAGTCAATGTTTGGATAATTGAAATCTTCTTGTTACCAGCTGACCTAATGGTTATTGGTTATCTAATTCCCTTCTGCATAGATGTCAATTCATCCAAGGCCATTTCAAGCAAAGAGGTTTTTTTGTTTTGTTTTTGTTTTTTTTCAGTATAAAAATTTACGTAATGAACATTGTATAGTTCTAGTATTTCCTAGTTTGGGAAGATTTTTTCTTTTATATATTATCTATACTTGCTTTTATTTACTATTTTTCTTTATGTCAACTTTAAATCAACTCTTTTAAAAACTTAGACTCTTACTCTGACTTAATATTTATAAAATCATAGATATGATATGCTATTTTTCTTTTTTTTTTTTTTGAGATGGAGTTTCGCTCTTGTTGCCCAGGCTGGAGTGCAGTGGTGCAACCTTGGCTCACTGCTACCTCCGCCTCCTGGGTTCAAGTGATTCTCCTGCCTCAGCCTCCCAAGCAGCTGGGATTACAGGTGTGCACCACCATGCCTGGCTAATTTTGTGTTTTTAGTAGAGATGGGGTTTCACTATGTTGGTCAGGCTGGGCTCGAACTCCTGACCTCGGGTGATCCACCCACCTCAGCCTCCCAAAGTGCTGGGATTACAGGCATGAGCCACCGCACCTGGCCCTGTTTTTCAAAATACATTAAATTTTTTCAAAATATATTAAAATAAACATAAACATTCAATTGAAAAGTTTACCTACAGATCACCTAAAATTATCTGATGGAGTATCAGTAATAACAGTAACAGTAACAAATACTGAGCTCCTTCCATATGCCCAGCACTTTTATAAACATTTTACATGTGATAAGTCATTTAATTTTCACAATGAGAGAGGAGCAATGATTATTACCATTTTCAAATGGAGAGACTAAGGCACTGTAAAGTGATTCATCCAACTCATTTAGCCAGTAAGTAGCAGAGCAAATGTGGGTGCAAGTAGAGTCTAGAGTCTATGCCCCTAACCACTCTGCAAGAAAAACCTGGGGCATGTATTCTTCCCATTGCTTTTTTGTTTTGTTTGTTTGTTTGTTTGTTTTTGAGATAGGGTCTCACTTGGCTCACTGCAACCTTGGCCTACTGTCCTCAAGTGATCCTCCCCCCTCAGCCTCCCAAGCAGCTGGGATTACAGGTGTGCACCACCATGCCTGGCTAATTTTGTGTTTTTAGTAGAGATGGGGTTTCACTATGTTGGTCAGGCTGGGCTCGAACTCCTGACCTCGGGTGATCCACCCACCTCAGCCTCCCAAAGTGCTGGGATTACAGGCATGAGCCACCGCACCTGGCCCTGTTTTTCAAAATACATTAAATTTTTTCAAAATATATTAAAATAAACATAAACATTCAATTGAAAAGTTTACCTACAGATCACCTAAAATTATCTGATGGAGTATCAGTAATAACAGTAACAGTAACAAATACTGAGCTCCTTCCATATGCCCAGCACTTTTATAAACATTTTACATGTGATAAGTCATTTAATTTTCACAATGAGAGAGGAGCAATGATTATTACCATTTTCAAATGGAGAGACTAAGGCACTGTAAAGTGATTCATCCAACTCATTTAGCCAGTAAGTAGCAGAGCAAATGTGGGTGCAAGTAGAGTCTAGAGTCTATGCCCCTAACCACTCTGCAAGAAAAACCTGGGGCATGTATTCTTCCCATTGCTTTTTTGTTTTGTTTGTTTGTTTGTTTGTTTTTGAGATAGGGTCTCACTTGGCTCACTGCAACCTTGGCCTACTGTCCTCAAGTGATCCTCCCCCCTCAGCCTCCCAAGTAGCTGGGATTACAGGCATGCACCCCCACGCCCGGCTAATTTTTGTATTTTTAGTAGAGACGGGGTTTCACTATGTTGGCCAGGCTGGTCTTGAACTCCTGGCCTCAAGTGATCTGCCCGCCTCAGCCTTCCAAAGTGGTGAGCTACCACACCCAGCCTGATTTTCATCATCTACGTATTTAGCTCCTACAGAAGATTTTTAAAAATAGAATACGTGGCTGGGTGCGGTGACTCATGCCTGTAATCCCAGGACTTTGGGAGGCCTAGGTGGGTGGATCTCAAGGTCAGGAGTTTGAGACCAGCCTGACCAACATGGTGAAACCCCATCTCTACTAAAAATACAAAAACTAGCCAGGTGTGGTGGTGCACATCTGTAATCCCAGCTACTCAGGAGGCTGAGGCAGGAGAATCACTTGAACCTGGGAGGCGGAGGTTGCAGTGAGCGAAGATTACACCACTGCACTCCAGCCTGGGCGACAGAGTGAGACTCTGTCTCAAGAAAAAAAAAAAAGAAAGAAAAATAGAATACGTGTCTCATGCCCATGAGAGGATCACATTCTAATATGAAAGATAGGGCCACATACAAATGACATCACATCGATCTAGAGCTGAAACATACCTCAGAAACTATCTAGTCTACCATTTTCATTTAGAGAAGACCTAAGAACATGTTCCAGAAAAATCAGTATTTTGAGGCTGTAAGTGAAATTTGTCCAGTGAGTTCAGTGGATCTCAGCATGCAGCTTTCACCTGATGCCAGTGCCATGCTCTTGGGCTTCCCAGGCTCCAGAACCATGAGCCAAATAAGTCTTTTCTTTATAAATTACCCAGTGTCTAGTATTCTGTTATAGCAACAGAAAATGGAATTACACAACTCTTATTTGAAAAAATGGGAGGCTATAATTATGAAACAATTAATGACTTATGTGGAATTACTTCCCTTGGTTAAATTAGATCTTTACTTTCATTAACTAAAGATGATAATTTCAAAGCTTTGCTTTTTAAATTTGTTCTGCTACCTGTGAAATCATTTAAAATCAAGGAAACTAGACAACAGAAACAGTGCATTGTTATAAAGTCATGAACATCATTGTCATGTAGTTCCTTATATTTGTATACCTGAGGTACTAACCATCTAATGAGCATATTTTGTACAACAGAAGGCCTATATATTTGCAAAGACTGCTTTAACCCTGAAAAATATTTGTAGAAGGTGTATTTTTAAGGGAGTAGGTAGGAATGGAATGACTGGAGATAGGTAGGTTTGTGTCCTTTGATTTCTCCCTAGATGAAGTTGTAGGTGGAGTAAGAGGTGTATCAGGCAGTCCTTGAAGGAGGGGGCATATGAGTGCTTTGCTGAATTGGGTGAGAAGAGTGTTTAGAAAGGAAAAAGCCATGAGACAGTATTAAGTCATAAATAAACAAGAGGACTTTGTGGGTGGAATGGAGCTGGAGTATGAAGGTGGGTGATTGAGAGTTATGCTGCAAAGAGACTCTTATCAGTGAGTAAAGAGCTTGTGGTAAGATTAGTTTAGGAGTGGCCAGAAGAGCTGTTCCTAAACTCATGTGCTCCTTGGTGTGCTCCTAAACTAAGCCCATGAAGGCTCTCCCCTAAATCTCCTGTAATACAAATAGAAAATTATTTTTGCACAAACACCTTTATTGTCACACTTGGTCCATTAATTGAGGGATATTGGTTAAACATATACTGTGTGCCAGAGTAATGTTCTAGAGTACTGGGAATGTAGGGGTGAGTGAGAAAGACACAATCCTTGCCCTCTCTGTGCTTTAATCAGTTCAGCCTTAGAAAATGAAATATTTAAGGTGAGAAGGCAAGGAAAAGGGAAGACTTAATTTTGGAGTTTTGGATTGGGTATGTGGGGGGCAGGTGGCTTTGATTAGGGAGACCAAGATGAAGGTACTAGTGCTGTTTCTCAGTGAGTTACAGGGTTGTGGGCAAGGAAGAAGAGAAGTAGATGCCTCCTCTCTCACCTCAATCTTTCTCCTTCAGTCACTGCGTAGTTCCGTCTCTTAATATGGAAACGTTAAGATTCTTATACTTATGGGCCTTTTTCCAGAGAATGCAGAGAGCATACAGGATTTTGTCAGAGGTGCAGTTCACCTCTGGATGTTTTCTGGAAGAGTAAATCATGTGTGAAAATTGAATAAATTAATGGACTATCAGACTTGCTGTTTGCTTTTTTCCAGTATAAGCTTTGTGTCTTTGAGACTATGGTAGGAGTGTATGACTTCCTGGCTAGGATGTCAGTTTAATTTGTTTGTGCTTCTATACGATAGTTACAGTGTTGTCAGAAAGCATTGAGGAAGTTTTAAAATCATAATTTAGTTTTATCTAATCCTGTAATGAATAGAATCCTATGAATAATTCAAATAACTAGAAAAGCTAAAATTTCCCAAATATGTATTTTATACAGCTCTTTTTCAGTGTATAATTGAAAAACAATTTAAATTTTAATCAGTGGGTTTTTTTTTAATGACAAGGGGTTATGATTGATTTTTAGTAGTTATTTTGTTTTCTAGAATAAATTTATATGAAATTTAATATATCAAGTAAAATTCATTGTTAGGGAAGCTATTACTTAAATTATGATATAGCCACATAATTGAATACCATGCAGTCATTAAAAAGAATGATGTGGATCTCTGTGTTTGACCTGGAAAGAGTTCTGTAACATTGTTAAATTTGGATACAGTAGATATTATGAAAACTATATAATTAAAAACGTATTTATTCATTTATTTAATTATTTAGAGACAGGGTCTCACTCTGTTGCCCCAGCTGGAGTGCAGTGGCTCACTTCAACCTCTGCCTCCTGGGTTCAAGCAATTCTCGTGCCTCAGCCTCCTGAGTAGCTGGGATTACAGGAGTATGCCACCACAGCTGGCTAATTTTTGGATTTTTAATAGAGACAGATTTTTACCATGCTGGCCAGGCTTGTCTCAAACTACTGACCTCAAGTGATCAGCCCACCTTGGCTTCCCAAAGTGCTGGGATTACAGGTGTGAACCACCACATCCAGCCATAAAAACTTTAAATGTTAGAATGGAATATTACCTAGAGAAGTTCTACTACTTGGAATAGATCTCTTCTAACAAACATTGCTTATGGCTTTATAATTCATAATCCAAGGGTGGCTTTTTCATCCTTACATTTAACTTTTTTGAAAATAAGTTAACATGAAAACTAGAATTGAGTTAGGGAGGCTCTGTAGCTCCCGTTTCCATGAAGAGTCTCTTCTGGCTAGGCACGGTGGCACTCGCCTATAATCCCAGCATTTTGGGAGGCTGAGGCAGAAGGATAGTTTGAGGCCAGGAGTTTGAGACCAGCCTGGGTAGCATAGCCAGATGCTGTCTCTACAAAAAATTTAAAAAATTAACCAGGCATGGTGGTGCACACCTGTAGTGTCCTAGCTACTGAGGAGGCTGAGGTGGGAGGATTGCATGAACCCAGGAGTCTGAGGTTACAACATGTGCCTCTGCACTCCAGCCTGGGCAACAGAGTGAGACCTGTGTCAAAAAAAAAAAAAAAAAAAAAAGTCTAATCTATAATTGTACCATTTTTGGAAAGGGATACCTGGAAGGAAGTTGTTCTGCTGTGCCTGGCCAAATAAATCCCAGCCTGTTTGCAGGGATAACAAGTTAGAAAAAAAGTGAGAAAATGCAACCTATTTAATCGCTTTCACCTAGGAATGGAGGTGGTGACCAAAGGAAAAAGAGAAGATAGGTCTGGCTCCTGAGGCCTTGGGAAGACTGGGAAAACTTGGAAGGATTTGGGAAGAATTGGAAAAGGAGTGAACCAAATATTGGCAGATCATTGTGCCTTTCTGGGTTTAAAGGAAAGACTCTTGTGGCTGGCACCATTTCCTGTGGCTCACTGCTACTTGAAAGTGTATTGTGTGAGGGGGAAAGTGCTTATCAGCAGGTTTGATGGAATAGGGAGTTTGTGAAGATTTCAGGTGAAAAGTTCCATTCAGTCTGTGTGGCCTGTGGTAGGATAAATCTCATCGAAGGGCAAGTCGGAAGACCCGATCTAGTTCCTGGACCCAGCCTAAGTGCTTGCCTTGATGTAAATTATCACTCCTCCGTATGTTTCACTTTCATCTTTAATAAAAAGAATATGATAATAACTGCCCTATCTCTGTGGATTTCTGTATTAATTGAAATAATACATTAGAAATGCTGTTTATCAGCTGGGTGTGGTGGCTCACGCCTGTAATCCCAGCACTTTGGGAGGCTGAGGCAGGTGGATCATTTAAGGTCAGGAGTTGGAGACCGGCCTGGGCAACATGGCAAAACCCTGTCTCTACCAAAAATACAAAAATTTAGCTGGGTGTGGTGGCGTGCGCCTGTAATCTCAGCTACTTTGGGAGGTTGAGGGGGAGGATCACTTGGGCCTGGGAGGCGGATGTTGCAGTGAGCCAAGATCCTTTACTGCACTCCAGCCTGGGCGACAGAGCGAGACCCTGTCTCAAGAACAAAAAAAGGAAAGAAAAGAAGTGCCCTTTGTTGTACTGTTGAAGATCACATTACCTTTGCAATATTATCTCTTGTAAATTACCTGTTCCAGGAACATGGATCTAGTCACTGACTCCAGTAAACCTTTCACTTTCAGTCAGAAACTTTGGTTTCTGCCTAGACTTCCTCTCTTCTCTGTTTACATTCCCAGTCTCTCCCTATTTAAACGCCTCTAGTATCCTAATGAAGCACTTTTAAACTGGTGAACAGTCTTCATTTCCCTTTTCTAAATTAAGAGCGGGATATAATTTGGGGTAGAGTCACCACCAGTTGTGGTGTAAGGGTTAATCAAATTTATTTCAGTATGAATTTCTGTTAATACCTGACCATGAGACCTGCCTGTAGCTAGTTTCTCAGATCAGAGGTCAGAATTAAGCTTTCAATGTTGACTTTTAGAGTTCTCCTTGAGAAGATCCAGATTTTCAGTATAAAGAGTTACATAGAGAAATGGAAGATCCCTCTGACATTTTGTCATTACAGAAATTTTAATAACTTCAATGTCCAATTTTACATATGTTTGACGTGTAACTTTGCTTTCCTTCAATCATCAAAATTAAAAACAATTTTTCATAGTAGAAAAAATGGGTAAGAATTTGCTAGTTTGATATGGTCAACTAATTTTTGATAAGGGCCCCAAGAGGACACAATGGGGAAAGGATAGTCTCTTCAATAAATAATGCTGGGAAAATGATTTCCATAGGCCAAAAGAATGAAATTGGACCTTATATTACACTGTATACAAAAATAAACTCAAAATGGATAAAATACCTAAATATAAGAACAAAAACTGTAAAACTATACCCAAAGGAAATGAAATCATCGCCGTAAAAAGATACTTGCACTCCCATGATCATTGTAGCATTATTCACAATAGCCAAAATACAGAAACAGCCTAAGTGTCTGTTAACATATGAATGGATAAAGAAACTGTAGTATGCACAATGGAATATTACTGAGCCCTAAAGAACAAAATCTTGCCATTTACCACAACATGGATGAGCCTGGGAGACATTATGCTAAGTGAAATAAGCCAGACACAGAAAGAGAAATATGGTATGATCTTGATCTCGCGTATACACAGAATCTGAAAAAAAAATTCAGAGATAGAGAATGAAACTGGTTATCAGGAGCAGAGGGGCATAAAGGGGAGGAAATGGGAAGAGGCAGGTCAAAGGATACATTACAGCTTTGCAAGATGAGCAGGTCTAGAGATCTTATGTACAACCTGAGGGGTATAGGTTAAAAAAATTGAACTGTAAAATGAATAGATTTTAGCTGCTCTTGCCACAAAAACAAAAAAATGGGTAACTATGTGAGATGATGGATATGTTAATTTGCTTCAGTTTAGTACCGTTTCCATCTATCTACATATCCCATAACATCATGTTGTATACATAATAAAATTTATCTTTAAAAAAGAATTTACTAGTTTGAAAAGAATTTACTAGGTTAACAGAATTGTTCTCTGTAAGACACTTTGGGATTCTTTCAAAAGATTCTGGGTGGGATGTGTTGTTTTTCATTTTTGTACTGTCGTGATGACTGCTTAGTTTTGTTTGCCCTTTCTTAAATTGTTTCACAGTTTCCAAGATAAACTTTTAAGAACGTGCTCACTGGAACTGAATATGATATTTTATTTATTTTATTTTTCAAGACAGGGTCTCGCTCTGTCACCCAGGCTGGAGTACAGTGGCACTCACTGCTCACTGCACCCTCGACTTCCCCAGGCTTGGGTGATCCTCCCACCTCAGCCTCCTGAGTAGCTGGGACTACAAGTGTACACCGCCGCACCAGGCTAATTTTTATATCTTTTGTAGAGATGGGGTTCACCATGTTGCCCAGGCTGGTCTTGAACCCCTGGGCTTAAGCAATCTGCCCACCTTGGCCTCCCAAAGTGCTAGGATTATAGGTGTGAGCCGCCGAACCTGGACTGTGATTTTCTGCTTACTACTAGTTTTCATTGATTTAATTACGATGTGCCTTGATGGGTGTTTAAAAAATATTTATTCTGTTTGGGGTTTGTTGAGCTTCTTGGACATGTAGGTTTATAGATTTCATCAACTTTGGACATTTTTCATCATTTATTTCTTCTTATATTTTTCGTGCCCCATCCGCTCTTTTCTCTTTCTAAGACTCTAGTTACATATGTGCTAGACTGCTTTCTGTTGTCCCACCACTCGCCGATGCACAGTTCAATTATTTTTAGTCGTTTTTCTTTCGTCATTTTGGATAGTTTCCATTGGTACATGCTTATTGATCTTTTCTTCTGTGGTGTTTAATATGCTGTTAATCTCACCCAGTTTATTTTACAATTCAAATATTGTAATTTTCATTTCTGGAGATTTCACTTGAGTCTTTTCTTCCATTTCTGTTTATAATTTTCCTGTTTTCCTCTACTTTCTTGAACATGTGGAGCATATTTATAATAACTATTTTGATATCCTCATCTGCTAATTCTATTACTTCTGTTCATATTGATTCTGATTGTATTCTGATTATATGGATTTTACTTCTAGTTGTCAATTATATTCTCCTGCTTCTTTGCATGACTGGTAATTTTTTACTGAATGCCAAACCTTGTGAATTTTACCTTTGGGATACTAGATTTTTTTCCCCTAAGATGTACTTTATGATGGCTGTAGTTAAGTTGCCAGGAATTACTTGGATCCTTTTGAGGCTGGATTTTAAGTTTTGTTAGGGCTGTCCAGAGAAGCCTTCAGTCTAGGGTTAATTTATGCCTGCTGGTAAGGCAGTACACTTCTGAGAACTTTACCCAATGCCCCAAGTATTAATGAGGCTTTCTGCTTTGCCTGGTGGGAACATGAATGTCCCAGCCATGTATGAGCTTTGAGAATTGTCTGACCTTCAACATTGCAGTGCTTCTCTCCCTGGCCTTTGTTAGTTTCATCTCATTCAGGCACAGATGAGTTCTCAGCCGAAGACGGAAAGATACCCTTCCGTAAGACGTCCACAACTTATGCTCCTCTCTCTGTGCAGCTCTGTCCTCTCAGGCACTCTGCCTCACAAATCCTAATTGCCTTGACCTTCCTGAACTTTGTGTTTCTCTTAAACACAGCATGATTGCTGGACTCTGTTCTGGTCATGGGACCTGCACTGTGGCCTGGAAACTGACTCTGGGAAGTTAGCTGGAGCAGTCGCAGGGCTCATCTCATTTGTTTCCCTTCTGTGAGGGATCACAAGCCTGCACTGCCTGTAATGTTTGAAAACTGTTTTTTGTTTTTTGTTTTTTTAAAAATATATTTTATTGCCTTTCTAGTTATATAAGGTGGGAGAGCAAATCTAGTCCCTGATACTCCATTGTGAATGGAAGCAGAGGTTGGCAGTTGGCCCCTAAGGTCTTTTTTCACAGCAAAAATTTAACTGAGTAATTTCAAATCTGTGGCATAATGCATAGTATTATATTAAAAGAGCCATGGATGTAAGAATCAAGATCAGGATCCTAATCCTTACTCAGTTGTTTAACTTTGTGTTTCTTACATTGTGGACTTCTGTGACCCTCTACCTAGATGACTTAAAGCAGTTAATTTGATTTCTCAATTTAATTCGCATCTGTAGAATGAGGGTTAGAAATGTTCTTTATAACACACGGGGTGCTACAAAGTGTGAAGCCTTAGGTTGAGCTATTTTCAGAAAGCTTATTATCACTTAACAATCTTTATTTTATTTACATTTTTTATAGGCACCATACTGGACATACCTTTTATGTGCACTGGGACTTTTTATTTACCAGTCACTGGATGCTATTGATGGGAAACAAGCCAGAAGAACAAACTCTTGTTCCCCTTTAGGGGAGCTCTTTGACCATGGCTGTGACTCTCTTTCCACAGGTAAATTAGTGGAGTTTTTTATTTTTTTATGATACCTTAAAAATAAAATGAACTGAGCTGTTTGGTCAGTTTTTTGGATGGATATACATTTGGGAGCAAATGTATGGAGTTGTTTAAAAAGTATGTCAAGAATTCATTTTGATAAGTGTACTTTATTTTAATGCCATGATTATTTCCTTAGAGCTCTGTATTTCTAAACAGCATAGGGCAATTATTTCATAAATTATTTTTAATTCTTAATGATTCTTAAACTTTGTTTCTTTCAGTATTTATGGCAGTGGGAGCTTCAATTGCCGCTCGCTTAGGAACTTATCCTGACTGGTTTTTTTTCTGCTCTTTTATTGGGATGTTTGTGTTTTATTGCGCTCATTGGCAGACTTATGTTTCAGGCATGTTGAGATTTGGAAAGTAAGTATGCTTTTTAAGTTGTACATTAAAAAATATAATTGAATTCATTTGCACAATCTGTTATGTCATTCATCGATAATAAGGAGAACAAATCTTCAATCAGTAACTTAAATTAATTCGTCGGAGTACTCATAAATGCTACACCTTAAGTCTTTTAGGTACTCTGCATGTTATAAATAGTTACATTATTTGATAATAATTTTATTTTTCTTCTCCTCTTCTCCAACTTAATCATTAGCCCAAGTTTACAATAGAGAGGATTAAAAGAAAATTAAGGGACCTGAATAATATAGAAAAGGGATATGCAGTACTTAAATAAGCATTTGATTCATATAATAAAATAATGCAGTGTGGAGTCTAAGGTCCTTTTTTGGTCGAATCTTCATGTGCACAGAAAGGGGACCCGCCTTGACAACAGTCACCAGCATCAGGTAATTGTGAGACTCTCAACTGTGGTAGGCAATTGGTGAGATAATGTAAAAGCACCTTGTAAATGCTAGTGCTAAACATTAGATAGTATTATCTGCCTCTGTTGCCTCTTTCTTAGAGACCAGGAAATAGTGCACAAAGCAGGAATACTATTCTCTGTTCCTCTTTTTCATATAGTTCCCTCTCGGTCTGATCCTTTTAAGAACTTTGTCATTTGCTCATTTTGGCTTTGGCTTCCCATGCCTACTGATTCTTTTTAGCCCCACTTTATTGCTGAAAAGGAGAAACAGTAGCTCTGAAAAAACTCTCTAATGATAAATGATAGGAGAAGCTTAAAACTATGGATCATTTAGCAGAGGGCAGGCTTCAGGCAGTTGATTCTCAATTATGGAATAATTGTATTTACCACCTATCGAGCACTTACATGTTTCAGGCATTGTACTAAGAGCTTCACAGGCATTATCTTATTTATTCCTTACATTTATCCCGTAAGGTGGGTATTACCTCCATCTAAAGACATTGGGGCATCCAGGCAGAGATGTAAAGTATGTAGACAGATATAAAAATCTACAGCTCAGGAAAAAATGTAGATTGGAGATAAGGATTTAGAAGTCATTAGCATATAGATGGTAGTTTTAAGTATAGATAAAATTGTTCATAGACTATAAGAATTCCAGATGGAATTCTGAAAGCATCATTTAAGATATGAATGAAGAGGCAGTCTAGGAAGGAGCGTGAGAAGAGCTCCAGCAAGGTAGGAAAATCAGGAGAGAACATGGAATAGATAAAAACACAGCAGAGCTTTTCAAGAAAGAGGGTATGATCAGCATCTTAAATATTGTAAAGAAGTTATGCAAGATAATTAATGAAATGTATCCCTTAGATTTGTATCCTTTAATTGGAATTGAAAATTGAAGGTCAATTTACCTTAAACAATTTTAGTAGAATAATGGGGCCAAAAGCCAGACTAGAGTGTGTTAAGCAACAAACGTGAAGAGAGGAGAAAATTACAAATGTTGACTAATTTTCAGTGAGCCTATTCGTGGAGCATAGGAGAGAGAGTGACAGCTTCAGGGGAATGCAGACTAGAGGGACTGATGCTGATTGGTTAGTGGTTTTTTGAGAAATTTAAGCATATTTACTAGGGGAAAAATGTCTATGGAAACTAAAAAAACTACAGTGACTATTAGTACCTCAATAAAGAAGACTATTGGAATTTTCCCTGCTTTTTAAGTGAAATTGACCTGGGAGTATTTAAATTTGCCTTAAATCATATGGTTGTTTTTATTATAATTTTTCCTTATGTACACAAGTAGTGGGTAATTATTGTGAAAAAACTTCAGACTTTACAGGAGTTCATAAATTAGAAAATAAAAGTCTTTATAACATCAGTGATAACTATTAGCAATTTGATATATGGTATATATTTTTTTCCCTCTGCATATACCGTTACCTATGTGTGAGCACATGTTGTTCTGTAACTTTTTTAACTTAACAGTGTAGTCAACTGATAATTCAATAATGGAAGTAAAGGTAAAAATAAACTAAGCCTACAGAGATTTTTACATCTTTGCTATTTAATATGTGATGAACCTCCATATTCAGGAATTTTATTTACAAACACCTTATCTATTCTTTGTCCTTCCTCTTTAGAGTGGATGTAACTGAAATTCAGATAGCTTTAGTGATTGTCTTTGTGTTGTCTGCATTTGGAGGAGCAACAATGTGGGACTATACGGTAAATCTGAATATTTAAATTTATATTTAAGTACTTTTCAAATATTTAGGAAAAAGTATTGCATTGTTAATTTTCTTCAAAAATCCTTGGCATTGTATTTAATTTTTTTTTTTTAATTGGTGTATTTAATATTTGTTCCATTTCTTAACATTTTTTTCTTCATTTTATAATGTGTATTATCCTATATACCTTATGGCATTTCCTCCTATGCTTGAGTATATTGCCACATAGAAGAAGACAACCTCATTTCCCTAATACTAAATAAAACAAAAACAACAACAAAAAACACACATTGGAATAACTTTTTCCAGGGTGAAATAAAATAAATATTTTAAAAATAAATCCAGTAAAATGTTTTACATTTAAAACTTGTCACTCAATATTAGGAAAGTAGTTAATTTGCATTTTTATAATCTACTTTGAGGTGAAGATTCCCATATTAAGGAATGTTTTTATTTTCTGCCTGCTTGGTGACCTCAGTAGTTTCATAAAAGTTGGCTCTTAGGAGGCCACTGTCATAAATTCAAGCTTTTTTGCAAAAGAAGAACATTTCTGAAGAAACAGTTGTCCTGTTACCACAACGTAAGTCCACCATACTGGCTAACTGACTCACACTTTCTGCTCATAGTGTTAAGAATAATAATAATAAGGATATCAATAGTCAACAACTAACAGTCATTCAATACTTATGTTCCTAAACATTCACCATCTGCCCCTCAGTTTTATCTGCCCCTCAGAACAATCCTATAAAATAGATATTATTAGTATTATGCTTTATAAATAAGTCTTAGGGTGATTAAGTAATTTGTCCAAGGACACATGAGAAGTGCTGGAGCTAGGAATTAAACAGACTGATTCCAGACTGTATGTAATCACTAAGCTATATATCTAGTAAAAATAGTAAGTGATACAAAACTAAACATAGTTTTGTGGTAAACATGATCAGCAGTCACACTCCTTGTTATTTACCTAAATGATTTGAAAACTTATGTCCACACAAAAACCTGTACACAAATGTTTACAGCAGCTTTATTCATAATTGCCAAAATTTGAAAGCAACTAAGATGTCCTTCATCTTAGCTGGATAAACTAATGCTAAAAAGAAATGAGCTATCAAGCCATGAAAAGAAGTTATGCGAGGAACTTATGGAGTTCCAAGAAGTTATGGAGGAACCTTAAATGTTTGTTACTAAGAGAAAGAAGCCAATCTGAAAAGTCTGCATATTGTGTGATTCCAACTATATGACATTCTTTAAAAAGGCAAAATTATGGAGACAGTAAAAGGATCAGAAGTTACCATGGGTTGGAGGAAGAAGGGATGAATAGGTGAAGCACAGAGAATTTTTAGGGCAGTAAAACTATTTTGTATGATACTAAATGGTGGCTACATGTCATTATACATTCGTCATAGCACACAGAATGTGTAACACCAAGATTGAACTCTAATGTAAACTATGAACTTTGGGTGATAATGACGTGTCAATGTAGGTTCACCAGTTGTAACAAACGTACCACGCTGGTGTAGGATGTTGTTGGCAGAGGGAGGGGTGGCTATATACTTTTCCACTCAAATTTTGTTGCAAACCTAAAACCACTCTAAAAAATTAAGTCCATTAAAAACACAGTATGAGGCCAGGAGTTCAAGACCAGCCTGGGTAACTTAGCAAGACCTTGCCTCTACAAAAATTCTGTAAAACTTTAGCCAGGCATGGTGGCATGCACCTGTAGTCCCAGCTACTCAGGAGGCTGAGGCAGGAGGGTCAACTGAACCCAGGAGTTCAAGGCTGCAATGAGCCATTATCATGCCACTGACTACACTCCTGCCTGAGTGACACAGCAAGACCCCATCTTTAAAAAAAAAAAAAAAAAAGATTTCCCTGTAGCATTTAGTATCAGAATTGCCAATTATCATTTGTCAGTAGGCTCCGAAATAGACTTTGGGCATGTTTTTAAGTAGTAGTGATAGATTCTTCAATACATTCATATTCCCTCTCATCATGTAAGAGTAAATAGAATCAAGGATATGCTACTATAGGCCCATACAAGATAACAGAGGGATGCTATGCGTTTTTTGTAGTAACTGTTCAGGTTGTGCCCGTAAGAAGGTAAATGTACGGGCAGATCACCTGAGGTCAAGAGTTAAAGACCAGCCTGGCCAACATGGCAAAACCCTGTCTCTGCTAAAAATACACAAATTAGCCGGGTGTGGTGATGGGCACCTGTAATCCCAGCTACTCGGGAGGCTGAGGCAGGAGAATCACTTGAACCTGGGAGGCAGAGGTTGCAGTGAGCCAAGATTGGGCCACTGCACTCCAGCCCTGGGCGACAAGAGACTCGTCTCAAGAAAAAAAAAAAAAAAAAAAAAGAAGGTAAATGTAGACCTAGAAGCAGTTAGACAACTCTAGTTATTAAGTCAGGTGTGGTTGTCTTAAATTTGGAATTGAATCTTAAAATTGTTTCACTCAATGTTTTGGCAATATCGTAGGAAGAAAACATACCTGCTTATTCTTACCAACAAGAATGCTTACTTTTGATTCAGGTTTTCTAAATTTAATTATTAACCTGTAGTTTCCACAAATTTTGGTACATTATTTCAGTCTATTTTCTAAACATAGTAGCCTCTAGCTTCTGGCAATTCATTGTTACTGTTTTTTAAATCCTTTGCTGCCTTTGGAAGTTTTCTTGAACAGCAGTTGACCAACAGGTAAATATATTGCTAGAGATTTAATCCTGGATATTAACTACACAGATGTTTTGCTTGCATACACATCATGATATTTGTTACATTTATGATGCAAATCATGGTGTCTCCCTTTCCTGTGATGCTACTTTTTAGAAGCTACTAAATTCAAATGAACTATCCTTTTTCATGTTTAAGTCAGATGAAATCTTATGAGATTAAACATTTAGTCATAGTTATATAAACAGACTAAGCTGGTTTGGTGGATTCATCTTTCACTTATGAAGAAAGCAGTTTCAAAAAAAAGTCACTTTAGGCTGGTCCAATGGTAGTCAGTTATCTCAATTGATTGCTCACAGTCAGTTACAGGTCAAACTCCTTGTTCTTCTCTTTTCCCCCCTCACTACTGTACTTGGCTAGTCTACAAAAAATAATAAAAATTTAAAAACTAAAAAAAAAAGTTAAAAAAAAGTTTTTAAGTTATCACTTTGGATTATATTCCAGAAGTTAAGGTTTGATCACAAGAAAAAGGATAGCTTATTGTACAGGGCTTATCATTATGTTTCTTTATTATTTAATAAAAAACCAAAATTCTGTTGTCTTAATTGTTTCTTTCTTCTACCCCTAAAGATTCCTATTCTAGAAATAAAATTGAAGATCCTTCCAGTTCTTGGATTTCTAGGTGGAGTAATATTTTCCTGTTCAAATTATTTCCATGTTATCCTCCATGGTGGTGTTGGCAAGAATGGATCCACTATAGCAGTAAGGCAATAATTTCATCATTCAGTGTCAATTTTATGATACATTTTCTTATCACCAGTTATAAAAAGATTAAAATATGCCAAAGTTCAAGAATGGGGAAGGAAACTAAGTATCTTAAAGAATTCATTTTAGGCACATAGTACAAAAGCATTTTAAAAACAGTTTAAACTGATATTTTCCTCTTTCTACAAGCTTGCTCTGCATAGACTTTTCTGACATCTAGTTTCATTACTGCACATAATTAAGAGTTGCCATTTGTTTTCCTGCATTTTGTGCCTTGAACTAATAGCAGAGAGGAGAAAGGGTAGGGAATGTATGAGTTCCTGATTGAAAGCAGGAAAGTGGCCAGAGGTCAATGGTTTCACATATGGGGGGATTTATTACTCATCAAGTAAATTTTATTGAAATTTCACTGAAATATATTTAAAAGAACTATTCTAATATTTCAAAAGGTAAAATTTTAACTTTAATTCTTAAGTGGGTATACTTTGTGCTTGTGTTCTTTACACCTTGCTCATGCAAGTATTAAATATAATGCTTTTGTATTTTTTCACATTTGTTTTTTAAAACTTCAGTACTTTTAAGTGGGCAAGAGTTGGGATTCCTGCAAACTTTTTAAACAAATATAACACCTATGTTTTTAAAAAGCCTATTGTCATTTTCAAGGTAGTTGAACAGAAGAAGACAAGTACTTATTCCAGTGATACCATCTTATACCAAACCATTGTTATAATGCCTTTTTCAGGGCCGGGCACAGTGGCTCATGCTTGTAATCCTAGCAATTTTGGAGGCCGAGGCAGGTGGATCACTTGAGGTCAAGAGTTCGAGACCAGCCTGGCCAACATGGTGAAACCCTGTCGCTACCAAAAATACAAAAAAATTAGCTGGGCATGGTGGCCATGCTTTTGTAAATCCAGCTAGCTACTTGGGAGGCTGAGGCAGGACAATTGCTTGAACCAGGAGGCGGCGGTTGCAGTAAGCTGAGACGGTGCCACTGCACTCCAGCCTGGGTGACAGAGCGAGACTCTGTTTCAAAAAAAAAAAGAATGCCTTTTTAGGATTGCTTTAAACTATAGCATATTCACTTTAATTTCTTTTGTTGTATAGTTCAAAATTTCTATCCTTTAAAGTCATTTGGAGCAAGGTCTAATAAGATATTAAACATTAGATATAGCATTTTTAGTAAAAAAAAGTCTCATTCTTTTAAAAGACGTGTAAGTAGACTTTCGAGACAATTTCAAAGGGATCCTCATAATTGACAAATTGTCAATATTTATGAATACACTTTATATACATAATTCAAAAGCAAAGTATACAATTCATCTAGAAATATAAGTTCTGATATATTTGGAAAAGTTGTCATTTTTTGAGGTGTTTTGTCAGTTGATCTCAGTATAGTACTGTGCTTAGGAATACATGTTGCTTGACTGTGGATGATAACATAGAACAATAGTTGGAACGTTAAGTTCCATTGAAGAAAACAAGATGTAGTAATGATCATTGTCTACTCTAAAGAATATTTTTGACCAGATGCGGTGGCTCACGCTTGTAATCCCAGCACTTTGGGAGGCCGAGGCGGGCAGATCATTAGGTCAGGAGTTCAAGACCAGTCTGGCCAACACAATGAAACCCTGTCTCTACTAAAAATACAAAAATTAGCTGGGCTTAGTGGCGGGCACCTGTAATCCCAGCTACTCAGGAGGCTGAGGCAGGAAAATCGATTGAACCTGGGAGGCGGAGGTTGCAGTAAGGCAAGATCATGCCACTGCACTTAAGCCTGGGTGACAGAGCTAGATTCCATCTCAAAAAAAAAAAAGAATATTTTCATTAAAAAAACTGTTAGATGTTTGAAGGATGACTTAAACACAAGTTAGGAAGTGGTTGGTTTCAAACTCTTAAACTGGTATTTTTCCAACTTTTTTAGGAGCAGATTTTTTTTCTTGAATGAGATTTAAGAATCATAATATAAAGCACTATTAGATTTTTATAATTTATTACTATACAGTGTCATGTATATAATTTTATAATATGGTATTACTGTAATTTTATAGTAAGTTCTAACTTAAAACATGTAAACTTAATAAACAAGAGTAAAGCTGTTCTTGTGAACCCATTTAAATTGGTTATAGATTTAATAACCTCAATACCAAATTTATTTCAATATTTTATTTAGGATAAGCAGTGCCGAGAGGATACTAATTCACATAGATAAAAATGTAATGGTCTGGATTTTACAATTTTACATAAAAGAACATTTGCAGTCTGAATGCAAAAAGAAAGGAGGTGGGGATGTTGGTGTAGAAAGAAACTAGGATAAGCTGGGTGTGGTGGCTCTCGCCTGTAATCCCAGCACTTTGAGAAGCTGAGGCTGGGAGGATCGCTTGAGCCCGGGAGTTTGAGACTGGCCTGGGCAACATGGGGAAACCCTGTCTCTACTAAAAACACAAAAAATTAAAAAAAAAAAAAAAAAAAGAAAATAGGAAAAAAGAAGGAAACCTGAATAGAACTAAACTATTCTTACTCTTCTTCATCAGTGATATTTTGTAGAATTGGCAGAATAAGCTCTATTTCAGTATCTCCACAAAATTATGTTAATTTGGCAATCCACATGTGGACTGCCTTCGATGTAGTAAAAGTTGATATAGAATAAACTGCATTAATTTTTAGCCAGTTTAAAACGTGTGTGAATATCAAACTGGAATCAGACATCTGTGGCACTGTATTATGTCTCTGTCACCCTCAGGTTCTATGAAACCTTGGAAAGCACAACTCAGGTTTGTATACTCCTGTAGGCCATACACTACATCACACTGTTCTTTAGGCCTCTTGCACAAAATAGATGGTCAGAAAATGTCTACATTGTAATAAATGCAGTGTTAAAATGTGATACTGATTTTCTGCTTTATCCCTTAGGGCACCAGTGTCTTGTCACCTGGACTCCACATAGGACTAATTATTATACTGGCAATAATGATCTATAAAAAGTCAGCAACTGATGTGTTTGAAAAGCATCCTTGTCTTTATATCCTAATGTTTGGATGTGTCTTTGCTAAAGTCTCACAAAAATTAGTGGTAAGAAATTTTTATTATTCATGATATAAATAATATACTTAGTCGTCAAACACAAAGCTGGAAATTATTTCATAAAATGTATAGGTTTTCTTTTGTAGTGTAAAATCATAATAATTAGCTATTTGTGCTCCAAGCAAAACTGTGATAAGAGTTATATTCAGTTAAATTGTTTAGCTGTAGTTATCATTTACAACTTTCTGATATCAAGAAATTTAAACACTGGAAACTTTAATAAGCTACCCAGTTGTGAATTTGAGAAGGTGTAGAAAAGTATTCTTAAATGTGAGATTAAATGGTCTGTTTTAATACTGAATTAAAGTTATAATTAATTCTGTCGTAAAAGCTAACACATTTAAAACTTAATAGTAAAATTATTTTGTTTAATTTTTTTATAGGTAGCTCACATGACCAAAAGTGAACTATATCTTCAAGACACTGTCTTTTTGGGGCCAGGTCTTTTGTTTTTAGACCAGTACTTTAATAACTTTATAGACGAATATGTTGTTCTATGGATGGCAATGGTAAGTATTTTTCTCCATTTTATTTATTTTTTAACAATGCTTAAGAGCTATTTCAGTGAGCTATCAGTAGCCTCAAGATCTAGTCTAGGCCAGGCGTGGTGACTCACGCCTGTAATCCCAGCACTTTGGGAGGCCAAGGTGGACGGATCATTTGAGGTCAAGAGTTTGAGACCAACCTGGCCAACATGGTAAAACTCTGTCTGTACCAAAAAATACAAAAAATTAGCCAGGCGTGGTGGTGCATCCCTGTAATCCCAGCTACTCAGGAGGCTGAGGCAGGCAAATCACTTGAACCTGGGAGGCAGAGGTTGCGGTGAGCCGAGATCATGCCACTGCACTCCAGCCTGGGTGACACAGCGAGACTGTGTCTCAAAAAAAAAAAAAAAAGATCTAGTCTATACAATATATACAATAAATGTTTCTGAGTATTTAAAATTACTTCTTCTAAGCTGTGAATAATATTATATTGTGTGTAGAAATGGCCACATATCTATAGGCCAGGTTTCCAACAACCTGGATTCTTGGAAACACAACTGTGTACCTAAAAATAGCTATATTTTTCTCCCCCAAAATACCAGTACAAAGATGCCAAAAACCACTTTACTCTGCCCAAAGACTTTATTCCCAGTTTACAGCAAGTAACAGGAAAATTAGATGGGGTTAGTACTAGCAAAGGTGGGCACTTTATTGCATCGAGAATTGTCAGCTAATATTGAGGAAACAAAACAGAATAGACAGTGCTACTAAATACAGGATTCTCAGACCATTTTATGCTAGATGTAAGGAACCCTTTTTATGTGTATGGCCCTTGAGGATAGTGTATAATTTGTATTAATGATGACTCAGTCATCAATTAAATTAAATTCGCTTTGATTATATCCTGCTTAAGGAAACGACGTGGATGACATAATTTCTATTCAAAATGATTATAAAATACAGAATATAGTGCTTGAGAGAGACACGTTAGCCATCTAAGGAAAAGAAAATCAATATTGGTAACACTTCAATTACAAAGTTGGATAAATGGAGCATTATTACATTTTTTTTCTATTGAGACATATCTTTATGGTTGGTCTCCAATTAATGGTGGCTTTGAATAGTTTTCTTGTATTTCTATCTCTGGACCCACTGGTTGTCACCAAATTCATAGTGATATATAAATATACCGAAGTACACCAAAACAAAACCCCCCAAAACCCTGCAGTGAATCTTTTGATAATTCAAATAATCTCACCGTATTTGTTAGAGTTGGATATTTAAAAAAATCTGTATCTATTCTGTGCATGGATTACAGGAGTACATCTAATGGTCCCTTACTAGGTTGTGTAGTATGCTTTTTCTGGAGTAACTTAATAACGTAATATTCATTCATAGTCCATTCAGAAGTCTTCATTCTTCCTATGGTGGCAGTGAGATATACTTAATTCTTTGAGGTGGACAATGAACGTTTTCAGGCAAAATTAAAAAAAAAAATGTTTAAAAATCAGAATAATGTCCTTTAATTTGGTATCCACTATAAATATTTTTAGGGCTCCCAAACAATCCAGTTTAAAAAATAGGGGATAATTAATCAAAATATCTAAAAACTCAATGTAAGTTTTCTTTTAGTGAACTTAGGTATGTATTACCAAGTGGAATTGCTGAATTAAAATACCAGGTGTTAAAAAAATCAATCATCTGTCGTAACGAGTAATTGGCCTGGTTTACACCTGTGATGGAGACTGGTAAACTGAGGAAGTCAAATTCAATTTTTATTTAAAACACTATGTGGATGACAAAAAAAAAAAAAAAAAGCCACACACACAATGTGGTACTTTTCAAGTAAGCTTTTAACATAAATGATAGAGATTTTCCCCTCATGGGTGAGAATTCCCTCTCCAAGGGCAGAGCTATGAGTCTCCTTTTTCTCCTGGGTTTCATTTTCTGAAGAGAAGCATTTGACTGTAGACTCTGGGCAAAGTTTCTAAATAGAGGCCATCTTTAAATTTGTAAACACAATTCTGTATATGCTTCAAGTATGGTATCTTTTCTAGACCTTTTACCTTCTTACAACTAACCTCAAAGAAACAGAAATGTATATGATGGAATTAATTCATTATAAGATGACTGATAACTTCTTCTAGAAGGAAATTTGCAGCTTCGTGGCACAGCAGGAAGTTGAAACAATGTGGAGTCAGGAGAGTTGGGTTCTGTTACTTTCTAGTTTCTGTATTTTAGTCGTCTTTTTTACCTCTGAGCCTCAGTGTCTATAACTGTGAAATAACCTGCATTTTCCAGAGGACTACAGTGAGGTCCAAATTTGAAATGTATTAAAGTGCTTTAAAATGTAGTATTTTTGGTGAAGAATTTTAGGTTAAGGTTTGATATTTGGGGGAGAAACAGAATAGTGCTACTTGAGAAAAGATAGATCATAATCGATTTTATATTTTCTTTTTTGCTTCTAAAGGTGATTTCTTCATTTGATATGGTGATATACTTTAGTGCTTTGTGCCTGCAAATTTCAAGACACCTTCATCTAAATATATTCAAGACTGCATGTCATCAAGCACCTGAACAGGTTCACAAGCATATTGACTGACTAATAGCCCAAGGAAAAGAGGAGATGAAGTTAGGGGAATCTATGAGTGAAGGAAATCCCCCTGTGCAGGAGGCTAGTATACCATCAATAAGGTTATATTTGAATATAAAACATAAACCCTGTAGATTTCATTGTGTCTTATTTCAGTTATGAAGCCCCCATTGTATCATCATTTTTTATCACAGATGTTCTCAGAATTGTCTACATATTAATTAGAAACAAGACTAAAGAAATGTCAATCCTGAGGACAACAGTGAACCCCTGTAATTCTAAGTAGCAGTTTGTCTCTGAGACTTATCAGACACAGGGTTTTCACTGCCAAAGGATTACATAAATATTCAGAACATAAAGGATTTTAGCCATCTTGAGGGTGCTTACTTTGACTGCTAAAAACTGAAAAGTGATTCAATACTGCTTAAGTGCATGGCTTATAATGTAATTATTGAATCAAGTTATGTTCTAAGAAATTTTTTATACTAATCATTTTTCAAGAGGCATATTAGTATGTTATAAAATACTTGCTTTTAGTATACTAGAATTTAAAAGGGCTACAGGAATTTTTTAAATAAAATTTGTATTTAATAAAAGGAATTTGTTGTACCAGTTCAGAAAAACATACGAATCTTTATACTGAAGGTAACTTGTTCCTTGATATTTTGAGTTAAAATTTCACTGTCACTGAAAAGTGGATGTTAAATATTCCCTTTCATGAAAAATGAAAACAGTAGCTAAGAGTCAGTTGACATGTAAGAAAATTAGTAACTTAGAAAAACTTACTTGGTAAAAAAAATCTTCCTTTTAGAATACAAAAGTTTACTTTAAGTACACACTGACTCATTTGAGGTGATAAGGGATAAAATAAGTAAAAGTTATTCAACCACTAAGTACATTAGGTACTGATACTTATCTTTCCACTCTAATTGAAATGTATTTAGATTACTCATTATGAATACTACTAGAACTATCACAAAGATCTCTGGGGATCCAAATCTTCAGATTCCCATCTGACCCTATTTATTTTTAATTTTATATAATAGTTCAACAGACCATATGTCATATGATGAAGTAATCAAAAAAAAAAAAAAGGAGTAATTTGTGTACTACATCTGTTTTAGGCAAGAAAAAGGTATATTGAAGAAAACAGTGAAAGATGATATTCCTTAAAAGCAAAAAAACATACTTATGGGAATTAAGTACACAGAAAACACTGGAGTACTTATTTTGCCTCTAACTAACTATTGGTAAAACTTCCCAAATAAGGACTTTCTTACAAGGATGAATAGTACTTATGATTTATATTCTAATAATATATACTTTGGCTTAAAAGGAAAATCCTTTACAAAGTTCAAAAATTTAGGAAATAATGTCAAATATTCGTTAATGGTGGAAGACTAATTTCTTCCTGTACAAGTAGGTTGTCACAATTAGAAAAAGTTTATCTGTAGGCACCTGTTTTTTTAAAACTTGGAAAACCTTATTATAACTAAGATAAGGGTGAGTTATACAGGCAAAAATTAGAATTTAAAACATAGAAAAGCAGGAGGCCAGGCATGGTGGCTCACACCTGTAATCCCAGCACTTTGGGAGGCCGAGGCGGGCAGATCATTTGAAGTCAGGAGTTCGAGACCAGCCTGGCCAACATGGCGAAACCCCGTCTCTACTAAAAATACAAAAATAAGCTGGGCGTGGTGGCAAGTGCCTGTAGTCCCAGCTACTTGGGAAGCTGAGGCAGGAAAATCGCTTGAACCTGGGAGGCGGAGGTTGCAGTGAGCTGAGATTACTCCACTGCACTCCAGCTGGGGTGACAGAGTGAGACTCCATCTCAAAAAATAAATAAACGCAGATGTGATATATATAAACCATAAGAAATTAGGTATGTTAATGATGTGCTCTTAATTTAATTGCAGACCAAGCCCAATGAAGTGACATTATGTCTTTGTGGCAATGACATATTCACAAATCCATGTCTTAAAACTGTTATTTATATATTGTTCTATTGCTAGTGATTTAATGTTCAGAGGTTAATGATTTTAGCAATTTATTCCAGAACACAAATTTAAATGCATCTTATTGTCATTAGAATCGGTTGTACAACTTAAGTATATAGAAAAGGATGTACATGTAAAATAGATTTTGTATTCCGTTTTTTCCTTAAAGAACATAACCTTCTATACTTGGTTTTCTACCTTTTGGGATTGATAGAGATACAATGAAGCCAAACCTAAAATTAAATCGTCTTTATTTAATTGACAGTGTTAGAGAGAAAAATTCACTATCATTACTAAAGAGCTGAAAGCTTAATACATATTCTTTAGGAATAGTTGCTAACTAACTCATAACTATTTAGATTTGACTTAACAGAAAGGGAGGTCTTACAATGAAACAGGTTTATGATTAAAGATGTTACAATTAAACTATTCTAAAGACTTACAATATGCTTCTTAGCTAACGTTATAATTGTATCATATTACTTAGGTTCAAGTTCTTTCTTCAAAGAGTCATCAGAATAACATGGATTGAAGAGACTTCCGAACACTTGCTATCTCTTGCTGCTGCTGTTTCATGGAAGGAGATATTAAACATTTGTTTAATTTTTATTTAAGTGTTATACCTATTTCAGCAAATAAAATATTTCATTGCTTATATTAATCCTTATTTTTTCAATTTCAATATGATCACTTACAGTTTCCATCATAATTTTTTTTTGCAACATAGCCATTTCTTTTTTAAATTCATTTTGTGCACCAGTAAGTAGATTATCATGATTCTTCTCCAACTCTTCCATACTCTAAAAACACAAAAGACAAGTTAAGTTACAAAGGACCACTTTTCATCTCAGGTTCTAAACTTGTACAATTAATTTTCAAAAGTAGTAATTTTTGAATATTCAAATGCTCATCTATTTGAAATAAAAATATTCTAAGTAATACATGAATACCAAAATACCTACTAAAAAAGAAAAAATATAAGACATGAATAAAATGTTATAGGAAGTACAATGTAGTATACTTTGCCCACAATGGGTTTCCTGAACTGTTAAGGTCAAGATAAAAAAGACTGGAAGTCCCACATCAGTAAAAACCATTTCTATTAAGCTTTCCAAATATCAAGCAATAATCTACTTATGACTAATAGTGTGCCATGAATTCACTAGAGGGAATAAAATAATCTATAGTACAACCTCTTTCACATTATGAAAAATAAAAATTATGTCTTACGTCTTTATTATTCATTCAACAAACAGTTAATCTGGTGCCTACTATGTAAAAGGTGTGTATTAAGTGCTGTAGAGAAATTAAAAAACAATAATACATGATTGCTTCCTGATGGCAATGAGAAAAAAACATAGGAACAAAACAAAAATTTTATAATAGGAATGGAAGCACAACTTGCTGTGGTGATATAGTGGAAAATGGGGATTAATTCCAATTTAGTGGGCAAAATACTAAGATTTCAATAGATAAAGAAAAAGGAGTTAAATATATTCTAGGGGAAGGGCATAAGCAGAAGCATGGAAGTACATAGTGAGCTGAGAGAAAGCAGTTATGTGGAGGGGTGGGGTAATGAACAAATGTAGTAAATGAAGCTTAAAAAGAGGGTCATGTCATAGGGGGATCTTCAATACCTAAGAATTTAGAACAGGAGGCTACTGACAGTTTTTCAAGAGGGAAGAGATATATTTTTAAAAGATAATATGGCAGATCTAGGAGGGATAGATTGGAGAACAGAGACATCAGTTAAGAATTTTAATGGTACAAGCAAATAATAATGAGGTCCTAAACTAGGGTAGTAGCAGTGGGCATTAAAAGAAAGAACCACTGCAGAAGTAAAAATTACAGGGCCTAGTAATAACTGGATGTGACAGAGAAAGGAGATGGAAGAGTCAAAGGTTATACTATAGTTCCTATCCTAAATAGTAACATTTAGTGATAACATTTAGAAGAAATCTTTATCTAGTACTTTATCAAAACTTCACACCAACTACCAAATGGTTCTCAGAGCATTGGAACAAGACAACAAGTTTTCCACTTGGAAATACTTTTTAAAATAACATGTGTGTGTATAATTTTTTTTTTTTTTTTTTTTTTGAGGCAGGGTCTCGCTGTCGCCCAGGCTGGAGTACAGTAGTACGATTTCAGCTCACTGCAACCTTTGCCTCCAGGGCTCAAGTGATCCTCCCACCTCAGCCTTCCCAGTAGCTGGGACTACAGGTGAGTGCCACCATGCCCAGCTATTTTTGTTTGTTTGTTTGTTCTTAATAGAGATGGGGTTTTGTCATGTTGCTCAGGCTGGTCTTGAAACCCTGGGCTCGAGTGATCTCGCCTTGGCATCCCAAAGTGTCAGCCACTGTGCTCGGCCATATATATTAAAGTTATTCTGAAATATTTATTTTAAAACAATTTTGCTAGTTTACTTAGAGCATCCCAATTCCTTTAATGTTATTTTAACATGTATTTGCACAAGACTATCTAAAGGAACCACCACTGAAAAAAAGTATATGCAAGATTCCATTGAGCTTCTATGAATAGTTACTAAAAAGTATATTTCTGCCTGAACAAGAGGGGTACAGACTACAATTTGCTAATATGTATGTGTCAGTAGATAATTATCAATCCACAGACTTTTAATCCTCAGATGTCTATTATATCTGTTATTTTATGTTGGATATAAATTCATTTTTGGTCACTGTAATAATTCTAAAAGCAAATGTGCCATAAAATACTTCTATAATACATTTGAAAACAAGAGAATTCAATAATTTGGGTACTTTCTATTTAACAAACACTGGGGATAAAAAAACAAGTAAAATACAACCTAAAAATGATTATTATAGAGTCTATTTTCACTTAAACAGAGAACTATGACTGAAGTGTTATTAAAGTATGGATTTTATGCATGATAAGTATATTTCTAAGTAAAATTCCCAATTTACCATTTCCTGTCTTGAATAATCCCAACAAAACCATTTGAATCCTCAAGTAAAAATATATTTATCACTTAAATCAGAAACAATGAATTCAAAATGGAAAAGTAGTTAAAGTCTAAAATGTTTTTTCCCATAAACTTAGAAAGAATTATCTTCTACTTCCATAAATATATTATGTTTTATAACGATGTATTGTGTTACCACATACAACAAACCTTTATGAACTGCTCATATAACTGTTTAATTGTTTTCAATCTCTGGCTCTGAACAATTCTAGATTGTTGAAGAATCTTTTGTTGCTGTCGAAACATATTCTACAAATATAAAAGAAAAAAAACTGTGTAATAACAATTTGGGTAAAATTTTAAATTTAGAAAAAATAATTCTACATTAAACTTAAAAGAAAGTGTTAAAAATCAATGCTTTTAAAATTTTAACAACTATTATGACCACATTTAGATAATTTATGTTCACCACTAATATGTAACAATATATTAATTCTACCAGTTGCTGAATGGGAAATTTTAACAATAATCAAGTCATGTCTTAATTCTTGGTGATTTCAATGTCCACACAGATGATCCTTCCAATAATAATGGTTTTCCGTTTCGTGACCTGTTTCTCAATGATTTTGGCCTCTACCCTACTTTAGCCATTGACTTACATACTCCCACCCTAGATTTTGTCATTACTAATAATTCTAACCACTACACAGTATTAGTAATGGTAAACTTTCTAAGAGATAGATACTCAGCATTCCCCTTTCATAGATGAGTAAACTGAGGCATAATCTGTCCATGGTTTCACAGCTACAATTGCTCAAACAAGAATTTGATCCAAAACAGTATTGTTGCTGGCATCCAGGCTCTAACCATTATACATACTGTTTCTCTGTCTATCCTAGTATTTAACCACTACTTCTTTACCATTCTAACTTACTCTTTTTAGTACTACAGCTCAATAATCTATCAGTGCCACAAATCCATCCTATCTATTTTACACTGTCATCCCTACCCCCAATATCCTCACTTGCAGGTAACACAAGTCTGGCCATTAAAAGTCAACAATGTTCTGACTACAGACATCCTTAGGTATCCTGGGGGGACCAGTTCCAGGACACCCAACCCCTCAGGAGACCAAAATGTGCAGATGCTCGAGTTCCTGTTACAAAATGGCATCATATTTGCATATAACCAATGCACATCCTTCCACATACTTTAAATCATTTCTAGATCTCTTATAATACCTAACACAATGTAAATGCTGTATAGTTGTAACACTGGATTATTTTTCCAATTTGCATTTTTTCTTTTTTCTTTTTTTTTTTTTTTCAAGAAAGGGTCTCCCTCTGTCACCCAGGCTGGAGTGCAGTGGCACAATCTCGGCTCACTGCAGCCTCCGCCTCCCAGGTTCAAGTGATTCTCCCGCCTCAGCCTCCTGAGTAACTTGGATTATAGGCACACGCCATCACAGCCCGGCTAATTTTTGTATTTCTAGTAGAGATGGGTTTTCACCATATTGGTCAGGCTGGTCTCAAACTCCCAACCTCAGGTGATCCACCCGCCTCGGCCTCCCAAAGTGCTGGGATTACAGGCATGAACCACCACCACGCCCAGCCTTTTCCAAATATTTTTCATCCACGATTGGTTGAATACACAGATGCGGAACCCTTATATACAGAGGGCTAACTATACAATGATTGGTTCAAGAATGGGCAAATGATCCAAACTCCCATCAGTCATATTTTCCCAGAGGAATTTTTTGCCAGAGCTATTGAGAAAGATTTTCTCAGTCCACTGGGGTTACTAAACTTGTAATAAGCCTAGGACTGTAAAAACTATCTTGCTTACTACATCAAGACACCTTACTAAGTACTGATGACAGAACCCAGATGACACTACATGAGCAACCCCCTCCCTGTTCCCATCTGGCTATGCCTGAAGCTAAACTGCCCCGACTTCTTTTACATAAACCAATGATCCTTCTTTTGTACTTTGACAAATTTCTGTCACTTGGAAATGCAGGAACCCCAAACAATATAAATGCCTTTTATGAGTATGGTATGTGCCTATACGTCTGTGGTTTACAGTTCAGTAGGTTTAAAACACATGGCCAGCAATGGTTAATGAAACCTGGCTCAGTTCCACTGGTCACAATAAAAGGCTAGGTTGTCCATTCCTACTTGAGACTTGGTTGATTATAAACCTAATCATGATACCAACAAGTATTTTTTCTTCTTGTTCCTCAGCTTTCTGCATATCTAAATCCCACTGCTGAAACAAAGTCAGAAACTGCTGAGAATATTCTTGGTTAAGCTTCTGCCTGTAAAACATAATGATGAATTATTGTCATATTTCATACCAATATAAAAAGAATTTAAAACAAAACTGAGTTGACACAGTTATACTATATAAGAAAAGGAAATACCTGCAGCTTAAGTCTTCTGATGGGAAACCAAAAAGTAAAATTATGATTTACACTGATTCCAGAAGTATTTTTTTTCTAACAAACTAATAGAAGAAAAGCCCTGTCACAAGCTTTAGCTCTTGAAAACTAAGGAAGTTTTATTGTATATATAAATTTTCAAAAAGAAATTCATCTGATCTCTAAGCAGTTTATTTTTCATTTTTTTCCTATTGAATATAGATTCTGATATAACAAATACATTAAATAAGGTGATTGTATTTATCCTATAAGATTTCTAAATAGAAATAGTTCGCTTAATTTTTTTCCCTATTTTGGCTTAACAAAAGATTTTATACAAAAGAAGAGTTAAGTCAGCTAAAACATACAAATTATATACGATACAAGATTGGTGTTCTTCTACATTGTTGAACATAATTCACCATCATAAGACTAACGGTTTTTATGACATTTACCTTTTATTCAACTAGTGTATTTCTAGAATGAACATAAATTACTTTTAGGCTGGGCATGGTGGTTCATGCCTATAATCCCAGCACTTGGGAGGCTGAGGTGAGAGGATCGCTTGAGCCTAGGAGTTCAAGACCAGCCTGGGCAACATAATGAGACCCCCATCTCATAAAACAACAACAAAAAACGAAATTACTTTTATAACCTCACTTGTTACCTAAAAGGAAAAAAGTGATCTTTATTGATTTTTTAGGAAATAATGTCAATTCTATGAAGGAGTGAGGTTATAGGGCTACAGGACTATCATACTTAGAGAAAAATCAAGCCAAATACATTTTCACTAGAAACCCCAGTAACTAGAATAGTATTTTTCTTTTCTTGTTTTTTTTGACAGAGTCTCACTCTGTTGCCCAGGCTAGAGTGCAGTGTCACGACCTTGGCTCACTGTAACCTCTGCCTCCTAGGTTCAAGCGAGCACGCCTGGTTAATTTTTGTATTTTTAGTAGAGATGGAGTTTCACCATGTTGGCCAGGCTGGTCTCTAACTCCTGACCTCAAGTGATCTGCCTGCCTTGGCCTCCCAAAGTGCTGGGATTACTGGCATGAGCCACCGTGCCGATCCTAGAATAGTATTTTTCATAAGTAATTTATACCAGTAAATACTAAGAAATGTGGCTCTAAAAAAAAAGCAACCACCTTACCTTTGATCTTGTTGTGTTTTCCAAACATGTTCAATTTTCTGGTTACTAGTTTTGAGAGAAGCCTTGGTATACATTTCTAGTCTCTTTCTCTTGGCAAGAAGAGCCTTGTTAATGTCAACTAGATTGAAAATAAAAATTCATTAAAATTTAATGTTGAAAAAAGTATTTTGTTCCCACATATTCAAGTAAATATGGGTAAGGTTGGTTCAACAATATTGGAAAGACATTTAAACTTAAATTTAGAAATAGGCATAATTTCAAAATGCAGAATTGTTTGCTTACTTTTTTTTTCTGAGAAAACTCTCAGCTACTAGCACCCAAATTCTGATTTTCCTAACTGGAGATAATTTTTTAACTTAGGAACAATAAAAAAGAGCTAATAAACAAAACAATGTGTCAAGGACAGACTTTAAATTTCCCCATGAGAAAACACTGTTAATAAAGGCTAAATGTAGGCCAGACGCGGTGGCTCACACCTGTAATCCCAGCACTTTGGGAGTCTGAGGCAGGCAGATCACAAGGTCAAAAGATCGAGACCATCCTGACCAACGTGGTGAAAGCCTGTCTCTACTAAAAATACAAAAATTAGCTGGGCGTGGTGGCGCACACCTGTAGTCACAACTACTTGGCAGACTGAGGCAGGAGAATCGCTTGAACCCGGGAGGCAGAGGTTGCAGTGAGCTGAGATTGCACCACTGCACTCCAGCCTGGGGACAGAGTGAGACTCCGTCTCAAAAATAAAAAAAAATTTTTAAAAAGGCTAAATTTATCTAAATTTATAAAATACACCCCAATTAAAAGGACACATTTCAATGAATTATTGTTAGAACTCATTATAGAAAATATGTAAAAGTACTCTATTAGAAAGAATCCAAAAAGGATAAAAATAGTTAAAGAAGAAAACTATTTTTAATATAATCAATTTTATATATATATATATATATATTTTTTTTTTTTTAAAGACACGGGGGTCTCACTATGTTGACCAAGCTGGTCTTGAACTCCTGGCCTCAAGCAATCCTCCTGCCTTGGCCTTCCAAAGTGCTGGAATTACAGGTGTGAGCCCCTGTGCCTGGCCATCAATGATACTTTTAAATACATTTTTTACTAAGAGACAAAGACCAAGGACAGAAAAAAATCTTAGTTTAAGTAAATTTCTAGATAAATTAAGATCACTTTATTTTTCAATGAGAAATAGGTGAATAAGATCAGTTTTAAATGCTTTTGTGGAGCTCTTTATTGGGCATTTTTACCCATAAGAACTGCATTTCATAAAATGTTTACTACTTCAAATAATGCTTTGCTAAACATAAGCCTTTATCTTATGGATCTACCATAAATAGGTATCTTTCAGTAATCATGCTGTAGCTGCACTATTACATAAATATTTTATACTTTCAGTATTATCTATAATAAATTTATAAAACAAGCACTGTTTCACCACCGGACAGAGCAAAGGTTTCAAAAAAGAGTTGACTGTATGAACAATCCATTTAGAGGAGCTAAATATTAACTCTTTTTTAAGATAACTAATCTCTAACAAAGCTCATATTATTGATACTTAATATATTATTTAAAACTTGAGAATTTTTGAACCTAATTATAAAACTCTATCTAGCAAAATTGTCTTTAGTATCAACTACATAGTTTATTAATGTAAAAAGAGTTATTTTAGAGGCTTAATTTACACTGTCCTCCCTAAAGAAAATAGCATAGGAAGTCAGAAAATAACTAAACTGAAAAAATGAAAAACTTATATACAAATATATGTATGTATGTATATGTGTGTGTGTGTGTGTGTGTGTGTGTGTGTGTATCACTTAGTCTGTGAATACAAAGAAGGGTAAAGACTTTTCCTGTGCATTTTTCTTCTAAAATTCCATAGTCCATTAAATTCACATATGTATAAAATACCATTCACTCTTAACATCATGGAAAAGATTAACTATGAAAATCTGTGATGCTAAATCACAAATACTTATGCAGAATCTTCTATGTGAGAACAAGGCATTAAATAACAGTCTTATAGTCCATTATTAACATTTGTTATTATACAAATTATATGGCTTAAAACAATTTTCTTTAAATACAAGTATCTCCTAAAACCTACCTCCAACTCCTTCCAGCATATTCTGCACTTCACCCCTGGAAAGAAATTACATTTTAAACACTTTAGAAGATCCACAACATACCATGCTTGTTTTGGAAGAAATACCAGATGCCAAGTATTTTACATATATTATTTGTTAGCAACTTTTCTTGAAGTGCTTTATCTAAGAAACAAAAATTATTTTGAACACGTTACCCCATATCTTCAACTACTCCTGCAGAAGACCTTTTCTTCCTACGTTTCTCAATGACTGCAGTCTTCCCTGTATTGACAATTAAAAAAAAAAAAAAAAAGCTTTTGAAACTGAATAGGTTATTTTGGTAAATTTTAATGAAACATCTTCATTTGGGGATTTTTAGGCTTTTTGCCAACATACAGTTTCAAAGCAGACATAAAAATGCAATATTCTCTGCAGGTTAGGTGAAATTAAATCAGGATTCAGGACCATTTTATAGGAATAATTTTTCAAGTCTCCCTGGGTTAATGTCACAGTAAGCCACATACTATATATCAGATATTTTGGAAATAACTGCAAAAGCAAGAGTTGCCGAATAAGCTTCTGTAACTCCGATACTGCAATATAAGGATCAAATGAGAAACACAAGTACAGCTGGCCATCCGTGTCAGCAGGTTCTGTAACCACAAATACCGGGGGAGGGAAGACCATACCTGAAAATGCTTTACAAACTAAGTTGTACGATAGTCTCAATGGGTTCAAAACAAATGAACTGAAGGACATCACTGCCCAACATGAGATGTACTGCACCTTCAATAACATCTTCCTCTGATCCACTCAGATCTTTCTTATCTTCAGTCTCAAAGTCATAGGCTCTCGTAAACTGATCTTCCACAGACGGCTTCCCAGATTTCCTGGAATACTTTTTTCCGGAGGACACCATATTTAGATGCTTCCTGACTTTAAAAAACAAATTTCTTTAACCTTCTGAATGCAAAGACATCATTTTAATACACTGGTAAAAGTTTAAATATCAAAGGAGATATCGAACAAGGATTGTTGAATACAATTTTAACAGTTTCCTCATTTATTTGGGGGGCCAAAAGTTAAGAAGATAATGACATTTGTTAAAAAATAATAAAATAAATAGGCCAAGCACGGTAGCTCACGCCTGAAATCCCAGCACTTTGGAAGGTTGAGGCAGGCAGATCACCTGAGGTCAGGAGTTCAAGACCAGCCTGGCCAACATGATGAAACCCCGTCTCTACTGAAAAAAAAAAACAAAATTAACCGGGCGTGGTGGCACGTGCCTGTAGTCCCAGCTGCTCAGGAGGCTGAGGCAGGAGAATCGCTTGAACCCGGGAGACAGAGGTCACAGTGAGCCAAGATCGCAGCCACTGCACTCCAGCCTGGGTGACAAGAGTGAAACTTCGTCTCAAAAAAAAAAAACAACAACAGAAATGGCCGGGCGCTGTGGCTCATGCCTGTAATCCCATCACTTTGGGAGGCCGAGGTGGGTGGATCACCTGAGGTCAGGAGTTTGAGACCAGCCTGGCCAACATGGTGAAACCCCGTCTCTACTAAAAATACAAAATTAGCCGGGCGCGGTGGCGGGTGCCTATGATCTCAGTTACTCAGGAGGCTGAGGCAGAAGAATCGCTTCAACCCGGGAGGCGGAGGTTGCAGTGAGCTGAGATGGCCCCACTGCACTCCAGCCTGGGCGACAGAGTGAGACTTCGTCTCAATCAATCAATCGATGAGAGAGAATGACAGTGTCCACCCCGACTCCAAGCGCGCAGTGCTGGAGAGGTGGCCCCTGAGGCCTGGGAGTTCCAAATTTTGGGGCCGCCTCTGCCAGATTCTGGCTAAATCTGGGCAACTCTAGCAGGGCGCTCAGTCACGCGGGGAAATTATAGTTGCTGGCGGGACACGACATGAGGATGCCAGAAATAAGCTCATAATAATCAAGACAAATAATAAAAACGTCCCGCAATTTAGGTCTCGGAAAATGAACACAGGCAGAAGATTTCGACAACAAATACATCGAGGAACCACGAAAGGCGCCCTCGGCGTGGAGCGGGCAGGAGGGAGACGCGCGGAGCGAGGTAGGGCCCTGCCCGGCCCCGCCGCGTCCCTCCTGTAAGTGGTCCCAGGGTGTAGCGATGGGGCCCAGCCCCAGCCCAGCCCGCCCGCTTTCCACTAGGCCCTATCCTGCTCAAGGCCCTGTCCTCAGGTTCGCGGCCTCCGTTTTCTCGTCAGAGGCCCCAGGCGACGCCAGGAGGTAAGATTTACCTCACTGGTCAAGGGCAGCCTCTGGCCTGGACACCTGCGATAGACAGACGCCTCCCCTGCTCACACCTGAAACACACCGCAATGGCCGAGGACCAGTTACTGGTCGTCGACAGGCGTCCTCCACAACTCCTCCACAAGCGCGCTTCACCTGAGGTGGCCCCTTCTCCGCGACGCTTCTGAGGCAAGCTGGGATTCGCACAGGAGAAAAGCCAGTCCCGCCTCATCCGGACACGTCGCTGATTGGCTGGACGCAGAGCGCAGGCGTGAACTGGGTGGCGAGGCTCCGCCCCCATGGGGCGATTGCGCGCCCAAATAGCTGGCCCAGGGTGCTTTGGCCGCCGGAGCGGGTTGCGAGTACACTTGAGGCCTGGTGCCTTCCAGTTTTTAAGTTTTAAATGTTTATAATCGAAAATTGCAGCTAGGCGCAGTGGCTCACACCTGTAATCCCAGCACTTTGGGAGGCCGAGGCAGACGGATCACTTGAGGTCAGGAGTTCCAGACCAGCCTGTCCAACATGGCGAAACCCATCTCTACTAAAAATACAAAAATTAGCCGGACGTGGTGGCGGGCGCCTGTAATCCCAGCTACTTGGGAAGCTGAGGCAGGAGAATCGCTTGAACCCGGGAGGCAGAGGTTGCAGTGAGCAAGACCATGCCATTGTACTCCAGCCTGGGCAACAGAGTGAGACTCCATGTCAAGAAAAAAAAAAAGAAAATTGCGGAATAATATGTAAATTATGAAACATGATGAACATACCACCTAATTTATGAAGTAGGGCTTTACCAACATTCACTGAATCTCCTCAGGCAGGCCTTTCCATCCGATCCTCACCAGGACCCCACCCTTCCCCATTCAGGGATATAAGAAAATTATCCTAAATTTATGTAAATCATTCACCCTTCCTTATTTTCTAAGTTTTATTACCACATGAAAATGTGTCGTTAAACAACACGGCTTAGTTTCGTTCGCGTTTGGCATTACAAAAAATTGTCCCATAGTCTATGTAGTGTTCTGACAGTCCACTAGAATGGCAAAACTACAAAATATGACTACACGGAGTGATGATGAATCTATGTAACAAAGGGAACCCATTCAGTGGGTGGGAGTATAATTGTAAAACAATTATTTGGTGTAACTGGAAATCACCTATCAATTGCAAAACAATTTTTGAAGATACAATTTATGAAGGAAATGAAACTCACCTATAATCCCACTACCCAGAAATAATATACAGTTTAAAATTGGGGGTATTATTGCCTTTCATCCTTTTTTCTGTGCTTATATGTATTTTCCCCCAAATAATTTTAAAATATATTTCAACCTTTGTACCTGCCTTAGTTTGCTCACAGCTCTGCAATCCTTTTTCTATTTGAAATCATACATTTTACTTTTTTTTTTTTTTTTTTTTTGAGACAGGGTTTTGCTCTCTTGCCAAGGCTGAAGTGCAGTGGCATGGCATGATCACGGCTCACTGCAGCCTTGATTTCCTGGGCCCAAATGATCCCCCTGTCTCTGCCTCCTGCGTAGCTGGGACTCATGCACGTGCCACCATGCCTGGCTAATTAAGAAAAAAAAAAAAAAAAAGTTTGCCGAGATGGGGTCTCACTATGTTGCCCAGGCTGTTCTCAAACTCCTAGGCTCAAATGATCCTCTCACCTCGGCCTTCCAAAGTGCTGGGATTACAGGCATGAGCCAACTTGCCTGGCCTATATTTTACTTCTTTAATATTTGGCAAAGGCTTCAGGATCTTATTGACGCCAATCACTTTTCAACTGCCTAGTTCAAGTAAGAGATTCAAAGGAACCCTCCTGTTTACTGTTTTGCTTTGAATCCTCTTCCTTATGATGCTCAGCATTCCACTGGCTCGTTTAAATACACCAGTGTATTGGGTAAGGAATGACGGATGACGACTCCCAGACTTGTTCCTGTAATTCCATTCACTACATCAAACCTGTTGATACAGGATACAGTGAACCTTGTAAATTTTTCATTACTGAAAGGATTCAAAAAAGTTTGTAAAGCGTTAGTACAGTACCTGCCACATAATAAATGTGCCATAAATGGTGGCTTTTATGATTGACAATTGGTCCCAATTGGAATCCTGCTTTTCCTCTCTTGCCAGCCTCATTCTTGGCCTCATACTGCATCAGCCACATTGCGTTTTCCCAAATGTGCTGTGCACTCTTATGCCTCCATACCCTTATAGATGCTGTTCTTATTAAGTAGTTCCATTCACTACATCATCATATTCAGTTGTTTTTCCTACAGTGACCCTTACAGAAGAGCATCTGTCATTTTTCTTCTTTATTCGTAATAAAAATTTCCCAAGATTATCTCCAGCACCTTGGCATTTCACTGCTGTAAAGAGCATGTCTGGAGATTTCACCATGTGCTTCAGCAGGTAATTTATAGATGATTTTTAACCCACACACCAATATTTCATGACCTGTCTCAGCATTCATTCTTAGATGACCACATTGTTAATACTTCCCCATATAGATCATCACCCATTTATTCCAATCATCTGGATTCCTAACAAAACATTTTCCCATTTTCTTTAGTAACCAATGGTGTAGAATCTTGTCATTATTGTTTGAAAACCTAAATATTACATCCCTTGTTTCCTTACTCAGTCTCAAAGAACTCAGGTAATATAGTCGAAATCTTAGAGGCCAGGAGCAGTGGCTCATGCCTGTAATCTCGGCACTTTTGGAGGCTGAGGTAGGAGGATCGTTTGAGCCCAGGAGTTTGAGACCAGTCTGGACAAAATGGTGAGACCCCATCTCTATTTATAATAATTTTTAAAAACTCATAGAAATGTCTCCATAGATAAACTACTCAGTAGGTAATAAGAACAGCATCTTTAAGGGTATGGAGGCATAAAAGTGCACAGCACATTTGGGAAAATGCAACGTGGCTGACACAATGAGGCCAAGAATGAGGCTGGCAAGAGAGGAAAATCAGGATTCCAACTGGCACCAATTGTGAATCATAAAAGCCACCATTTATGGCGCATTTATTATGTGGCAGGTACTGTACTAATGCTTTACATTTTTTTAAATCCTTTCAGTAATGAAAAATTTACAAGGTTCACTGTACTCTCTATCAACAGATTTGATTTTTCCAATTGCTTTCAAGTATGGCAGCTTGCCTTCACCTTGAGTACCTAATCCAGGAACTTGGTCTTCCACCTGCACCATCTCTAATCTGTGAAGCTGGAAGGTGATGTTTTGTAAGCCCAGCATCCCTCCCCTCCTTCCTTGGGTAAAAATCTCCATCCCTCTGGCTACAGAGGTGGGCACAGAGCCCAGAATGAGCCAATCACAGTAACTCATCTCCCACCAGGATTTTCTATATTGAAGCCAGAGAGGAAACTTCCTGCCTCTCTGGAGTATGTGAGCCAGGAACTGCCATGTCCTCACCAAGGAGAGAAAAGCTGATGTGCATAGAGAAGCACAGATAGACAGTGCTGAGCAATGGTTCAGGAAGAGTATCTTCCTCCTGTACCCCTCTTTGTTTTTCCTTAAGAAGCTTGAGTTAGATTTGTCCCTTGCAATCCAAGTTTATTTAGTGGCTAAAAATTAATTTTGTAGAGACTTGGGTGGAAAAGCTGTCTCTTAACTTAATAGACCTGAGGTGAGGCACTAAACCTAGTTAGGCCCCAGTTCCCTCACTGATAAGTGGGGATATGGTGTGGATGAAATGAGATTATGAACATAAAGCATTTAGCACATAGATTGTGTACAGTAAGATATAGCTGTTATTAGGGCAAGTGAGAGGAGAAAAGCAATTAGACTGACAAGAAGCCCCCTTCACATCCCTTTAACCACCATGGCTCTGTACTCCTGTCACAAGGAAGCCTGGGATTTCCCTTAAAACATATCACAAAGAAAAACGGAGCATGAATAAATGTGGCAAAGTCTTGATAACTGTTGAGCAGATGAGAATTCATCTATTGGTCTTTTTAAAATTTTTTATGATCTTTTTTAAAGAAAGATCTGTTGAGATTATCATCCAGTTTCTTTTGGTCCTGCTGATGTGGTGAATTGATTTTCAAGTGTTGGGCCAAATTTGCATTCCTGGAGTAGGCCCCACTTGACTGTGAAGTGTTGTTCTTCTGGGAATAACTGAATTTGGCCTGTTAGTATTTTGTTTGGGATTCTTTTGCAGTAGACTGCCCATGGTTTTTGTCTTGTGGTATCTGAGCCAAGTTTTACTGTTGGGGTTGTGTTTCAAGGGATGAGTTGGATGATACTGTATTTTGCTTTTTTCTGCTCTCTGGAAGAATTTGTGTGGGACTGGTGCTGTTTCTTCCTTAGATGTTTTGACGTAAGTAGTGATTACCCTTTAGTTTAAATGCTTAATCTGTTATTATTTGTATACTTCTTGGTATATGTAGAAATAATTTTCAAAATGAACACTTTTGCCAGGCACAGTGGCTCACACCTGTAATCCCAGCACCGTGGAAGGTCGAAGCAGGAGTATTGCTTGAGCCCAGGAGTTCAAGACAGCCTGGATAACAGTAAGACCCTGTCTCTACAAAAATATAAACAAAATTAGTCAGGTGTGGTGGAGCACATCTGTGGTCACAGCTGCTCAGGAAGCTGAGGTGAGAGGACTGCTTGAGCCTGTGAGGTTGACGCTGCAGTCAGCTGAGATCACGCCACTGCTCTCCAGCCTGGGGCAACAGAGTGAGATCGTCTCAAAAGAAACAAACAAACAAAAAACACTTTTGAAGACATAAGGTAGGTTAAAAAAATCCTTTGTAATTAGAAAATGTGTCACTTTTTTAGCTAAGAGCAATATAATCATCTCACCCTAATGACTAGACTAGGAGCCTCACCTCTGGCCTGGACAACAGTCTTTAACACGAATTTTCATCATTACCATCATCACCACTGACATTTAGCAGGCAGGACTATTTGCCAGGCACTGGGCTGCGTGTGTTGCACATGTCATTTCCTCTAATTATCACCATAAGCCTCTGTGGTAGCTACCAGTATTGCCTCCCACATTTTGGCAGAGAAAGCTAAATCACGGCAAGCAGTGTCCAGGATCCAGGACTTGAACTCCCGTAGTCTGACTGCAGAGTGTGCTCTTCACCCACATGTGCCACAGTCCTGGGGAGGCAGCATGGGCTGGTGGGGACAGGAAAGAGGGACAACCCGGGTTCCCACCCTACCTCTTCCTCTAACTGGTTGTAAGACCTTGAGCAAGTCATGTCATCCCCGTGGCCTTGGTGTCCTTGCCGATAAAAAGCAAGGGTTCGTCCAGACAGTTGTTTTGAAACTCTGCCCGAAGGGCCTGGGAGCTGGAGGGAACACCTTGAGAATCAGGCAGGAGAAGCAGCCTTCCTTCTTTTGTATCACAGAATTTTTATCTGTCCAAAATTCATGTTGAAACTTAACTGGCAATTTAAAAGTATTATGAGGTGGGGCTTTCAGAGGGTGATAAGTCATGGGAACAGAGCCCTCATCAATTCAATTAGATGTCTTTATTAAAGGGCTTGACAGAGGCAGTTTGTGCCTTCTTGCCCTTCTGCTCTGTGAGGACACGGCATTCAAGAAGCCATCTTAAAAGCAGAAAGCAGCCCTCACCAGACAACTAAACCTGCTAGCCCCTTGATCTTGGACTCTCGGCCTCCAGAACTGTAAGAAAATGAATTTCTGTTCTTTGTAAATTACCCAGTCTGAGGTATTTTGTTACAGCAGCACAAAAAAACTAAAACACAGAGTGACCTTTTCTATAGGATTTGAACAAATGGTTCTGACCATCTGACTGCTCATCAACTTCTGAGGTTCCTCTGTTCTAATGATTCTACTGAATCACAGAATCATTAGAATGAGTCTATGAATAGCCTATGATTGTATTATCCATCCCATTATCAAGCTCCTAATTAGGTATGGACTATATTCATCTAACCACAGAAATCGTCATTACAGACAAATGTTCATTTCTCTAACTTTTCTAGAATAAATCTCAGCTTTTATAATGATACCCAGATATCCTAAATTTTACCATATGATAAATTCCATTTAGAAACTATTTTCCCCCCATAAAGCAACATTCTTCTGTATAATACTAATCTTTCCTTACTTTCCACTTAATTTTAGTAATGTTCAGCACAGAACCTGATACACAGTAAAGGCACTCAAGTGACTGCTGAATCTGAGTAACAGTAAACTCAATCCTCAAAGATTTAAAAATCAAAGTGTCAGACAAAAATTTAACTTTTTATGAGATTTCAGTTTTTGAAATACACAACTCTTACAGCACAAACACAGTATTTACATTTCAAGTTCTTTGTACAAAAGATGTATGCCATTTTGGAAGAATATTGTTGAGATCATGATCTAAAATACCTGTCAGAGTTACTCATGGAATCTGCTCTTCACAAATCCATTGTATTATGACATAAAATATGGCTAGACGCCAAGGTTTAACCATACATAAAAATACTAATTCTCGGCTGGGTGCACTGGCTTATGCCTGTAATCTCAGCACTTTGGGAGGCAGAGGCAGGTGGATCACCTGAGGTCAGGAGTTCAAGATAAGCCTGACCAATATGGTGGAACCCCCGTCTCTACTAAAAATACAAAAATTAGCAGGGTGTGGTGGCATGCACCTGTAGTCCCAGCTACTCAGAAGGCTGAGACAGAACTGCTTGAACCCGGGAGGCGGAGGTTGCAGTGAGCTGAGATTGCGCCACTGCACTCCAGCCTGGGCAACAGAGAGAGACTCTGTCTCAAAAACAACAACAACAACAACAACAAAAACTAATTCTCAGTGATTGGCAAATGATGGCCTGAGGGTCACATCTGGCTGGTGGGCAGTTTTTGTACAGCTGCAAGCTAAACATGGTTTTTACATTTTTAGAGGGTTGTTTGAAAAAAAACAAACTAAACAACAGCAAGAAGAATGTATGACAAAGACACAGGTGGCCTGCAATAATTTACTAACCAGCCTTTTACAAAGAAAGTTTGCTGGCCTCTGTTCTATCAAAAACCAACTGAGAGAGATAGCTACTGGAATATACCAATGAGTATTAAACAAGACACCACTGTAATGTGCCAGTGCCATCAGCACTACTCATTTCTAAAATGAGGCACTTCTGTTTGAATATGTACATTTCCAAAACATAATTACATCTGGTAAGTAGTACTAACTCTAGCCCTTTGAAATTAGACCTGCACGTGAAATCATAGCATTCTTAGGGGCTGAAGTCAATAATTACAAAGCATTTCAGATGTCAATCATTGAGCTCTTCAGTAGTTAGTGGTTTAAGACCATTTACAGTCTTAAATATTAATAAAACTCATAATTTAGGTATTGTCAATAAGAGGTGATATTGCTGCATTATTTAAATAACATCTATAAAAATAGGTTTAGACATCCCAATTCGTTATACTCAGAAGCAAGAATAACTAGTTAACTTAGTAACTACTTAAAAATGGGAAATGAAAAAAAAAAAGTGCAAAACTTTAGCAAAAGGCTTTGGAATGCAAAGACTGGAGCCTCTTAGCAATCACTCCCAGCTGGCATAGGCTTCTCCTAATAAAGTTAGTCTGCAATGATTGCTGTGGGAAATTAACAGCTGTCTCTTGTCAGTGAGCCTTTTTATAAAAAGGATGACAGGTCCATGAGCAAATTCTTTAAAAGTAAAATCAGTTCAGAGCTGCTCAACACACAAGTTTTCAGTGGGTTGGTTAAATAATTCCTGGTCAGTGGGCTATATTCATGCCACAAAACAGCATGGTACTGGATATTTTCCTTCTTCGGGCCAAACTGCTAAGCATCACATCACAAAGACATCTCTGTGAAGCTGAGTTTTAAAATGCTCAGTAAATGCTGAGGTAGATGGTTTTCAAATGAAGATCTTCTATACTCTGATTCGATTGGGACTAGCTTCTTTGTGTATCCTCCTTCTGGGAAATATCTTCCGCTTAAGTGCAATTAACTAAATGATGAAAGACAGAAAATACATTTTAATTCTCACGTTGATGAAAGAATATAAGTGCATCAAACTTTCTAAGAGCCATATGACCTTAATCATTTCCACAATCTTATACATTAAAAAGACAACAAACAAATCTCCATCATTCCTCTTCCAAAACAAAAACAAATATTAGTTTTGTTTAGCTTTGTAGGGACAGTATGCCTAGATATGTGCCCACAAAGAGACCCAAGAGGATTAAAATTATTTCGGCCCATGCTTCATTTTTCTAAGACCTACAACTACAGATTTTTACACAGCTATTACCAAAGCATATTTATTTTCAAGATGTCCATTTGTCAAGTCTTTCTATTGAAGGAAACTGGCTCTATTTAGCCATAAGACACTGTCTCTGGGTTGATATGATGGCTTATTCCTTCATCTGTAGGAGGAGGCAGGGCTTTGCCCAAACATAAGACACCACGGTTTGAATGATGAGCTGGAATTTGGGAGGGGAGGAAGAGGCAGCATTGGCTGCTTTGTTTGTGAAGGTGGCAGGTATGGCAGGAGGAAGGAGTTTGACTCCAGTAGAGAGCAGAGTGTTGGGATTTAACCTGCCCTTCCCTTCCCTCTTCCTGCCTCTCTAGTTCCCTATTCTCTACTGGTATAGATAGACTGGTATAGATAGAGGAAAGACTGCCTCTCTAGTTCCCTATTCTCTACTGGTATAGATAGAGGAAAGACTGACACTCCTCTTCCTTTCCATTAATGGCTGCTCCTTTGAGTCAGGGCTCCTTTCCTTCCCCATCCTAGGTCAGCACAGCAGACTCAAAGGTTTCTCACTGGACCCTGTTCTAAAAGCAGGTACAGCCTTTCTGAGATTTTTCATAAGACTTTTACCTGCCAGGAACAATGGTAACAGACATCAAGAACAAGATGTACAATCCCTGGAAAGCAGATGAAGGTTAAGTTGCTGTCCTGTTCACCTGCCCAGTCTCTGTTTCCTGAATTTCCTTCCATTTACAGCAAGAAGCCCATTCATTTATCCTGAAGCTCTCAGTACTTAGGTGCTTGTCCTTCTTGGTATAAGTCAACTTGGTGTACGTTTCATTTGAGTGACAGCTAGAAAAGCTCCACTCAATAGTCACCTTGATTGGAGGCAGAGGCCAAGTCACTTGCCACACCCAAGTCAGGTTGGTAAAGATGCCCATTCCCCTCCTTCAATCCTTTTTCTTCAGAGTATTTGATATGTGAATAGCCTAATGAGGACTCTCTTATCCCTTTCTCTTTACCTCACAAATCTCCCTCCGACTTCTGGACACTCACCTCAAGGAGGCTGCGTGTGTACATGCATGCAGAGGAAAGCCCAGGTGTAGAGGGGCTGACAAGGAGAGGAGGAAGGAGGAGAGAGGAGGGAGAACTCCTAGCGATTGAAAGAAAGATAAATGGGAGCTACTGGTGTGAGTGGGACAACACAACGGAACCGTGGGATGTCTGAAGACACTGTGCTCACTCAAGGAAGCGTGAAAGAGAGGAAGAAAATTGGAGACCCATAGAAAATTAACATTAGATAAGGATTCTAGATGGTTTTTTGGTTATAAATACTTAGAGCTACTTGGTTTTAGCCTGATATCTACAAGTTAATCTGTTGAGTTCCAGATAAAAAGAATACTGGTAATGGATTTAGAAGAGAAATGAATAAAAGACTGTTATATTTGCTGCCTGAATATTGTGAAACATATTTAACATATTCACATATGAGCTATAAGACAATAAGAGAAGTTAAAATTTTGATTGTAAATGTGTATCATTTTCTAAAACATTCAGATGCTAGTATACCAAGAAATACCATTTAATACCCACATAAAATATATAAAACTTACCTGCTCAGCAAAAAATGAGAATATAGTAAACATAATCAATGTTGCTAGTACACAATGGGTCCAAAACTTCAATTTGTCTCGATAAGCCCTCCTGTGCAGAGAGAAGAAAGCAACTATGTACTTCTGTATATGGTTTCACTACCATTAGTTAAGCATTATTTATATACTAGTTCTATAAAAACAATGTTGGGAAACACAAAAACATTGTCTTGCAATTCTAAAATGCTCACACAATATACATTTCCAACACGAGTTCAGATTTTTTATTATGTCATAGTAAATATTATACTTGAATTAGTGAAGTTATCCAGGCAGGAGAGAGGACTTCAAAAGAAAATTACTTCTGGCACTTAAACAAAACCACTCTTTCATTCATTTTTATTCACTCATACTTATTTATTCACTCAGTTTCTTGATAAATACTTCCTGCGTATATGGAGAGATGAACAAGATGAAGTCCCTGCTTTTAAGTGTTTAGAAAACTGAGGCGTTGCTGACATGCTGACTGATGACTTGCCATCACATAAGACACAGAAATATGCATTATCAAAAGCAAAGTCATGTGAAAAACTTAGAGAAATGAGGACAGTGCCACAGAGATGGTGGCATTTCCTGTAAGCCTTGAAGGGGACAGGAAGCATATGGATGAGAAAGAGAAGGAGCAGTAGAGTGGCACGGTGGCCAGCTGGGCCCTACAGGACTGAGTGGAGTGAATCCATGCGGCAGCATGGGGGGAACTAAGCCAGGTGAAGGCGAGAGGGTATGAACTGCAGCTGCTTTGCAAAACCACACCGTGGGGTCTGGACAGAACACTCTAGTGGGAAAGTGGATGAAACAGACAGGTGGGGGTATGTGTGACATAATCAGGGTAAACATGTTGGCCATTTGAAGGATGGACAAACAAGGAAGGCAGGCAGTTTAGTTTTAGTCCAGGCATGAAAGGAAGCAGTGACAATGAAAAGAAATAAGCAACAGAAGAGACATTCCTGAGGTAGAATCAACTGGACCTGGAGCCAAGAGAATACTGAGGATAAAAAGAGGCAGTACAGCCATTTCCTCATCTGTAATTTGGAAATAATGAACAATTGGTTACGAAGATTAAATAAAAATGCTTACCATAGGTTTGGAAGATATGCTAGTAACTACCAAACTCTGGCCTCTGTGCTGAGTTACAGATTCTCATTTTCCACTGTTTGGGCGTCTCTACCTCAAGTCACACATCCAAAACGGCACTCGCCCACACACAGCTCTTCCCCCTGTATTTCCCACTTCTGTTAATAGGATCATAACCAGCTCTGTCAACTAATGTCTAGTGTCAGTGCAGTGAGAGACAATGCAGAACTAAGCAGGATGAGGAGCAAGCAACCTCCAGGGCAGGGGAATGACTGCAAGAGCACCCACACCTGATTCACACCATTTGTACAGCACAGAAATCAAGGTCCTCTCAAATTACTTTTAAGCCCACTTCTTTCTTATTCAAATGGACCCTTGAGGGTAAATTTAGTCACAAATTGAATTTGGGGAGTTAACACTTAGAACCACCTAAAGATCTTTTTCCTCTGAGTTAAGGGAAAGTGAAAACGGTGAGAAGCCATTCCTTGCCATTTCTGGGAGACAAGACCCATGATTCAGTAATAACTTCTCCTTATGAAAATAAAAACATAAAGATAGCAGCAATATTCATCCTAATTGTCTCATTTGCCCAACTCCAAGATACCGAGGAGTTCTAGTGCCAGGGTCTGCCAATTTCCCTTTTAAAGTGTCTCCCAGTTCGTCTATTGCTTTTTCTTTATTGCCTAGGCTGTATCCTTGGTTCACACCTGACTGACTGTTTCTAGGACTAGTGAAATGCTTATATACTTGTCTCCCTGCCTCCAGTTCCCAGGCAACCCTGCCCCACTCTAAGTAACTTCTTCACCACTCCAACCTCCCCACTAATACTAGTTATCATCTCAAATCATGAAGTCTGATCATGACAAACATCTAAAAAAAAAATCTCTCCTGGGGGTCCATTCTCAAAAGAAAAAAGTCTAATTCAAATACAGCCTTTCACAATCTTTTTTCTCGACACAGGACTCTCTTACACCTCTGTGCCTTTGCACATGCCATTTCTTCTACCAGGAATGCTCTTTCTTACATGGAAGTGTCATTTTCATAATTCAAAATCAAGTCCAAATGTCACCTTCCTGTAACAGAATCAGCTGGTCCTTCCTACGTACACCAGCTGCACTGAACTCTTATTGCCGCCCTCAATATACTGTATCACAATTTGCCTGGTATCTGTCTCCCTGGATAGACTGTGAGCATCTCAAGGCCTGGTACCACATGCCTTTCATCTTAGTATTCCTAGCACCTGGCACAGAGAGGCAAGCAAAGGGTCAAAAATCTTCCTAAACTGAAAGATAAAATTATCTTTATAATTAAATGTTGGCAATGGCAGTAGAATGAAAGATGAAGAAAACTTATAAAGCAGCTTTGGAATATAGTGGAATGTGCAGAGGACTGGGAGTCAGGCTGGATCAGCCACTTGCCAGCTACTTCAGCTGGAGCAAGTTACTCAACTCACATTACTATGTTCTCATCTGCAACATGGCAATAACAATACTTTTAATTGTAGAGAGTAAATATCTTGCCCAGTACAGTGTTTGGCGTACAACAGGTTCTCAAGAAAAAGGGTAGCTACTCTGACGGCAGTGATGATGATGAAGCACACTTAGTAGGTGTTGTAGGCCAGAATCTGGGGAATGGGCTGTCCAGGTTCATACGCGGGCTCCCCCATTCAGGAGCTGAGATGCCTTATGCAAGTTACTTCCTGTTGCTGTGCTGAGGATAAAATGGACCTACTACAGAGTTGTTAGAATAGTTAAATGAGAATGTGCATGAAAAGCTCTTAGTCAAGTACCATGTTACAGTTAAGTTAAAAAAAAAAAAAAGGCCTTAGTAAGGTATTGTTACTTAAACACGCAATATTGCTAGTGATTATTCCCACAGTAGATACTCAATAAATTAGCTGATTTAACAAATATAAGAATGAAAATTAGGGCCGGATACGGTGGCTCAGGCCTGTAATCCCAGTACTTTGGGAGCCTGAGGCGGGAGGATCGCTTGAGCCAAGGAGTTTGAGACCAGCCTGGCCAACCTGGCAAAACCCTGTCTCTACTAAAAATAACAAAAATTAGCTGGGCATGGTGGCATATGCCTGTAATTCCAGCTACTCGGGAGGCTGAGGCATGAGAATCGCTTGAACCCAGGAGGTGGAGGTTGCAGTGAGTAGACATCATGCCACTGCACTCCAGCCTGGGTGACAGAGCAAGACTGTCTCAAAACAAAACAAAACAAAACAAACTGCTTAACCTAATCCTTTACTCATTATAAAGTTTCCTGGTTGGTTATAAAGGCTAACCAGATAGTCTGGTTGTTGAAGTACTGAATGAAATGGCTCCTAATACCTTTCCAGGTTTACACTCCACTATTTCAGTATGAATTCTCCAACTAAGCTGGGCTAGCCCCCAAATTGCCCTGATCATTCCCACCTCCAAGCTTTTGCTCATTGTTCCCTTCTCACCACTTCTGAGATTCTGCCTTCAGGACTTAGTTTAATTCATTTTCCCCAAAGTCTTTCACTATCAGCTCAGCACATACCGACCTCATGTACCTCTCATTTTATACTAAACAATCCCTTCACTTACACATTGGTCAACAAACAGTTGAATAAATGAAGTTCCAACTAGACTGAAAGAACCCAGTTACACATTTTTTCAAATCCCTTAAAATGCAAATAAATGTCTTTCAAATATTAAACGCAATAAAAATTATAACTATACATTTTACAAAGAAATTAAAGAGCAAATAACACGTTAAAGAAATTTTGGCCGAGCATGGTGGCTCACACCTGTAATCCCAGCACTTTGGGAGGCTGAGGCGGGCGGATCACCTGAGGTCAGGAGTTCTAGACCAGCCTGGCTAACATGGTGAAACTCTGTTTCTACTAAAAATACAAAAAATTAGCTGGGCTTCGTGGCATATGCCTGTAATCCCAGCTACTCAGGAGGCTGAGGCAGAAGAATCATTGTACCCAGGAGGCGGAGGTTGCAGTGAGCTGAGGTTGCGCCATTGCACTCCAGCTTGGGCAACAAGAACAAAACTCCGTCTCAAAAAAAAAAAATAAAAAGAGAAATTTCATAAAAAAAACATTTCATCACTAACATATAGATACATATGCATGTATACACTCACCCACACACATGCATATATAAAACATGAGAATTTACCATTCCTGCAGCTCATGCATATGAAGGAAACGGTTTCGATACTCTCTTGGCAGTTCAAATTGGGAAGGTATGGGGAACATGGATTCATAGAAGTCCCTGAGAACAGCCTTCACTGTCTGAGCATCTTTATGATTGTGGTCAATGTTGTCATTCAGGCAAACAAACTTCCTGAAATAACAGAGAGCCAGGGTTATTAGTTACATATGGATAATCCTGACCTAACAAAACAAGGATGTGGATTCCAAATATATTTTAAATGGACTTATGTCCCAAGTTGGTATATTTGCTGATATGATTCTCTGGGGGAATGATATTCTATAAAATTTTTCTTTAGATATTCCTCACGTATAAAACAAGAGAACTAGGGTAGATGGCCTTTTAGCTATGGGAGTAAATTAATTTAATGACTTCCTTTTAGAGTGTCCTGAATTAATTGTTCAATAAATGTAGTTAACTGACTAGAATATTTTGTTGGCAGCTAGCAAAGACAATCAGTGGCCAGGCATGGCGGCTCACACCTGTAATCCCAGCACTTTGGGAGGCAGAGGTGGGCAGATCACCTGAGGTCAGGAGTTTGAGACCAGCTTGACCAACATGGCGAAACCTATCTCTACTACAAATATGAAAATTAGCCAGATGTGGTGGCACGTGCCTGTGGTCCCAGCTCTTCAGGAAGCTGAGGTAGGAGAATCGCTTGAACCTGGGAGGGAGAGGCTGCAGTGAGGAAAAAAAAGAAAGACAATCCGTAAGTACCTAAAACCAAGTTCTCTGAAGGCCATGCATGGTGGCTCATGCCTGTAATCCCAGCACTTTGGGAGATCAAGGTAGGCTGATTACTTGAGGTCAAAAATTTGAGACCAGCCTAGCCAACATGGTGAAACCCTGTCTTTACTAAAAATACAAAAAAATTAGCCGGGTGTGGTGGCATGCCTGTAATCCCAGCTACTCGAGAGGCTGAGGCACTAGAATTGCTGAACTCGGGAGGCAGAGGTTGCAGTCAGCAATCTTTAGATTGCACCACTGCACTCCAGCCTGGGTGATAAAGCGAGACTCTGTCTCAAAAAGATTAAAAAAAAAAAATCAAAACCAAGTTCTCTGAAATGATAGTTATATTACAAAGAAAAATCATGTAAATAATTGAGAGAGAGAGACAGTGCCTTATAGCTACAGATTATATGAATTTGATAATTTCTGCTTACTATGTCTCTAACCAAGCTGTAAGATGCTACAGTTCTGGCAAAAAAGCAGATTACAGTGGTGCTTCCTTGCTTGTTTCAAGTTCCTTTCAAGGCAAAGGTCACTAAACTAAGGGCCCATTAAAGTGGCTTGTAGGTAGGCCAATACTTTTGAAGTAGATTCGCCAAAATTAAAAAAAAAAAAAATCAAACAAACCTGATAAAGCCTTCAGATCCAACTACCAATTTATGGGAAATACAAGAGACATAGAAACTTGTTAACTAGGATTCAATCAGAGAGGGACAAAGTGTAAGATAGCTATAGAATCTATAATCAGATTTATTCATATACACATGCAAAAAATTATACGGTTAAAAAAAGAGAGATGGAGGGAAAACCCATAGATTTAACTTCAAACCAACAAACTTAAAAACCAAAAAAACACATAAGTCTTTATGAAAGTTAAGAGGAGTGAAAGGTGTACATTGACAAAGTAGTTGGTCATATTAAGGAATCATTATTGATTTTTTTAGGGTGATAATGGTATTGTGGTTATATTTTTAAGAATCTTTATATTTTGGAGATACATACAAAAAACGTGGAGCTAAAATGATACAATGTTTGAGATTCACTTAATATTAATCAGGTAGCAGTGGTGGAGTGGGTGTGTTTAGATGAAACAAGGTCAAATAGAAATGGAAGTAAATAAATATAAATCACTTGTCTTCCTTCTGAAGAAGGAAGTTTTAGTTGTAGCCTACACTTCTGAAGAAGACAAGTGAGGGGTATGTGAAAGCTCATTCATCTTTCTCTAAACCTGGAGACTGCTTTAAATTAAAGGATACTAAAGAGCTATGTCAACCTAATATATGAGCCTTGAGTGTATCTTGGATTAAAAACAAACAGAGGCAGAGAACAGCTATGAAGGGCATTTGGAGGCAACTGGGGAAATGCTGAAGACAGGCTATTAGATGGTATTATTTAACCAATGTTAAAGTTCTAGAATGTGTTAATGGTCTGTGGCCTGATGATGAAGCCATCACAAGCAGAGCTAAGAAATTCAGAGAAAAACAAAGCCTGGAGATTGTCTATCCCAGACTCCCTGTTAACGGGATAAACATGTCCTTAAAGCTGAAGTCAGTCTGAAGTCTAGTTTTCCATGCCTGACTTAAAATAAGCCTTCGTCGAAATAAAACAAAACAACATAAACAAGGGTTAATGATAAAATCTGTTCAGGTACACAAGAGGCAGCTGGGCCTGGCAAACTGTGGAAAAAGCCTGGCTTGCCATGTGTCTTTTTACTAAACCCCTGTCCCTTTAAGTACCATGAAAATGTCTATGAATACTCTAACCCAATAACTTTCAAATTGGCACAAAGACCTAAAAGTATAGGCTACAACTAAAAACTGCAAATTCTCACATTATTACTACACATGACGGAGAGAACTCATCAAGAAAATGGGGGAAGTCTGTACTCCCATCAAAATTGGTTCTTAAAAGCTAAAGTTATTTTAAGAAATTAAACAGTACACTTCAAGTGGAGGGAACAGCATATGCAAAGAGGGCTGTACGCTAGGTAATTATTATTGTAGCTTATGGTTTGCTTGGCTTGTGGGAAACATTTTGTAAAAAATCAAGTATTTTACTGGATTACTAAAGACACTAAATAGGTGTTAAAGGTATTTTTATTTTTTTTGAAAATTCCAATTTCTTTCTCCTCCAAACGAGAACAGGGTTTATAGAAAAAATATAATGGCTTTAAAATGTCTGTAAGGTTCACATCTTTGATTATTTATAATTAAAATCCTAATTTCAGTGAGGTAAAACTAAAGACCTCCAAATGCATTTAAAAGACCCAGAAATTAAAAATACTCCATTTTAGCTGGGTGCAGCAGCTCATGTCTGTGGTTCCACTAGTCAGGAGGCTGAGGTGGGAGGATTGCTTGAGCCCACGAGGTCGAGGCTACAGTGAGCCATGTTTGCATTACTGCATTCCAGCTTGGACAACAGAGTGAGATCCTGTCTCAAAAAAATATAGTTTATATGCCAGTGTCTTTATTTTCCAAAGAAGTTGATGAAACATCTACTTCCCACTAAAGTTAAAAACTCAAAAATGCATATTTTTAGCACATTTTATCAAACCTGCTAAAGTAACAGTTAAGGGGCTAGTAAAGAAATTGTTAAGACTTAGGTAAACCTGAAAATTTATTCATCCCCAAAGGATGGCTGGAGTATACTGGATTAAGGTTCACATTTACGGTAGCATTCCTTTTTCCTCAAAAGCTAATCTGAACTTTACTTTGAATTCCATCTAAACAACTGTTCTGGAAGTACCTTTTTAGAAATGCCATAATTCTAAAAAGGCATTTCTAGAATGTCCCAGCTGCCTGGCCTCACCTCCCCACAATGCGATCTGTCCCTGGGTCTCTCTGAACAGCTTGTTATTAATAGAACCCAGTTCTTCGAAGTTCAGGCTCATCCCTCTGCATGGGGGACCCTATCTCAACTTGCAACTCCTATCTCTCACTCAACCACCAGCTCCAACACTGCCTGCACTGTTAGGCCTTTTGGTCTGTTCCATACAGAAATAAGCTACTCCCTTCTTTCCAGTCCTTTTATTCAGGTTTATTTGCATAATTAAAAATTATATATAAAAATCAGTACCTAGGGTTTTTTCTTATGTCATCCAACTGGCCAACCACATGAGAAACGTTGGTACGAATCATTTTAAAAGCGATTTCTTCTTCTCCCATGATTTCAAACCTAATTATCAAAACATATTTGAAGAGTTTAAATAATTACATGGATATAAAAAATAAAACTTCAATAGAAAATACATTTTTTAAAACCGTAGTGGACTCAACATCCACAAAATAACTTAAACTTTTAATACTACTACAGCAAACAATCTCATATAAATTTTAGAACAGTGCTTAATAGACAAAATATTGTAGAATTATAAAAAAGCCAGACCTTTGTGATTACTCTTATACTAAACAAAGGGAGTATGCGTGTACTACTTACCTATATTTGTTTTTGTCCTTATATGCTTTGTGGATTTTGTCAGTTACTGGTTTACAGTTTGTTACTAGACTTTTAGTGACCGGTGGCTATGAGAAAATATAAGTAGATCAGATATCACATCAGAGCTGAAACTAGGGCAATTTAGTCCTAATCTTAGTTCTGATTTTTAACTTTGATTCTATGCTCTCTGGAGGTAAGAAAAACACCAACTGTGACTACATATACATCTTTTTCATCTTTAAGAACATACTGGCAAACAATTACTACCATTTATATAATAGAGTTTATAATGCATTTTTCACAAACCAAACCTGAAGTACTTTATCCTATTGGATCATGGCAAAAACCCCAAATAAACTGCTGAAGTACACAGACGAGCTGCTCTTCTGTTATCAGCCTGACTGCGTACCAGCTCTGTGTGAGGCGTCTGGTGAATTCCCGACCCACAAATAGTCTCATAGTCTCATTTTTTTTTTTTTTTTTTTGAGACGGAGTCTCACTCTATCGCCCAGGCTGGAGTGCAGTGGCGCGATCTCAGCTTACTGCAACTTCCACCTCTCGGGTTCAAGTGATTCTCCTGTCTCAGTTTCCCGAGTAGCTGGGATTACAGGAACCCGCCACCACACCCAACTCATTTTTGTATTTTTAGTAGATACAGGGTTTCACCATGTTAGCTAGGCTGGTCTCGAACTCCTGACCTCAAGTGATCCGCCCGCCTTGGCCTCCCAAAGTGCTGGGATTAAAGGCATGAGCCATCGCACCCGGCCAATTTTTGTATTTTTTAGTATAGAAGGGGTTTCACCATGTTGGCCAGGCTGGTCTTGAATTCCTGACCTCAGGTGATCCGCCCACCTTGGCCTCCCAAAGTGTTGAGACTATAGGCACGTGCCACCGTGCCCAGCCCTAGTCTCATTCTTGACCTGCTGATTCCTATCTGCTAATCCCACTAGAGCAAGTTCCTTTAAGGCTGATACCAGGTCTTACTCCTCTATTTATCTCAACTTTATTAATTTGGTAATGTTAAGTCTTAGCACATTTAGAGAATTGGCTTTTAAGTGGCACATATCCATATACTAACCCATGCCATATGCTAAACTAATCTACACGTGATAGGCAACACTCATACTATGTGCTCTGATGGCTGCTATGCTGACCTCTTTCACCAATGGCTGCCACTTGTCACACTGTGTCTCCTCATGAGGGAGGAGGTGTCCTATCTGCAGTCATTATTTATACATGGCTTGAAGATTTGCAAGATCGTAATTTTTTAAAAATACCACTTCATTCTGATTATGAAAGCAAAATCTACTCATTGTAGAAAATATGAAAAACTCTAGTGTACAAAAAGGATATTAAAAACTACCTGTGATTTAACCTACTGTCATTTCTGTTGTCTTTTGGGGTATGTGTGTTGTATATGTACTTGGAGGATTTTTATAGTTCAACTCATACTGTCTATATGGTAGTACCCATTATTTTCTCCACCTAATTTTATTATATAAGAATTTTTCGCTGGGTGCAGTGGCTCACGCCTGTAATCCCGGCACTTTGGGATGCTAAGGCAGGCGTATCACAAGGTCAGGAGATTGAGACCATCCTGGCTAACACGGTGAAACCCCGTCTCTACTAAAAATACAAAAAATTAGCCGGGCGTGGTGGCGGGCGCCTGTAGTCCCAGCTACTCAGGAGGCTGAGGCAGGAGAATGGCGTGAACCCGGAAGGCGGAGCTTGCAGTGAGCCAAGATAGCGCCACTGCACTCCGGCCTGGGTGAAAGAGCGAGACTCCGTCTCAAAAAAAAAAAAAAAAAAAAGATTACTTTGTGAAAAAGAGCCCTGAAAATAAAGCTTAAAAAAAAAAAAAAAGAATTTTTCCATTTATCAGTAAAAAATTAACAGAAAATAGCAGATTAATGGCTGTATTATATTCATTTCATCAATTCTATGATTTTCTTCACATTATAACCTCTCTGAAACTAAAATGTCTCTTATAATCTATACTCTTTCAATTATTTCAGCCAAATGACATTCCAATGCAGTCGTGTGTTAATCACCCACTGCCCCTACTGGTAAAATGGAGTAAGTGCCAGCATTAAAGCAATTCAGCTTTGATGAACGATGATATTCCATGTGATGAATATTTCCTTGATGGTTAAACCTCAGGATTGTTCTCTCTGGCCAATGAGAATACTCTGGGGCTATTTTCTGTCACCCTTAGTAAACAGGACATCCGCTTATGGAATATAAGCAACAAATCCAAATTACGCATCTATGGGGTGAACAGTAAGATTCCAAAGCAAGCTATGAATGATTCGGATTACCTGTGCTACTGTTTTGCAACAAAGACATATAAAACCATAGAGCCTGCTGCTAGTTCTGAAGTGCTATACAGAAATGCTGTAAGTAACACTTGATAAGGATGTACTTTCTGTTGTACATAAAAGTAACCCATTCCACTTACCAGGTTGGGATCATAGTAGGATTCCTGAGTTGGTGGAATATTATTTAGCTGCGTGATATCAGCAGGAAGCATTTTTGAGCAATTTATTAGCATGTGTTCCAGACCTGTCAAATCCTAACAAAGAAAAAGATGATAAATCTGTTATGCGCATTGTAAGTAATGACTGTGGTTTTAAAAATAAAAATTAAGTGAAAGCTTCCAAAAATGGTTTAAATGCTATCTTCAAAGAGAGTCTGACTATATGATTCTTAAGATAAAGGCACTCTAAGAAGAGCAGAATGAGACAATGCCAACAAAAATATTTCATCTTCATCTCAAAGAACATTCTGGCCTCTGAGATACCCATTTACACAAGGTGGTCCAGGGCTCAGGAGAAATCATGCCCTGCAGCTAGATTCATCTGGGCACCTCCATTAGTGAGTTTCCTACTCCTGGGACTAGAGGATGCCATGAAGGAGGGGCTAGCTGAGATCTCCAGCTAGCCACACCTGAAGTCCTAGAATGAATATACCACAAGAATCTCATATGCAGGTATGGTCTGGCTCTTTTCCAGACAATACAAGATCAATCCCTACTGAAAACCTGCAAAAAGTAATTTCATAAAATACAAACCCCAAATTTGGTTATAATTCTAGCACTAAAACAGACTAGCTATGAATACCCACAGTAAATATTAAGAATTATTTTTACTTGCAATAAATTAAAATACGTAGGGGAAAAAGAGACATGGTCAGAATTAAAATTTTCTTTTCTTTTTTTTTTTTTTTTGAGACAGAGTCTCACTCTGTTGCCCAGGCTGGAGTGCAGTGGCGCAATCTTGGCTCACTGCAACCTCCACCTCCCAGGGTGAAGCGTTTCTCCTGTCTCAGCCTCCCAAGTAGCTGGAATGACAGGCGCATGCCACCACATCCGGCTAATTTTTTGTATTTTTAGTAGAGACGGGGTTTCACCGTGTTGCCCAGGTTGGTCTCGAACTCCTGAGCTCAGCTGCCTCAGCATCCCAAAGTGCTGGGATTACAGGTGTGAGCCACTGCGCCTGACCAGAATTAAATTCTCATTTAAAACATCAAAAAGTTTAGAATAAGACAATACAACACCTGCAAACTTAACGGCAGTTCGTGAATTCTGGTAGCCAGTGTTCGGATTTCTCTGTCAGACAAGACACCAGATTGATCTGTATCAACTTCATCAAAGACTTGAGATATATTCAGTGGCTGCACTGCACTCATGAGATAATAAAAATAAGAGAAGGCAAACTGCATATCCTCAGAATGGCGCACTTTGTGAAATGACGTCTTGTCAAATTCTTCAGGGAACCTGTCCAAATATAACATATTACAAACTCTGGATATTCAAAGTATGTACCGTATCTAACATTTGCAGAGATGGACTTTTTTCTTTCTCACTTAGATAATACCTTTAACATATTAGTCATCAAATATTAGAGCTATAAATTTAGCATGGTAAATATGCACATTTCAAGTAGCCTTAGTTCTGAACACAAGCAAACAACTCAAACACGAGCAAGACTTACATATCTTGCAGTTCTTGCATAACAATCCGGTCAATCATGTGAGGCATGTGAGCAGGGACTTTCCGCGATGTGAATCCAAACTTGCTATTTAGAATTTTATTTACATATCTGAGGGAATCTGCAAATGTATCTTTTAGTTGCCTCCCAGTATTTTTGCTATCAGTGAAGTATGCCAATTGTGTCTTCAATGACTCTTCTTCCTGAAAAGAGAATTCTACATGTAACTCAGCATTATGTTTAGTGCACAAGTGTACTTTGTTACAAGACATTTTATATAATGTGGTAATAACTAGTCACGAACTCTTCATTAGGAGCAAATGAAATACATGTTAACGGGTCACTTTAAGGATCTAAACTGGACTTAGCAGGACTCAACTGGATTTCAGTGCAAGTATCACCAATGTTGGTTTGAGAACAACAGCTGTACGATGGAGATCTACATAACAACAGTCACATATGGAGGGTATTCTTCAAGGACTGGTCACTGACTGTGAGATGTCAAAGCTAATTCAATGCAACATTTAGAAAATTTATGTACATATACATTTGATAGTACTTTCAATATCAAGCTATTTCTGCAGGTGATATCAAATGTGCAAGTCCTTGAGTTTTAAGCGCAAGGACTAGAAACAAATTTGGTTTCATCTTATAATAGTTTTAATATTATAAAATCAAAACCAGTCAGTGGCAGAACTAAATAGGCAAAGAAAATTGGCAAAGCATTCAAACACTTTACAGAAATATTTTTGCTTCTCAAACTGATAAAAATAAAAATGTAAGGAGACTGATATTAACTGGTGTTGGTTAGACTGCAGTGAAACAAGCACTGTTGTATACTGTTTGTGGAAATATGAAGTGGTGCAACATTTCAGAAAGACATATTTAAAGTTTATACCTGCTAAGCTAGTAATTCTACCTGCAGAACTAAAACTCACTGAAATGTAAGATATATGTACAAGAGAATTCACTGCAACACTATTTGTAATCACAAAACATTGGAAATAACTAACCTGCAGCCATTAAAAAGAATAATGGCACTGGCATGGGTATAAATAAATAAATAAATAATGGCATTTGCCCACATCCTACTACATCAAAAGGCAACTGCAGGGAAATATATGTAAATTTACACTATACATATATTTCTCTATATATAACTATACATACATATAGGTATGTTTGCATAGCTATAGAAAAATACTGGAAGAATACCCATCAAACTATTAACAGCAATTATCTCCGGGAAGGAGACTGAAGAAGGAAGAACTTTCCTTTATTTACTGTATATTTTTGAATTGTTTGCAATTTTTACTACTAGCCTATAATGCTTTTGTAAATTTAAAAAAAAAAAAAAAAAAAAAGGAAAGAGGCCAGAGGCCAGGCACAGTGGCTCACGCCTGTAATCCCAGCACTTTGGGAGGCCGAGGCGGGCGGATCACCTTAAGTCAGGAGTTCGAGACCAGCCTGGCTAACATGGTGAAACCCCGTCTCCACTAAAAATACAAAAAATTGGCCAGGCATGCTGGCACATGCCTGTAATCCCAGCCACTCAGGAGGCTGAGACAGGAGAATCTCTTGAACCTGGGAGGCAAAGACTGCAGTGAGCCGAGATCACGCCATTGCACTCCAGCTTGGGAAAAAGAGCGAAACTCCATCTCAAAAAAAAAAAAAAAAGAAAGGAAAGGAAAGAAAATGGGGGAAACTGAGGAAATAAACATAGTCAAGAACACTGCAGTCCTTCACTAGACAATCTGTAAATGCCTCATGTGCAAGGCACAAGATACTTCCTAAAATGCTGAGGACATAGTTCCTCCTTCACTCTCTTTTCTCCCAGCCTAACACCCACTCGTGGCTGTGTGCCTTCACTATTCAGCCCAGACTGTATGATTTTTTTTTTTGGTCTGTCAACTCCCACCCCTTCGAAGGTCAGTCCACAGGGCACTTCCTTCTGTATGCCTTCCCTAGTACTTCTAGGCAGAGCTAAGGAGTCCTCCCTCTGAACTTCTTGCCCATATCTCAACACAGACACATCTCTTTGCTACAGTTTTCTCCCCACAAATTTGTCTTCTCTACTGGTCCCTGAGTTTCCACATGAGCAGTGGCTATGTTCCCGTCATCTTGCATTCCCCAGTGGTTAGCACCGTGAGAGCACTGAGGAGAGGTACAGATGACACCACAGCACAGTGAAGCCATGGTACAGGGCAACGAGCAGTCCAACTTTGAGGCTTGGCTCACACTGATTTGCTGTTATAATGTTGGGGAAGCGAATGAACTTAATTGAACTTCAGGGTTTTTCATCAGTAAAGCTGGAAAAATACCATATCTGAAATGTCAAGACAAGACAACATGCCACTTCCCACTCTCCTTCCTCCAAGTACGCCCCTGGCTAAATCCCTTACTCATTCACACTTGGGCTGTTTCCTAAACTACAAAATGGGGACAGCAATAATAAATACCTTCATATGACATTTTTTATTATTAGGGTTATTGGGTAAATTAAATGAAACCATGTAAGAAAAGCATTTAGTTCCATGGCCGGCACAGGGAAGTGCTGAATAAATGGTAGCTATAATGATATTATCATGAGATTATTTACTCTTCCTGAGCATGAGAAAGAATGAGGCTGGATGTTACTTACGTCGAGAAGATCTTGGAAATACTTTTTTTTCTCCCATGGCAAAAAGCCCAAGTAACTATCTGTGTAATGCTGCAGCTTTCTTCCAAGTAACACTTCAGTAACGCCTATGTGATTTTCAGCATTTTCCTCCATTCTACTGTTCTCTTTTTCTTTCCCTGTGATTTTCTTTTCTTTTGTCATCTGGCTTTCCAGTGGAACAATCAGAGATGGGGGCTTTTCTTTTGTCACATTTCCGCCTATGGTTTTTTGGGTGTGAGTTTCCACTCTAAATCTTGCTGTGGTCTCCAAGTCCAGGGGTGGATTCTGACCCTGGTCATGACCATTCACTTTTACACTCACTGCAGGAAAAGTCAACCTCTGCAATCTTTCAGACACTCCTAAGCTGTTTGGCAAGATGCTTTTATGAACCTGTTTTTCCTGTGGAGCCACCAAACTGTCATTTGTTTCATCTGTTATTATAGCTTGATTTTTTATTTTAGCATGCTGTGAGTTCATCAGAAATGATCTCAGCAAGGCTGACTTGGACAAATTGTATCCTTTCAAAGTGATGTCTCCATGTTCCAGTTGCAAATCCAAGGTATTGAGACTCAACTGGGCGTCTTTTGGAAGGAGTGAAATATTTACCAGGGGAATTTTCACCTCTTCCTGGGCTCTCCTTGTTGAGTTAACATCATGTCTCTTAAACTTCGGGAAGCGTTTTTCTTTGGGAATATCCTCAAAAAGGATTTCCGCCTCTGGAAGAAGTGTTATGGGACTAACTAAATTTTCGTAACCCTTCTGGGCTGTAGAATTCAGTTTTGGTCCCTCCCTTGTGTCCACCTCCACTGTTATCTGCATTTTGAACTCTTCATCGTTTGTATTTTGAAACGTGAGATTAAAATGTATTGTGGTGGCATTCATTCCACTGTGCATTATGAGGTGGATGGTTTTCCACTTGTTGGCAATAGAAGCATGTCGAATTATTGGATTGTCACTATAGGCACCTTCAACTCCTCTTTTGGCTACTTCTGCAAAGCTGAAATAAGGCAGGCATTCACCTTTTGGAATAATATAGTGAGTCTGGTTTGGGAGAAGGATCACTTTATACAATTCATGAAAATGATCTAGAGGAAAAAACAGAAACATGATTTTTTTTTTAACTGGGCATTTTTCCTCTGTTTTCCTTTAATTCTTTGAGTCTGAGTTTTCACTTTCTTTTAAAAAAAATAATAGGGAATGCATCATGAATTTGCATGTCGTCCTTGTGCAGGGGCCATGCTAATGCCTAAACTGTTCTAATTTTAGTATATGTGCTGCTGAAGTAGGCACTGAGTTTTCACTTTCTAAGAGTGACTTTAATTTCAAAATAATCAGATATCCTAATACAACAGTTACTGGTATAGGGCTTATTTCACTATCTGAGGCAGTCACAATAATTACCATGAAATAGTGATCCTGACTCACTATAGAGATATGGCATGGTTCTTAACAATAAATTACAATAATCAATTTCCATCTTTTTATCCATTTGAAAAAAACTTTCTGCCAAAACAAACTCCATTAATACGCTATCAACAAAATCCAGTGTTTGAACCATCTTTATTTAATGAATTATTGATATCCTTTTTTGTTTCCAAATTAAAACTTCACCACATATTTTCAGCTAAGGTAAATCTGCTTGGTCCAAACAAAACAAAACAAAACAAAACACCAGACTGCAACAATAACAGGAAAAGATCCTCTTCAGTGATTTATGTTGTTCTCTTACTTTCATAACTAGTTTGAATGCAAGGCTGGTAAAGGGATACACAGAGAATCATTATTTTAAATAACAAAAGCCATTCAAAACTCTCTCTACCTGTCAAGGATGTTTTATGCTCCCATTCTTATTTGTTTGGCAGTAAACATACCTTGCCCACAGTCGCCAGCATCAAACCCACAGGACAAGACATTGCATGCTTGGTCACAGAACTTATCAGCGAGCCAGGAATTCGCACATCCCTGATTACAGTAAGAGACACTGTTTATTCCTCCACCAAACTGCCAGGGCTGTCCAACTCCAATACTCCCAGTACCTCCACCTCCTGCAATATAGCGACTCCCTCCACTGTTTCCTGTAGATCGGAGGAAGAAGAGGGATTCTTGCTGTAATTACAATTTTGAAAGACAGTTCTGGACTGGGTGTGGTGGCTGACGCCTGTAATCTCAACACTTTGGGAGGCAGAGGAGGCTGGATCACCTGAGGTCAGGAGTTTGAGACCAGCCTGGCCAACATGGTAAAACCCCATCTCTGCTAAAAACACAAAAATTAGCTGGGCGTGGTGGTGGGCGCCTGTAATCCCAACTACTTGGGAGGCTGAGGCAGGAGAATTGCTTGAACCCGGGAGGCGGAGGTTGCACTGAGCCAAGATTACACCACTGCACTCCAGCCTGGGCAACAAGAGTGAAACTCCGTCTCAAAAAACAAAAAACGAAAAAGACAGTTCCTTATTTCATATTGATGTTTTCAAGGTTGATGTGTAAGTTTTAGTCAGAAAAGGTTCACCTCATTCTTTAGTAGAAGATCTCATATACCTTAAGAAGAAAATAAACGTAAAAGGGAGTCACTTGACAGAAGCGTGATGAACAGGCCCTGGCATTTTGTAGCTGTGCAACCTACAAGTACAGGGCTTACATTTGCTCAAGGGGCACGTGCTGACAGAAATGGAGGAGCACGAAAACAAGAAGAGATTATTCCAAAGACTGTGACTATCAGAACTGCCAAAAACATGTCCAAACGTGGGTAACATGTTTGATACCCCTTGTTATCAAATGCTAATGTTCCAGTAGAGACTGACTTCTCTGGTCTACACAGATCTACTTTGCACATCTGTATTCTCTCTCCTCAGCTAAAGCGCATCTGACATATCTGACTGAAATACAACTTGAAGCTTTGTTTTCTCCAATATTCAAACATTTCCAAATCCATTTCTTCATATGGAAATGGGGATGATAACATTTGTGTACATACTTACTCTCTCTCTCTCTCAGGTAACAAACACAATTCAAGTGAATATAATGAATAATGCTCTATAAATTTAATGCTTTATAAATTGAAAGGTAGTAAGTAAATGTAACAAATTGCTATTATCAACAAGTCAAAATATAACTATGTGAGGGAGAGGGAAGAGCTGCTGAGGAGAGAAAATACTTATTTCTTTTGCAACTCTTTAGTAATTCTGTGACCTATCACAATCTGCTGCTGAAAGCTACCAGCAGTGAGCTCCTATAAGAACCAGTTAGAGTGATTCTTGCTCTTGGATTTATATAAGTGTATTCCAGATTTTCATATTTTAAATAAGAAGACATTTTCAAGTGTATTTTCTCTTGTTCAATGCCCTCAACAATGAATAAACTGGGCCACATGAGGGCACTAATTACCACCTCCAAAGAGTCCATTGATTACTGATTTGTTTGTTTTGAGAGAGGCTGTCACTCTGCCGCCCAGGTTAGAGTACAATGGTGCAATCACAGCTCACAGCAGCCTCTAACTCCTAGGCTCAAATGATCCTCTTGCCTTAGCCTCCCAAGTAGCTAGGACTACAGGTTTGCACCACCACACTTGGCTAATTTTTTTTGATAGAGATGGGGTCTTACTATGTTGCCCAAGCTGGTCTTGAACTCCTGGCCTCAAGCACTCCTCCCAGCTCAGCTTTGCAAAGCACTGGATTATAAGCATGAGCCACCATGCCCAGCATTACTGATTCTTTATTAATACATAAAGAATGTTTGGTTAAGTCTATAGCACATGTTCAATAATGATTAAGAAGAAAATATTCCATAAAAATGAACGAATTACAGTTTAACACATCCTTACCAGAGCAATCCCCACCATCCCAATCGCAGGCTGAATTATTACAAGCCTTGTCACAATAGCCATCCTTAATCCAGGAACCTGGGCAGCCCTCGGCACAGTTTGGCACAGGCCATGTCAAATAAACCTACGATAAAACCAAAGAGAAAATAAAATGACTTCTGGCTTCTGATACATTTTATTCTTGAGTTAAGATTCCCTTTATAAAAAGAAATTAAGTCTCTAGAAAGATTAAAATTTTCAAAGGGCTCAGCGTTCACACTCACAAGTGCTTTAAGTTTGCCTGTACCTACAGTCATTGTTTAGATCCTGCTGCGTTGACCGTTCTTACTGAGCGTATTTACTTTTTTTCCATTACTCAAGGAAAGCAGACAAGGATTCAACTCATGGATTAGTCTCTCATAACATGCTTTGATAATCTACTATGAAATAAAGTAGCACCATGCCAGACTTGACTGCAAGTACCAAAGCATGTCAAAGCTGGTGGGAAGTATGCACAGTCACTGCTTTTCTGTAACTATCAGTAGCTCATTAGTGTATTTGTGCATAATCTTGTCTCAAGGCTGAGAGACAATATCCTCTCTCTTCAAGCTTAAGGCCCTGTGATAAATTAACTGGCATAGCATTCTGAGCTGTGCATTCACCTGCTCTCAGAATTAGTGATGGGGTACATGGTTTTTCAAATTTAAAATCATTGAAAAAAAATACACTCCTCTTTAAAAATCTCTGTGCCTTTGCATATTCTAATTGGAATGTCTTTTTTAACCTAAACTAATTCTTACTTGTTCTTCTCAGTACATGTCAATTCAGATGGGCTTTCTTCCCTATCCTATCTGATTTAAGCCTCCTTTGCTCACACTCCTCAGCACCAAGGCACACCTGTCAGCAGGAAAAGCACCACACAGTCATTGATCTTGTTTGTCCCCTTGTTAAGCCACAAGCTCAACTTTGAGCCCTACAGTCTGATACAGAGGAGACAACTCAATAGGGGAACAGGAGAATGGGCCTGGTTGGGTAGCATAAACAATTACAGACAAAGTAGTTTTGTGTTATTAGCACTTACAGTTGCAGAGTTTTATAACTTCTAAGTTTACGGTGATAAGTCTCTAACTTATCACTGAACCCTTCTAACAACGCTACAAGGGTATTTGTACTTTCCTCACTATGCCAGAAAACACAGAGGTAGAGCCACTGCCCAAGGTCATCCTGAAGAGTTGGCCCCTAAGTCTGTACTCTTAACCACTTCTCCATCCCACCTCTCACAAAGTTAGAGTGCAACAGGCTACCTTAAATGAAATTACATCTATAGCTTTAAGCACTAACTTGAGTTAACTTTCTATTTTGGCCATTTTGCTGATATTCTAACCATGATTGTCTGTTTCACAGTGATTTTGCTTTTTCTGCTATCGTAGTAGAAAATTGAGATGGTTGGGAAAAAGTGTGGGTCCTGGGTGTCTAAGAATGCAGGAAAGCAAATTTCTAACTGTAGTGTTCTTACTTCTTAATTGCTGATTTCTGAGCTTAGCACTCAAAAATGATTATTTGATCTCATATATCTATATATATTTTTTTATTTTTCAAGATCCGGTTCTCACTCTGTCACCCAAGCTGGGGTGCAGTGGCACAATCACAGCTCACTGCAGCCTCAACATTCAGGCTAAAGCAATCTTCCCATCTTGGCCAGTGACCCCCTACTCCCCCCACGGCCCCCCAACACCCAAGCAGCTGGGACTACATGAGTATTCCACCGGGCCCAGATAATTATTTTACTTTTTGTAAAGACAGGGGTCTCACTATGCTTCCCAAGCTGGTCTCAAACCCCTAGGTGGTCAAGTGATCCACCCACCTCCGCCTCCCAAAGTACTGGGATTACAGGTGTGAGCCACCATGTCTGGCCTGATATTTGACTACAGTAGTATGTGCACTCATTTTCTGATTTGCTAAGTGACTTCCACGCTAGACAACCCCCCTCCTCTTAGGCACTCACCTTCTGGCCTTTGGAGTGACTGTAAAAATCATCTGGCCAGACATCCTTCCCAAACATGACATCATCATTTAGGTAAATAAACTTCTGGGACAGCCCTTCGATGCGATGAATGTGACTTTCAATAGCAGGTGAACTAAAGGTAGGCAAGTGGCTCAAATTTCGAAAAACATCCTTTTAACAACAACAAACAAAAAAAGAGAGTGAATGAGAGCTGTTTGGGTTTGGTTTAGTTTTTGAAAGGAAGGAAGGGAAGGCAATGAAGAGCTAGAGAAAGGAAGAAATGGAGGTAGAAGGGTAAAGGGAATGAAATTATGGAAATCCCTGTACCACACTAAAAGAGCAGAATTAGAAATCACAGTCTTGTAATTTTTAGAAAGTCCTGTACCTGGTGTGTTACTATTGTCACTCGAGGATTGTCAAGGTTCAGCCAGGATGGAATCTGCCCGTTGGTGACAATGAAAATATTCCGAACCCATGGTGCATGCCTCTCGATAGATCGCAATGAGTACCTCAGTTCTTCGTTATCTTCAAAACGACTGGCAGAGATGTCTTCATCCTGCTTAGACTGAGAAAAACACTTGGCATATGAAGATGTGAAATACCCCTTAAGTCATACCTCCTCCTCTTTGTCCTTTCCTTCTGCCCGTCTGCTCTCAAGGTGCTCTGGCAGACTTTTAAAGATGGAGTCCTAATTTTAAACATTACAAAAAATGCAAAAGATTCAGTATATATATTTTTAAACCCAAAATTCAAAGAGACAGCATTTCTATAACACACTTTATGAAGAAGGTTCTTGGATCTGATTCTAGGTGACTTCAGTTAATACCAAACCAATGGCAGTGACTGAAAAATTAGAAAAATTCCAATCAACTCACCTCTCTGTAAGTCCCCTTCCCTCTTCTAATATAGTAACTTACACATTTTTAACATCTTAACCTTTGATTTGGGCTGTAAAAGCTTCTGTGCATCCCTTACCTGGCTGATGGCGCTCAGATCCCATAATAAATATGCAGGACTTATGGTCAGTTCTTTTCCATCAATGGTCATGTTCTTCTTAGTTTGCTTATTCAATTCTTGAAAATCCTTGGGGTTATTCAGTTTTAGAAGCGCTACACTGGCCTCTGAATACAACTGCAACTATCAAATAACAAGAGGATTACACATGAAAAGACTGAATCTCAAGGATGAAGCACCTTTAAATTCCCACTCTGCTCTTTAATCTTTCCTTTTTTTTTTTTTTTTGAGACACAGTCTCGCTCTGTCGCCAGGCTGGAGCGCAGTGGCACGATCTCTGCTCACCTCAACCTCCGCCTCCCGGGTTCAAGCGATTCTCCTGCCTCAGCCTCCTGAGTAGCTGGGACTACAGGACTGCATCATCACGCCCGGCAAACTTTTGTACTTTTAGTAGAGACAGGGTTTCACCATGTTGGCCACGCTGGTCTCCAACTCCTGACCTCAGGTGATCCACCTGCCTTGGCCTCCCAAAGTGCTGGGATTACAGGCGTGAGCCACTGCAACTGGCCTGATCTTTAATCTTGAAATGGTAAGACAATATCAAAACACAACAAAAAGACCTACACAGACCAGATGCATTTCCCAAATGAATGTTAAAAAAATAGGCGTCTAAAAACAAGAAGGAATGGTAAAGGCAGTGGCAAACTGGACACCTCAGAGCCATCTGAGAGCTGCAACCACTCAATGGCACCAAGTGCTGCCAGATCTCCTGAGAGGCAAGAATCCCCAACTGTTGTATGAAATCTCCCCAATTTTTCAATGTTGGCTCAAATGATTTTTGACTTCTTTGCAAGTACACCTGCTGGCCAACAGTTCTGTGACTTTTCTTCTAGAATATTACCAATCTGCTTATATTGGGCAAAAAATCTGCAATGTAATTAACCTTGCTGGAATTGGTGACAAGTACATCTGCTAGTGGGGTGTCTGAACAGCTTTTGTGCCACGTGCCTGGGAGGAGCACCTTCGGCAGGACTGCCTGAAGTGCTTCCATGGGAAAACTACCTTTTGGGGCAAAGCTTTTGGGGCAATCATAAATCTAAGCGTGAACATCACAAACATCAAGTTCCACAAACAGGCTTTGCCACCCCTACGAAAGTCCACACCACTCTTTATCTGTTTTCTGTTCTGACTCTGTATCACACAACTTCCTATGAAGAGGCTTTCATCACTCAGGAAAAGGGGAGAGGCCTGAAAACCACAAATGTAGGACAGTAAAATCCTTCTGCTGAACTAGTGCTTCTAAAAGAGCTTACGGTCTTCTTTCTCAATCTATAAAACAAAGCAAACACAAATTTTATTATGAGCTTATTCTGAGCTCTTCTATTTGCTGCATGACTATTCTTAGCTCATTTTCTAAGCAGTTTCCTGAGCGTATGTAGTCCAGAACACCAGAGGTGAGAGTTAGAAATTTCATTTATATCTTTTCCCCTTATGATGTAGGCCATTAACTCTTCTCACAGATTAGGTGCAGGTGCATGTGTGAGCACCTGCAGATGCATGTAACTGTCTTCCTGACTCACCACTTTCACCTCTTTTACTTAGTGAGTGCCTGGCACATATTTAGTACTCACTAAGTTGGTTCTCACTGAGTCACCAACTTGCCTCAGCATATGTGCCGGGTGCTGGGAGGCAGGCCACACAGGGGGATTAGTAGTCTGCCTGGGTCCCTGTCTACCCTCTGGCCTTTCCTGTCCCTTTCCTCCCTCTCACAGCACCCCCAAAGCATTTCTGAGGGCTCCCTGGAGAGAAAAAGTCACTATTCTAGAACAATTTATTTACTTATTTTTATTTCTATTTTTTGAGACGGAGTCTGACTCTGTCGTGCAGGCTGGAGTGCAGTGATGTGATCTCGGCTCACTGCAACCTCCATCTCCCGGGTTCAAGTGATTCTCCTGCCTCAGACTCCCGAGTAGCTGGGATTACAGGCAAGCACCACCATGCCCAGCTAATATTTTTTGTATTTTTAGTAGAGGCAGGATTTCATCACATTGGCCAGGCTGGTCTCCTGACATACAATCTGCCCGCCTCGGCCTCCCAAAGTGCTGGGATTACAGGCGTAAGCCACCAGGCCTGACCTCCATCTCCCATTTCTTGAGGGGAATCAGTGTCTGGTTCAATCACAGCTTCGTTATCAATTTCTAGATCACTTTCCTCACTTGATAGTTCGTCTGTGCTTATGTTTTCCTCCACCTTCTTACTACCTGTTTTTAATTCCTTGATATTTTCTTCTGATTTATAATAGCTTTCTGAGTAGCACATGGTACTTCACCCCCCATGCTCTCCACCTGCTCCCTCAGAAAGCACATTTCCTTGGTATGCAGAATGCTCGGATCCTGCTTATACATTTTCACGAAGTCCCGAAGCTCGTTCACTTTGCGAAGGTCCAGGGTCGGAAGGCAGTGGGCGAAGCTGAGGGGCTGCAGGCCAGTTTCAGGCCCAGGCACTGGCTTGGCGTAACCTCGAAGAAGGGGTGTGTCTAGTTTAATTTCATAACTTGTGTTGGCTCTTTGTTTGATAAGAAGGTATATCACTAAAACTATTCTTTTTAGTGCCTAGGGTTGGTTTCTAATTATATATGCATAAAAGAGCAAGAAGAGGTTTGTCTATAGTAACTATACAATAATTCGGAAAGAGATGAAGATTAATGAGGTTAAGGTAATATTTATATGTATGAGAAAGATTTTCTGCCACTGTAAAAAGGGTGGGGAAGTACCCTCTGACAGCCACTAGGTGGCACCCCAATCCTGGACATCATCATTACTTTTGTCAGAAGAGAGAAGGTAGTGTGGGAAGAGCAGCTGTAGTTTGTGCCTAAGGCTGGAGTTTGTGGCTTGGGCAATTGTGGGCAACTGCCTCCATATATGGCATCTTATTTTAAATTTTAAATTTACATAAATTATAAGTTTCTGCAAAAGGGAACAACTTCTATACCCACTCCCTACAGACCCACAGTGAACAACACGTAGCATGACTAAGAAATAAAGCTTTGTTGTTTTTAGCCATTGAGATTCCAGAATGTTTGTTCTAGCAGCATCATCTAGAACAACATGACTGATACACCTGGTACTTGTAGGAGTATGAGGCAAGGGAAGACAGACAGAGGGAGAACTAAATGGTGGCTGAGGCCAGGGCCTGGGTAGGCTACAACGACTGAGCAACTGGTGGATCAATTTGAGTCAAGGAAAGACAATATAGATGATGGTCAGGAGAAGCAGTGTTGTAGAACCCAAGAAAAAAATGTTAATTCAGAAAAATATGTTAATTCTGGTATATTTCTAAAGACAACAAGCATCAAAATTAAGGGACAAGAAACAAAATTAAGTGGAATGTGTAATTAGTAGGTCAATGGAGACCAATTTCAATGGCATGACAGATATGGAAACCAGATTTCAAGTGCTTGATACTTCACAAACTTCTAGATATAATATGAACATATGTAAGTATATATTGGAAGCAAATCTAACATTTTACATTTTGTACAGTGTATCACATAGGACAGGGATGATAAAACAATCCCAGGAGTATTAAATTCAGTATAATTCAGTATAACTGACCAAGTCACAAGATATAAGAATTGAAAAAGCAGTGTAAATAATCTTCACTTTTAAATTCTATAAATGATTATCAAGGCAAGATTAGAGCATATTAATATAAAATACATAGAGCCACTTTAAGATATTGCTTATTATAAGTGAGAATATTCAACAGTTCGTTCTACTGTTCTCAGCATTGTAGCCTATATTTAAAAATTGGCTTTAAAAACAATAGTAGCCAACAAATACAGGTAAGTTTGAATGCATGTTTTTAAGTCAAGCAAAAATAATGAGTGCAAAAGAGAAGGTATCCTTTTGAGGCAGACAAAATAGTATTTTAAGATAAGCCTTAGTTAAAAATCATGATATCAAACTGGTCATTTTTCAATGCCAAAAAGAAAGGCTGCGTCAAGTTGTCTAAACAATCACATATCTGCAAATACTCCCGAAGGACAGAGACCTGGGATGCTGCTAAACATCCTACAATACATAGGACAGTCCCCCAAGGATAGCGGCAACAGGTCTAAACTGTGAATGGTGCAAAGGTGGAGAAAATTTGGTCTAGAAGAACATGCAAATCCAAAATAACAAGGCTTTCCTATTAGAAGTTATTTTCCCAACAACTTTAAAGTGCTTACAAATTCAGAAGGTGTAATCTACTTTCATTTTGGATTCATTTGATTTAAAATCATTAAAAATCTGTTAGGAAAAAAACCCCACGTCTGCTAAGACCAACTGAAAACCAAATTAGTGCCTTTAAGTGATTCAACAATTCAAAGCTATTAGATCTTTTTTTTCTTTTTTTTTTTTTGAGACGGAGTCTCACTCTGTCGCCAGGCTGGAGTGCAGTAGCACCATCTCGGCTTGCTGCAACCTCTGCCTGCTGGGTTCAAGTGATTCTCGTGCCTTAGCCTCCCGAGTAGCTGGGATTACAGGCACACGCCACCACATCCAGCTAATTTTTGTATTTTTAGTAGAGATGGAGTTTCATTTCACCATGTTGGCCAGGATGGTCTCAATCTCCTGACCTCATGATCTGCCCGCCTCGGCCTCTCAAAGTGCTGGGATTACAGGCGTGAGCCACTATGCCCGGCCGCTACTAGATCTTAATACGTCCTGGTGGTTTTCTAAAACTTAATCAGTTTCAGAGTTGGTTGTTTCATCTTTATTTTAGAAATAAAACAAAAAAAGAAAAAGGTACCGTGCTTTAAAAGAACAAGTGCACATAGTGGTTTCAGAGAATTATCTAAAAGAAAGGGCATTAGTAGAAAATTATGACAATTTACTGTGACCTTAGGCCCTGACCAGAGCTTTGAGGGGGGCAGAGTCCATGCAGGACAATATGCTGTTCCCATCCTGCCTGCACAAACCACCTGTTCAGTCTTCAAGAACCCAGTGCAGCCTCTTTCTCTTTGAAAACTTCCCCCATGTCTCTGACCCACACAGACTTTTCCTGTTTCCAACTGCCAACTCTATACACACACGCTGCTTCCAAAATGTGACTATAAATGCTTGAGGGCAGGGTCTACATCTCCTCCACGTTTTGCACACTCACTCAACAACTACTATAATTGAAGGAAACTTAGCATGAGAATTCACTTGACAGCTTTGGGAAGATTTCCCACTTGCTCTAAAATATGTTTAAAAAAGAAGTGAACAAAAGCAAAAATCAAAAAATAAATGCAAAAACCCACCATGAATGAAAATGTTCTATGGATACAAAATGATTTAGAGGGATCTGAAAATAAGGACTGATGATCTGATTTATCAAAAGCTGAATTCTGTGTCCGTCATACACAAAAATTATACAGATAAATTAGAGAGTAATTAATCAGATTATTAAAGGACCCACCTCAAGGTATTTCAAATTAGAAAGTCTCTTACAGAAAAGACTGATTTATAAGACTACAGTCAAAAGATTTTATGAATTCAAATCCATTATCTTACAAATGAAACTATTTTCAAGTCCTACACTCCTGCCTCAGTTAATAAAACAAAAACAAAAAACTTCAGGTTTTGTTCTAAACAGGATGACAAAGGCCTAGTTGTGTATATACAACAATGTGCAAAGACACATTTCTGTGCCTAGAGTGACTCCTGTGAATAATCATACTGCTGAAAATGTTTCCCTATATATCCCAAGATATTGCCTCATATGGCTCATTCCTTAAGCAGCCCCCTAAGTGCCAAGTAATCACTAAGGGTAAAAAGGTGAATAGGGCAGTACCTGTCCTGAGATACCCGTGGCCTAGTGAGAATCTGTAGGGCAGAGCTGAGCTGAGCCCTAGGTGGCTCCAGGGCCACAGGCCATGGCAAAGGCCTCCTGGGGGAACCTGCGAGGGCAAAGTGGTTCAACAGTTCAAGTCTTGAAGTCCAATGTCTAACAGCCCTCTCCTCTGACATGCGACGTACACCCCTAATGCAACACATCCGAAACTGAGCTCTGGGTCTCCTTCCAAAAGACACTTGCTTCTGCCACTGAAGCTCTGAGTGTGGTTAATTCCATCACTTCTATCTTCACCAGAAAGGTCCACCTCCCCTTTCATTCTCCTCTTCCTCCTCCTGAATAGCTTGTAAGTCACCAAGTGATGTTGAGTGTTTCTCTCAGATGCTTCTGGAACCATTTCCATCGTTGGCATCCCACTGCCAAGCAACTTTTGCATGGGAACGTCTTACTGGGCTATGGCAGCAGCAGCTGAACTGGTTTTCCTACCACACCTTTCCCTAGTATGTTCCTTAGAAGCAGATCAGACTGTGTCCTTCCACGGCCTACAGGAAAAAATCTAGTATTCTTAACAGAGACGTTTCTCAACCTGGCCTCAACCTGTCTTTACAATCTCATCCTCACCAAAATCCCTGCCTGTGCTAGAAACCATTGCCTTGGTTCCCTGAAAACACCATTTATGTTCAGGCCTCCAGCCCTCTTGCTCAGGCTGTTCCCTCTACATAGAATGGTCTCTTCTGCTCCCTTCTCTGCTGGGAGAATGGCTGCTCTGTTTAGGGCCCAGCTAAAATGCTTCTATTATGCAAAGCCTGCCTTGACCCCAAGTACACCTAAAGCCCAGATGTTCTCATGGCACTCTGTATAAACTCTTATTTGGAGCTCATCATACACACAAAAGGTGTTTTGTTTGGTTGGGAACGCAGTGATAGGAAACTTCATTCTCAGAGTACTCATAATGTAATCAGGAAGCAAAGCCTAAGGAAAGCAAGTCACTCGAGGCCTGGACTCAAATGCTGACACTGCGTCTGTTCTTCCTCTTTCTCATTTTCTCTCTAGTCTCTAAAAATCTTAAGTCCTAGTCCCTGAAGTTGATCACAGGTGTTGGAATTATGAAAACAACCTTCAAAGAACATTATGTGTGATTAGCTTGATGCTCTGAGAGGTGTTGGCCTCCACAAAGACAACTCTGAAAATCCAAATAAATCTCTGACTGGGAGACTGAACTGTGGAAAGGAGTCTCACCACACCTGGAGCCTGCTGGTTTTCCTTGTTCAATTCAAATTGCTACCCCACTCCACCTCGACCTGCTTATACCACACATGCCACCCAAAAATAGTTTGCTGAATTGTCAACCATGACTCGGGACTGGCATTCTCTGGCAGCACACACCCATCCACCAGTAGACGCATGAGAGCAGTCCGCACTGGTGGGCAGCTGCAGCAGGCCAAGTGATGTGGGATATTCAAACAGAGTGGAGTATGGAGAAGTGGAATGAACCTTCTTTCTTTTCAGCATTTATTTTATTGAAATTATATAAATAGAATCAAGAATGCCATTCTGTCTACATAAGCAAGTTGAACTGGTGGTCAAAAGTACAGATATACATGTGTCTATAATTCTAGAACTAATAACCAGGAAGCCAAGAAGTCAAATAAACATTGGCTGAAATGAAAGTTAATCTATGGTTTTATCTGTCCAAATCAGTACTAAAAATAACTCAGAGGAAGGAGAGATGTATTATCTATTCTAAAATAACTGCATTTAAGAACAAATTCAACTCTAATATAGCCAGGCATTACAGTATTTCAAAGTACAATAAAGAAAGTCATGAAGGGCAAGGAGCAGTGGCTCACGCCTGTAATCCCAGCACTTTGGGAGGCCAAGGTGAGGGGATCACCTGAGGTCAGGAGTTGGAGACCAGCCTGGTCAACACGGCGAAACCCCCTCTCTACTTAAAATACAAAAATTAGCCAGGCATGGTGGCGCATGCCTGTAATCCCAGCTATTTGGAGGCTGAGGCAGGAGAATCATTTGAACCCGGGAGGCAGAGGTTGCAGTGTGCCCAGATCGCACCACTGCACTCCAGCCTGGGTGACAGAGCAAGACTCTCTCCAAAAAAAAAAAGCTATGAAGAAAAATATGAAAAAAGTAAAAAATTCATAAGTGGTTATTCACATTACCATTGTATTACAAGGATAATACAATGTATCATAAAACAGTAAAACACTTGGTCTGGGGTAGGGAGAAACAAGTTAAAAGGAATTTGGTTGGGGGGTGCATATAAAAACATGGTTAAGACAGGAACTAAGTAAAAACTGCTCTCTAGTCACCTCTAATCACAGCTCCCCCACCACTACTCCATCTTCATCCTTTCACCCTCAAAATTGTTAAATGACATACAACAGGAGGAAGTAAGAATCAGGTAAGCTAAACCCAGTGGCAGAACTCAAAGAACATTTCTTTATAAAATCAGGAAAACTAGAGCCTCACAAATTCTGAGACAAGGACTTTATGCTCTCTACTCTAAGAGATGGGACATTCACGATTTACAACCTGAAACACCTCTGACAGAATAGCAGGCATCTTGACGTAAGGTCAAATAGAGAGAACACCCACATGGACTATGTCCTAAGTCAATCAGATAAAGGATCTGAAAACAATACATGTTAAGGAAAAGGCACGTCCCAGGCCAGCCTCCAGAGTCCACCTTAACAAGTGGCATCAATGGTCAAGCCTGAAGAGCTAATAAGTATAAATTTTAAATACATTTGTCCCTCAATTAGTTACTAATGAATGGTTCTCATTAGCAGATGTTCCATGTATCTGAAGCACACTACCTTTATGAGTGAAAGCTTTGGGTAAACAACAGGCTGTGTGCATTGATGACATTTATGACTTCCCCTCATCTCCTCCTCCCATGCTTCCATTGTTCACACCCTAAGTTCCATCCGGGCCTTTGTCTGTTTTGTCCACTGCTGCATCCCCAGCAGCTGTAATGTCACCTAAGACATTGTAGGAGCTCGTCTACGGCCATACCACCCTGAACGCACCCGATCTTGTCTGATCTCGGAAGCTAAGCAGGGTTGGGCCTGGTTACTACTTGGATGGGAGACATTGTAGGAGCTCATCTGTTAAACAAATGAGTCCTTCTCTATCCAGGAAACAAGCAAACCAAATAAGACTCTTAGATTTTTGCCCAAATTAAAAGTAAGGAGTGAGGCTCTTCTGGCAGAACAGAATCCCTCTTTGCTTCTTATGTTTATCAGCTAAACTTTGGGGGAAAAAAATGGACCACAAGAAAAGAATCACACATTAAATGAGAATGTGCCAGGCTAATTGCTCTATTTTCTATGTTCTTACCAGTTTGACTTTAGAGGAAAGATTTTCTGGCAATTTTGTTTTTAGTTGATTTGTTTCCTTGAATGTTGGTGGAAATCCACTCAGGAAAGCCAAATCTTGCATTAGCACTAATCCAGGGACTTCTTTATCTGTTGTCTAAAATAAGGGGAAAAACATAACTCATTTTCCACATCATGAGGCTGGTGAAAACCTACAGCTGAGAAAACTGGTAAAGATCTATTGCATCACAACACAAGCTTCAAAATATGATTTTTAGGATTACTTGAATCAACAGTCATTAATATTAGTAAGCTACCCTTAGATAAAAAATAAACATTAAAAAGATTCTCAAAGAAAAACAGCTTTATTATTCATATTTTTATTCTAGTCTATTGTAAAAATGCAATTAAATTTAAAATAACATACCAAGTAGCCCCTCCATACTGTCTGTCTGCTATTTCCTTTAAGCAGTCCAGAGTGGGCATCTTCAACTACAACCAAGAATACAATAAACAAGCACATTTTTAATGAATACTCAACTATGGTGTCTGGCAGAACACTGTGAAAACATTCTGAGAGCTATTAAAGCAGCATAATATATGGTCCAAAAAAAGGAAGCTGAAGGAGACAAAATTAGCCCATTCAACAAAAGGGGAACAATGTAAATCAGTGTACGTTGAAATGTTAAATTTCACAATACCAAAGGTGATTGACATAAAGGGAATTCTTCATGGGAGCAGTCAAATTTAAGCTAGAATGCGAAGACAGAAATGATAGGATGATAGAAATCACAGATGTATATGCAAAGACAGGGGGAAAAAGAAAGAATTGTTTGACTAGAGTAAAATATTTGGGAGTGGTGAGTACTAGGAAACAAGGGTAACCAAAGGGGCCCTTGAACACCAGGCAGTGGCATGTATGTTAACAGCAGGGGGCTACTATGGATCTTGTGGTTCCTTAAGAGGCACAGTTTTCTCATAATGAATCCCCAGTTCATTGGGTGCTGCTGAATGGAGCATCATAAGTCACAGTAGGGATTGGGGGTGACACAGCCCAACTGGGAGAGAGTTAGTGATGGGGACAAGTGAGATCAACAAACTCACTGCTGACATTCAGGGATTGTGGAAAACAAAAGAGAGGTCAGAAAGCTCCAATTCTGATCTTCAAGATAAACAAAGAAGGCAGGTTCTCCAAATTATAGCCTGATGAGATGAGATGTCAATCCTGGGCATGAGTCTCAAGTGTACTATAGTTACAGGGCACAGTAGCTCATGCCTGTAATCCCAGCACTTTGGGAGGCTGAGGCAGGAGTATCACTTGAGCCCAGAAGTTCTATATCAGCCTGGGCAACATGGCAAAACCCTGTCTCTACAAAAAACAAACAAACAAACAAAAAACACAAAAACTAGCCGAGTGTGGTGGTGTGCACCTATAGTCCCAGCTACTCAGGAGGCTGAGATGGGAGGATCATCTGAGCCCCGGAGTTGGGGCTGTGGTGAGCCATGATCATGCCACTGCACTCTAGCCTGGGTGACAGAGTGAGGCCTGGTCTCAAAAACTGAAAAAAAACAATATAGTTGGTGAGCACTGAGAAAAGAAAGCCTTCATAATACACTGTTTATCTTTAAAGGAAGCACTGGCTGTTAAGAGTATGAATTCATTACAACTTTATCAGATAAACTTTTCTCTCTCTCTTTCCATTGATATGATGAATTCTACCTAACAGACCTGGTATATGTATTTGTAATCTCAGCAAAGTAGCTAAGGGCATCTCATGTCATCTTCATGGATATAACAAAGACATACAGGCTCGATGCTCAGGTGGGCTAGAACTTAACCAATTCTACCAAAGAGGTGTAGGTAACAAAGCCGCAATCAACCTAGAGGGAGGTTTAGGAGATTAGTCATAGGTCCGGTCTTGCTGAACCCTCTATCAATGTTTTGGAAGTTACAGAAGGCATGCTTGTGAAATGTGTAGATTCATAGGAAGATGGCAGAGAAGCTATTGTCCTGGATAAGAGACTATGGATTTCCCAAATTTGTGACTATTTGGAGCAATGAGTCAAATCTGGCAAAATAAAATCTCCTATGAAGTAAAACCTTTATATATGGTACCAAAACCAACTACACAAGCATACACTAAAATAGGTATTTGAGCATTAGAATATATAAGTTTTTTTTTTAAAAAGATAAGTTTTACTCAACAGTGAGTTCAGTATGAGTCAACAATGTGCTGTGGCCACACTGAATTTCCATCACATTTTTGTGCTTTTAAACAGAAGTAAAGTACGTCGAATAAAAAAGGTGATGATGTTCTCTAACACCGAGTCATTAGGAAACCCTGTTGGGTTGACCTTCAAAATGTCCAGAATCCAACCACTTCTTATCTTCACTGCACCTCCCTGGTCTAAGCAACCTTCCCTCTTGTCTGAATTATCACAACTTTTGCCCCTCCTCAGTCTATTTCCACCAAAGAAGCCAGATTGACTGCCTGGAATGTAAGTCAGATCACATTACATTTCTACTCAAAACCCTCTGGTGATTCCTCATCCTACTCCAAGTTAAAGCCAGGTCCTTGTTATGGTTACTAGGGCCTACACTATTTGGTCCCCTGCTTACTTCTTCAGGTTCATCTACTGCCTGCCTCTGTCTTGTTCACTCCATTCCAGCCACACTAGCCTCCTGGCTTTTCTTCAAACATGCCAGATACACTCCTGCCTCAGGGCCTTTGCAATGGCTATTCTACTTACCCAGATCAGTCTTTCCCCAGATATTCGCATTGCTGGCTACCTCACCTTCTTCACATTTCCACTCAAAAGTCACCTTCTGAGTGAGCAATGTCCCTACCATCCAAATTAGAATTGCAACCCCCTGCCCTGGCCGACACTTCCTCTGCTGCTGCCCCTGCTTGGTTTTTTTCTAAAGCATTATCTTCTATAAACTATGTAATCTACTTATTTATCGTGTTTACCGTCTGACTCTCTGACTCCCTCCACCAAGATGTAAACACAAGGTAAGGGTAGAGATTTTTGCCCATCTGTTCCCTGCTGTATCTTCAGTACAGGGAACAGTACCTGGCACACAGCAGGCACTTAATAAGCACTCATTAAACAGACAGTCCTGCTCTCCCTGCCAAGACAGAACCACACTAAAATAGAATGTTCACTTCCCATTGACACATTTTAAAAGTAATCTGAGAAGAGCAAACTGGGACACTGACAAGTCCCTGAGAGACAGCCAAAGAAAGGAAAATAAAATGTCCCAAGGGAGAGGGATTACGTGAGTTCTGTGTGACCATAGGAGGCACAGCTTTAACCTACGTGAGAAAGTTATAAGGAAGCAGTTTGTGGTTCCTTTTAAAAGTCAGTTTAGTCTAGAGGTAAAATGAATTGCCACTGGAGGAAATTTGTTTGCTATAAATCAAAAAGTATAAGCTTGACTGGAAAAACTACTTTGCTGAGTAGACCCAGCTCCAGGCTGCAGTTCGAATATGTGAGTGCTGAGGTACAAATCAGTTCAGGATCTATAGAGTGAAGGGGCAGACATTTATACTTGGAAAGGTTAACATTTCCTTTCATACTAAAAATAACTTTTTTTTTTTTTTCAGACAGGGTCTCACTCTTGCCCAGGCTGGAGATCAGTGGTGCAATCTCAGCTCACTGCAGCCTCAACCTCCCAGGCTCAAGCGATCCTACCATCTCAGCCTCCCAAGTAGCTGGGATTACAGGTGCATGCCATCATGCCAGACTAATTTTTGTTTTTTTTTTTGTAGAGACAGGGTTTTGCCATGTTACCAAGTCTGGTTTTGAACTCCTGAGCTCAAGCAATCTGCCCACCTTGGCCTCCCAAAGTGCTGGGATTATAGGCGTGAGCCACCACACCCAACCTCAAACTAAAAATAACTTGTTAAGTATCAGGGAGCGAGCACTGTTAGACACTGATCAGGATATAAACTGGTGAGTGGTAAGTTTTCTGTTCAATAAAAAAATTCCATGAGAAAAACCATAAACTCCTGTGCAATCAAAACCTAAAGTCATGAGTTAGATTATAAGTATTACAGAAATACAGAAAAGTAAAAATAAAATCATTGTGAATATATTAGTCCAGGAGCTTCATGAAGGAGAGAGGACTTGAAGTGGGGCTGGACGAAGCAGGGGATGTACTGAGAGGGAAGGGGAAGGGGACAGGCAGTGGGACACAAGGCCTAGCACCACATGTGTGAAGACACTGACAGCTGCAATGTGATGCAGGGAGGGCAGGGATGTGGGGATCAACTGACAAAATCAAGGCAATTAGAGCTGAATCCCAAACACCAGGAAGAGAAGTTTGTATCCATGTGAAAAGCAAACATGAACTGCTATATTATTCTTTTCATAAAGGCAGTGAACCCATAAAATCAGGGTTTTCAGATTTATGTGAGACCTGTGTGCCAGACAGACTGAGATGGACTTTACATAGACAGAGCAGGAGTCCGATTATTGGAGTCTGTGTGAGGGAATTCAGTCTGGTGTGGAGGAAATAAGTAAGGTAAGAACCTAAGAATCATGTGGAAAAAAAAAAAAAGCAAGTCATAGGATGAAGTTAATTATTAGTTATAGATGTAAAAAGTAAGGAGTCAAAGATGGTTCCAAAGATTTAAGCTGGGAGGTATGACACTGATAGAATGGGAGCTAGAGAACTAGACTTGGTGTTGGAAAGGGAACACGGCAGCTTTCATTTTACACATAAAAACCACGGACCTTCCAAATAGAGACAATCCATGCAGAGGAGGAATGAGACAGACAAGAGGCTAGAGCAGAAGACGCAGGTTATGGGCTCAGCAGTACACTGGTCAAGTGGGAGAATGGGATCTCTAAGGATGTGGGTGCAGTTTTATGCCAGGAATTACCATTTTAATTCCATTATCTGCCCAAATCATCTGTTGTCTTATAAATAACAGAAATCTGTTTTTCACAGTTCTGGTGGCCAAAGTCTGAGATCAGAGTGCCAGCACGCTTGGGTTTTGGTGAGGGTACTCTTCTAGGTTGCAGATGGCATCTTCTCATAACGTCACATGGTGGAGAGCAGAGGGAGCTCTCTGGAGTCTCTTTTGCTATTATTTATTATTTTGAGGCAAGGCCTCGTTCTACTGTCCAGGCTGGAGTACTGCTCAGCCTTGAATTCCTGGGCTCAAGTGATCCTCCTGCCTTAGCCTCCCAAGTAGCTAGGACTACAGGCACATACCACCATGTCCAGCTGTGTGTTTTTTTGGTTGCTGTTGTTGTTTTTTGGTAGAGACAGGTTCCCACTATGTTGCCCAGGCTGGTCTTGAACTCCTTAGGCTCAAGCAATCCTTCTTAGTCTCCCAAAATTGCTAGGATTACAGGCATGAGCCACTATGCCCAGCCTGGGATCTCTTTTATAAGGGTACTAATCCCATCAAAGGCTCCACCTCCCAATACCATCATGCTGGGTGTTATGATTTCAACATACAAATTTTGGAGGAAACACATTCAGTTCATATATTTCAGAATGTAAAGAATCAATACTCCAGGTATGTTCTGCCCAAACTGCAGAACGCTACCTAGTAGAGGAGTTATATAGTAGAAAAATTGCCTCTAGAATAATTCAGAGCCAAGAGAACAAGGTAATTGTGATATCAGATTGAAAGTCCTCATCACAGCACAGAAAGGTATGTGTATTACACAGAGTAAAATATATGCAGCAATCCCTTTTTGAGGTTAAGGCCAAAATACAATAGCAGCTGTTTTGCTTCTCTTTGTGCATTTTTAGAAAAGTTTATCAGACATTTAAGAATGAATCATTTCTATTCCACTCAGAATTTTGTTATTCAAACATCCAATGATAACATGATTTTAAAATATCCATAAAAAGATCTTACCATCCTTAGTACTGTCAAAAACAACAACTGAGACATTGGTAGAAGGGTTTTTTGGTTTTGCAACATTGAAAATGTCACTGGCAGAATGAAAAGAAGGATAAAGAGATGGCAGGTCCTTCAGGGTGATGTTGGCTGGCAGGGCTGGGTCCAGGACAAGCATTGGCACCTTAATGCAGTGTGTTAGCAAACACTCTAACTGCTTCTCACTGGAAAGAAACACCAACATGCTTACAATTACATTCTTGAAATTTAATCAGCAATGAGAAGCTTGTCATACTACTAAATTTTTCAGATTTTTTTATAGCCCATAAAAAATGATAATATTTTAACAAATGAAGACTTTTATCTCATGGATACAAAAATTAAGTTAGCAAGTATGATATAAAATTGTTAAACCCAACTCCAAAGATAGAGCTTTCAAACTCCCATTAATAAGATCCCCACCAATATTTACTAATTCCAAAATGCACATGAAATTAAGCACTTCATTACTATCATTTTTTAAAGATTATTCATAATTCCAATAAAGCCCATTATTGGACAGATTAGGAAGGAGGCAGATTCTGGTTAATAGAGTGTCATGTTACCAGATACAAGTTACCAATTCCAGTTAGAAAACAACTAAATACATTGGATGTGACACTACACTGATGTAAACAAAAGCAACTGTGACATGGTTCTAAAATAAATTTATATGAGATATTTCTATCTGATTATAAGAAATATCTACAATAAACATATTACCTGAATAAACAAATGGATGGGCAAAGGACACGGCTAGAAAATTCACAAAGTAGGACCTATAACCAGTTAAACAGTATAAAAAATTGTTCAACTTCCTTAATAAAGACATGTAAAAGAAAACAATGAGCTATCACCTTTACTAAATTAGCACCCCTCAAAAAATGATGACTCAATATTAGCACAAGTGCAGTAAATCTCCTTCTCTTAAATACTGCTGGTGTCACTCCAAACGACACCAAATCTTTTGGGAAAGCAAGTTGGTAATATATACATGTATGCTTGTCTAATACACATATGTATACATATATACTTATTCAGAACCATAAAAACATACATAAGCTTCGTCCTCAGTAATCTTACTTTTAGGAATCTAGTCCAGTCCAAGTAGGGAAGAGAAACAAAACAGGAAAAACAAACCCACACACAGAAAATGCCACAGACCTAAATATAAGTATCATGAAATATTGACAATAGTGAAATACAGAAATGCCCAACATTTAGTAAATTACAGTAGTCACTTTATGGAATATTATACAACTATTAAAACTGAAAGATATGAAGCATGAAGATAATGCATCAACATGATACATACATATAATTACATAAAGTTTAAAAAGGATACAAAACTGCCCACAGATTATAAACTACAACTATTCAAATATGCATGAAAAGGGAATAAAAATAACAGTTGTTAAATAAGATTTATAAAATTTTGTGAGTTTTTGCTTTTCACTTTCCTCTCAATCTTTCTTCATGTTGCACCATTGCTTTTATTTAAATAATTTAAAAACCATTTAAAAAACAGTATTAATGTTAATATAATTTATAAATAAAGCTATATAATTAACATAAAAGATAGCTTAGAAGGCACTTCTGAGGCCGGATGCGGTGACTCACGCCTGTAATCCAGTACTTTGGGAGGCCGAGGCGGGCGGATCACCTGAGGTCGGGAGTTTGAGACCAGCCTGATCAACATGGAGAAACCCCGTCTCTACTAAAAATACAAAATTAGTCAGGCGTGGTGGTGCATGCCTATAATCCTAGCTACTCGGGAGGCTGAGGCAGGAGAATTGCTTGAACCTGGGAGGCGGAGGTTGCGGTGAGCCGAGATCGCGCCACTGCACTCCAGCCTGGACAACAAGAGCAAAACTCCGTCTCAAAAAAAAAAAAAAAAAGGCACTTCTGGATCTTGAAATTCTCAGGATCTTCTCTATCAATAAGTGTTTTTAAAAGTCTGATGGTTAAGTGGGGAGGTGACAATTAACAGAGATTGCTTGTCAGTGAGACAGTCTTGTTTTAAGGACCTATCAGAGTCAGGAATGACTCAAGTCGAGATAGGTGTATTTGGTTCTTGTTGTTGGGCTAAATCTCCTTCCCAGGTTCTTAAACATAAAATATACAGCTTCACAGCTTTTAAAGATAAGGATGTATATATTGAACCTATAAGTAAATGATGGACATAAATTTTATAAATGAAAATACTGGGTAGAAGATACAGTGTAAGTGGACCAAGATAACAATGCACCAAGAGGGAACTAAAGAGAAGGAAATCTTGGGACTCTAACCCTCCCCAGTGCAGTGAAGCTTTGGTTAGCAAAATAACCAGAATTCTCAGTCAACTATGCACTCAGCACTGCAAAATTTCCTGTCTAATAGATGTACCTAATTTGGGGTCAAAAACTATATGGATAATAAACACAAAATCCTGTGTACCCAATAAAAACAAATGATAATCTGAAATTTCACTTCAATCCTTCACTTTTTACTCTTGAGAGGAAATCAAAATGCTTACCTCTTCTTAGTAGGTTCCGTTGTGTTTTTCCCAAGGATTTCTCTAATAAAAAGCAAATACAGTTTATTACATACATATGGGCTACTATACCTCCCACTGTAACCAAGACGGTTTGCTTAGAGCATAAACTTTCATATTTTATTAGTAAAACATGGTACCAGGCTGTCAGCCATTTTCATGCACTGGGAAAGTCATATAACCTCTAACAAAGAGAAAATGAATTTGCTCCAATATAAGGTGGCCAAAGACCTGCACTGGGGTGCACTCTTGACATTCACAAAGAAGTCAACAAGTAGGTACTAAGAAATACTCCTAACGAATCAAAGGGGAATTACATCAGCCAGGTTCCTACCTCTTATGGCTATCCAGAAGTCCGCTGTAACTTTCCCAGATAAAGTAAATAAAATGACCAATCTCATATATTAAATAAAAAGTACCAAAGTTTCTAATTCCATAGTCTGTAATTTATTCCTAAAAGGCATAAAGGGAGTATACTTTTTACTGCCGTTTTCAAATGGAAACAAGTCTGTGGGCCTATTATATTTTTCAAGGGAAGAATCTGTCTTACTGTGGAGATATTTTTCATAATAAACACTTATTTCAAGAAGATACCACACCTGGGGCTCAAAATGAGTGAGTAGGCAGCCAGCGGGTTGGGGGAGGGGGTCCTCTGTCTTTAGGTCCCTTGAAGAGCAAGCCGTTACTAGAGCACCATATTCATAAAATCATCATCTAACAAAGTGAGGCCAGTATCTGGCAAAAGTGGCTGAGTTCTCCTTGGGCACCAAGAAACACAGGCCAGATGGATGACTGCCAAGATCTCGTAATGGCATGAACTGAGGGGCAAGTTTGTTTGGATGGCACTGTGAAAATCAACTTACCCTTCTCTAATGCATGCTTACTTGTACCCACAGGACTATGTGTTTTGTTTTGTTCTCTTTTCTTTTTCTTTTTTGAGACAGGGTCTCACTCTGTCACCCAAGTTGGAGGGCAGTGATACAATCACGGCTCACTGCAGCCTCAACCTCCTGAGCTCAAATGATTCTCCCGCCTTAGCCTCCCAATTAGCTGGGATTGCAGGCGTGCACCATCACGCCCAACAAACTTTTTATTTTTTGTAGAGATGAAGTCTCACTATGTTGCCCAGGCTGGTCTTGAACTCCTGGCCTCAAGTGATCCTCCCACCTCCACCTCCCAAAGTTCTGGGATTACAGGTGTGAGCCACCATGCCTGGCCTGTTTTGTTTTTTAAAAATCAGTTTTACCAGATCCTTTTGTAGTTCATTAGCATGATGACTGGGTTTTCATGCTCATATGTGAGATGTGCCACCCTCAGACCTTATTACATCGCCACATTACCCATCTGATGTGAAAAAAAAAATCAGTTTTACCTCATTGCTTTCTGCTCCTCCTCCATCTGTTCTCTGACCTGCTGTAGTTCCTTCAGTAGTTCAAGATCTGTGCCATTCACCCAGGTGTAAACAACGTCAATCGGCATGGGCAGACAAAGCCTAGGGCAAACCAACAAATCCTCCAGCTTAAATGCATTTTTCCAATATATTTGGTAATAAGAATATCACAGGGTTTAAACCCAGAGATTATGAAAAAAATCTCTGAAGAAGTAATCCAACCATGACATATTATCACAGAACTGCATGTTTTCAAACTGTAGCTGGGGGGCTAATATTTGTCAAGTACCTCCTCTGTGAGTTGTATTATGCTAGACACTTAGGTAATTTGCATCACCTGATGCACACAGCCACTCTGTAAGAAGGCTAATATTAGATTTAAAGATTGTTCGTGGGTGAAGTAGAGTAGTCTTGGAAGTTCAGTTTACATTAAACTGCCTGTTCTCATAATTTAGCAAAGAAGGGAGCTGGGATGCAAATGCCGTCAAACATAGAAAATAAATTAGAAGTTTAAAGAACAAAATTACAGGCTCTGCACAGTGGCTCACGCCTATAACCACAGCACTTTGGGAGGCCAAGGTGGGAGGATCACTTGAGCCCAGGAGTTTGAGACCAGCCTGGGCAACATAGTGAGAACCTGTCTCTACAAAAAATTTTTAAAATTAGCTGGGTATGGTGGTGTGCATCTGTAGTCCCAGCTACTCAAAAGGCTGAGGTGGGACTACAGTGAGCTATGATCGTACCACTGCACTCCAGCCTGGGAGACAGATCAAGGCCTTGTCTCTAAAAAAAAAAAAAAAAGAACAAATTACAAAAAAAGTTATCAAAACCCACAATGAAGACCTAACCCTACTTAATGCTGTAGCCTTCTTGTGCCTTGCTCCCCCGCAAGCCTGCACCCTCCCCAGCCTCACCTCTGCTTTTCCTTTTTTTTTTCACAGCACTTACTACTTTTGTAACATATTAAATAATTAACTTGTAACCTATTCCGTTAATTATGTGTGGCCCTCTCCTAGAATGTAAGCTCCAAGAAAGCAGAAAACTTTCATGCTTTGTTCTCTAAAGTATCTGTGCAATGAGAAGAGTGCCTGGCACACAGGTGACCAATAAGTATATGCTGACATATGAGACACTAGTACAGAAGACCTTCCTGAACTTGCACCATTTCTTCCTGATCATCTTGTCCTCATAATAAAGAGTCAGGCAGGCTTTTAATTCTTGAGTATGTTGTTTAAGCCTCACCTTAGTGATTTTACCCAGATTTTATCCCTGCCAAAAGCACTCTTCCCTTTTCTCTCACTACCAAAAACCTACCCATCTTTCAGGGGCCTGCCCAGATGCATGCCACTTTGACTTATGACACAGGAGTTCATGTGTACATCTGGGTACTGATACTACTTTAGATCAGCAGTGTCCAATCTTTTGGCTTCCCTGGGCCACAGTGGGAGAAGAATTGTCTTGGGCCACACATAAAATACACTAACACTAAAGATAGTTGATGAGCCAAAAAAAAAAAAATAATAAACCACGCAAAAAAAAAAAAAATCTCATCATGTTTTAAGGAAGTTTACAAATTTGTGTTGGGCCGCATTCAAAGCCGTCCTTGGCCACATACGGCCCACAGGTTGGGCAAATTTTCTTTAGATAGTGCTATTTCAAGTTTAGTACTTTCCAAGAAACTGTATGGGTTTTGCAGTTTTATTTTTAGGCCAAGGACCAAAGCATACCCTCCTTTTGTCCTCCTCACAGCCCAGGCACAGCCTAGACTTTCAGTTGCTACCATATTATCTCGTGGGAAAATAAATGCTATTTGGTAGCTAAATCTTTTGAATTATGGAAAGAAAAAAATTAACAGAAATGAAACAACCTTTAGCTTACAAGAAGTAGGGGAGATAACTGGATGAGTTTCTCCATTCACTGAATAATTCTTATTGAGCGCTTAATATGTGCTAGGTACTGTTCTAGGTGCTAGGGTTTCAGCAGTAAATAAAACAAAGCCCAAATCTGTGCCTTCACGGAGCTTACATTCCAGAAGGGAGAAGACAGGAAGTAAATCAAATAAATAAAGTCAGATGATGTTAAATGTTGTGGAGAAAGTAAAGCAGCAAATGGGGATAGAAAGAGTGTCTATGGGGAGGCGGGGCGGTCAGTTTTAAATAGGGAGATCAGAGATGGCCTCAGTAAGAAGGTGACATTTCAGCAAAGATATGAAGGAAGTGAGGAAGCCAGCCAGGTGGGTAACTGAGAGAAGAATGTGCCAGAGAAAGGGAACACCAAAGGCAAATGCCCTGAGGCAGGCGCCTATCTTGCTTGTTCAAGGACCCAGAGGCGAGTTCCCTGAGCAGAGGGGAGAGAGGAAATGGAAGAGAATAGTTGAGATGAAGGTCAAAGAGATAACAGAGTTCCAGAGCTTCATCTGGAAAATAAGGAATCACCTTATTCTCTGGCATATGTGATAGCTGAGTACTTACCAAATGTCTTGTCAAGTTTCACCACTGCCTGCAGAATAAGGTCTAAAGTCTTTCATAATCTGCACCTTATGTTCTGGATGATCCAATTGTATACCCTTGTCCAAAGATGAAACGAACTTGCAGGACTTTGTACCTTTGAATATGCTTTTCCTTCTGCCTAGAACATTCTTTCTTTCATGCTTCCTTTAACCACCTCCTCCTTCCTCAATTCCCTCCCTTCCCTCACCTCTCACAAAGAGAATCTATAGCTTCATATGCAGCTTCCACACTACTTTGAACTGTAAGGAATCCTGATTGTACTGTGCTGTGCTATTTTCCATGCAGCCCTATCTTCCACTAGATGGAGTATCTCTAGGGCAGAAATGTTATCATGCATTCTGTGCCCTGCTTCATTAATTATTTCCTCTCTTTCCTACACCTTCGGGCTCTCTCTCCCTACTGTAATGATTTGCAAAGGTTTCCCTATCTAGGGTTTTTCTGAATTTATCAATAAATAAATTCTAATGTTTGTAGAATTTCCTTTTCTCACAAGCTCTCAGGTAATGCTGATGTTGCTGGTCCAGAAATTGCACTTTGGGAACCACTGATTTATATGTAGGTTACACACTTCGCTTTTTTTCCCCACTAAAATGCCAATTCTATATAAGGCCAATGAGTTCATTTTGTTCACCACTATATACCTAGGGCCTAGAATAGTTCCTCCTACATGGGTGGGGTTTAATACATATTTATTGCCTAACTATTAGTTCATTCCTTTATCATATATATCAGTCTTTCTCATTTAAAAAAAAATCCATCTGCCTCACACTGCCCACATGTAAATTATCCAAGGTCATCTCATTCCCAACCTCCCAGGTGATTTATGCTCAGTCTAAAAATAAATTTTAAAAAACTGCTTCAGTGATGTGTTTTTAAAAGAAAAGGTTAAAGGAGAGGAGAATTACATCTTAAGCTTTCCTGTAACTAAATATTTCCTGCTACTAAATATTTTTAATATATCATTTATATTATATTATTTAGCTGATTAAAACATAATATACTGCATGTATTACATGATCAATTTAACTTTGGCAAAACTGACAAATGGAAGGAGACTGTGTGATCTGCACGAGGTCAATGAGTCAGTTGTTTTCCTATTAGACATGGTCACACTCTGAATCTTTCATTCTAACCACTAGACCACTATCTTGGTTCACAGATGAGAAGGAATGCATTATCTTGGAGCTGAAAACTAAGACTAAGTCACTCATAACTCAGAACCAAAGCAGCAATGACACTGACATAACTTTCATTTTAATCACTGTTTAGTTTAAGTGAATATTAAAGCCACTTAACAGTCCCTTGGTTCTACATTCTATAAAGTAGGTGAGAAAACAGAGAACTTAAATAGTATTTTGTCTTACTTATTTATTTATTTATTTATTTACTTATTTAGAGATAGAGTCTTGCTCTGTCGCCCAGGCTGGAGTGCAGTGGTGCCATCTCAGCTCACTGCAACCTATGCCTCCCAGGTTCAACCAATTCTCCCTGCCTCAGCCTCCCAAGTAGCTGGGATTATAGGCAACCACCACCGCCCTGGCTAATTTTTGTATTTTTGGTAGAGACGGGGTTTCACTATGTTGGCCAGGCTGGTCTTGAACTCCTGACCTCATGTGATGTGCCCACCTTGGCCTCCCAAAATGCTAGGATTACAGGCGTGAGCCACCGTGCCTGGCCTTCAATAGTATTTTAGAACCAAAGAGTTGGAAGAGATTGTAGTCTTAATCTAATACAATAGCTCTTAATCTAATATCCACATTTTACAGATGACAAAATTGAGCCTCGGATTGACTTAATGCCTCACAATTAGTAGCAGTGAATAGTTTATATATTCACTTTTACTGACATATGGAATGGGATTTTTTTCATTCAGAGCAAACAACCTTAAAAAGATTTATACTGGCCAGGTATGGTGGCTCACACCTGTAATCTTAACACTTTGGGAGGCTGAGGTAAGAGGATCGCTTGAAGTCAGGAGTTCGAGACCAGCCTGGGCAATACAGCAAGACCCCATCTCTATTAAAATAAATAAATTTTAAAAATAAAAAATCTGTACAGAAACTAGCAAAATAATGAAAATATATCAATGTTATGGTATCTTAAAATATATTAGACCATGTGAAATGTTATATATGATCCATTTATTTGTCATCATCAAAATGAGGAAATTTTGAATATATGCCTACATAAAAATCAAACTATATTTTAATGCAACCTTCTAAACTTCTTTAGAAAGAGAACAAGAGTGTTTGATTAAAACTGCTGACCTCAAAATCTGCATTTTCTAATAAGCTAGTTTTCTTTCTAAAAGTTTAAAGCAGCTGGGCATGGTGACTCATCCCTTTAATCTCAGCACTTTGGGAGGTCAAGATGGGAGGATTGCTTGAGTCCAGGAGTTTGAGACCAGCCTGGGCAACACAGTAAGACCTCATCTCTAAAAATAAATAATTAATTAATTTTTAAAATCAATTTAAAAATTTTTAAAAACGTTTGAAGCTTCTTCGGGGCAGGGATCTATGCATCTGTGCACCATCTGCACGTGGCACAGCATAAGGCACAAATCAATAAATATCTGATTTTAAAATGTTAATCAATTTAGAACTTTCCTTAGGGAAATTAACTTGTTAAAGTGAAAATTATATTTCATTAAAAATCCTTTAATGCAGTAGTTTTCACAGTGGGGGCACCAGACCAGCAACTTTGGTATTACCAGGAAGTTTGGTAGAAGTGCAAATTCTCAGAACCCCTCTGAAACCTATACGCAGAAACTCTGGGCTGGGAAGTAACTGTTATTTTCTTAAGCCCTCCACTGCAAGCTAAAGTTTCAGAACTGCTATATTAAGGAATGGTCCTCAAACTTTTACTGTTTGGTCCCTTAAAATTAAAAAATTAGTATGGACCCCAAAGTGCTTTAGTTTATAAGGTTATAATTATCCACATTTGCCATATTTGAAAATAAAACTGAAACATTTTAAAAATACTTAATTCATTTTAAAATGAGAATAGGCCGAGAGCGGTGATTCATGCCTGTAACCTCAGCACTTTGGAAGGCCGAGGCGGGTGGATCACCTGAGGTCAGGAGTTTGAGACCAGCCTGGACAACATGACGAAATTCCGTCTCTACTAAAAATACAAAAATTAGCTGTGCGTGGTGGTGCATGCCTGTAATCCCAGCTACTTGGGAGGCTGAGGCAGGAGAATCGCTTGAATCCAGGAGGCAGAGGTTGCAGTGAGCCGAAATCGTGCCACTGCGCTCCAGCCTGGGCAAGAGTGCAACTCTGTCTCCAAAAAAAAATAAAAATAAAAATAAAATAAAATAAAATAAACACCTTTTATAATGAAATTACTACATTTTCTAAAATAAACCAAAAAAATAGTGAGAAGACAGAAACAAAAACCAGAAAGGACTTGTGTGATTCATTTTATCTGCAAAAAGGGAAGGAGGGTGTTGAAAAAAATTGTTTCCATTCTGAGGTCTGTCTTGTGAAGAGGAAAAAAAAAATCCCCAAAGACAAGAAATGGTGAAGACTGCGTTCCAGAATGGCGGCACTAAGAAGCTTGGCCTTCCAAGGGAAAGACCCACACTAATGAGGTATGAGGCTATTTGCTCCTCCCTCATAGGTAAGCAGCAAGAGTGACCAATGGAGTGGGGTTCAGCCCCAGTGGTTTACTGGGGAGTGGTCCCATTTCACAGGACGCTGTCAACAGAATTCCGGCCAGGGCTCAGAAACCGCTGTGTAGTAGCCACCTGGTTTCCTCATCCTACAGGGGGATGAAATTCCCTTTACCTCACAGACCTGGGGAGACAGAAAATGCAATCATGCAATTTAAGGTACCCAATAAACTACAAGGTGGGATTACTCTCTGTGAATCAGATTTTTCACCCACAAAATGTGGTGAACACACTTTTCTTCAGATGGACATATTTTCTTTCCTTATTTTAAAAAAATATCTTACGGAATACTTCATGAATTGGTGTGTCACCCTTGCACAGGGGCCACACTAATCTTCTCTGTATCGTTCCAGTTTTTTTTTCCTTTTTTTTAGTATATGTGCTGCTAAAGTGAACACATCAGATGGGCATACTCCTGAGTAAATTAAACCATATCTATAACTCAGAAAGACCCCTTAAACTGTCATATTTACAGGATGGCTATTTCATGACTTACGATTTAGGTCCAAATAATAGATTTCTCCAAAATAGATCTTACCGATTCTGAAAGGACTTTCCAGCAATATTGTCTCTATAGGAATCAAACAAAACATGGTATTGATCTCGGCTCCATTCCAGAACCACCTAGAACAAAGAAAAAGAAACGTTTTCTTCGCATCAAAGACTAAGAGTATATAACTTTCATTTCATTTTAATTTCATTAGAATTGCTAGAGAAATGGGTAAAGAAATCAAAATTCATGTATTCACTTACTGCCTACCACATACATCGTGTTAGATCCAGGTGAATAAGCTACAGTTCCTGAAAAGGACAAACTAAAAGACTTAGTGTCTCACCATGCTTGGAATGGGGTAGCGGAATCAAAGAGGTTTAAAAGGATGTGGTATTTGAAATGGGTCTTGAAGAATGAGTTCACCAGGTAGGGAAAAAAGGACAGGGCCAGCCAGTTGGAAGAGCATGCTTGTAGGCTGAGAAGCAGCAAGGGCAAATTGTTTCAGGGCAACTGTGTGGCTGGCTTTGTCCAGAAGACAGGTAGATAACTGTTGAGAAATGGGTCTAGGAAAGAAAGCTGGGCCCTAAGCGTGACGTGCCTTCTGTGCCTTGGAAGCACTGAAGGATTTTAAGGCAGTTACAGAATCCGTCTAAAGTTTAGGAAAGACTCTTCTCAGAGCATTTACAGACACAAGCAGAAACAGAAGGGACAGGCCGGGCACGGTGGCTCACGCCTGTAATCCTAGCACTTTGGGAGGCTGAGGAGGGTGGATTCCCTGAGCTCAGGAGTTCGAGACCAGCCTGGGCAACACGGTGAAACCCCGTCTCTACTAAAATACAAAAAATTAGCTGGGCATGGCGGCATGCGCCTGCAGTCCCAGCTACTCGGGAAGTGAGACAGGAGAATTGCTTGAACCTGGGAGGCATAGGTTGCAGTGAGCCAAGATCGCGCCACTGCACTCCAGCCTGGGCAACAGAGCGAGACTTCATCTCAAAAAACCAAAAAACCAAGAAACATAAGGGACTGACAAGATATGGGAGGATAAGGACCTTATTACCTGTGAGGTTTCAGCTAACGACCTTGTTAAACATTTCAGGAGAAAATGGAAAGCTTTAGATAGAAGTTCCCTCATGTTTGCACCCTAAATCTATAAACCTACCCACACATACATCCCATTTTCTTTTTCATTCCTCTTACCACAGAGGAAGTGTCCCCCCACCTTGCAGACATCCAATCTCTATTTGCTCTGGATCTCATCAACTTGTGTGTTCTCAAGACCTTGCCTCTCTTTTCCTTTCAGTAGGATTATTCCCATTGGCACGCAAACATGTTCCCGTACCTTGGGAACACCTTCCCTTCACTCCATATCCATTCCAGTGAGTCCCTCTACCCCACATTTTCTGTCCCTTTCAAGGTCATCTCCTGCTTTCCCACTCACCCTTCAGCTCACTCCAGTATCACTTATGTTTTCACCACTTTAGTGGCCTTACCAAGGCCCCCACATTGTCAAACTCAACGGCATTTTCCTCATCTCTTACTCAAGTATTCATAGCAGTTGCCCAGTTCCTCTTTGTGGAAATGTTTTCTTGGTTTTCCCTCCTGTCGCCCTGGTGGCTCCTTTTCCATCTCCTTTGCCAGCTCATTCCCTTCTATCTAATCTTTCTGTGTGTCCTTTCCTTCTACTCTACATGCCCTCCTTCCTGACCAGGCTTCCTCCAGCATCCTATTCCACTGCCCCTAAGAAGTGGCCCTGCTACATTCAGATGGGCTGTGGGGCCCAGGCATTTAGAATTCATTCCAACTGCAGAAAGGAAAGGGAAAGACATGCCCCACCTTTAAGGAGACATCATGGAAGCTGCACCTACCACTTCTGTTTTCATTATCCAGAACTTACACAAATCTATTATATTATAAAAAGTTAAAATGTATCAAAACTTATACAAACACAGACTGTACATGGTACCGTTTGCAATTGAGAGAGGTAAACAAACATAAAAATGCAGCAATAAATCATAACCGAATAAAATCAACTGTAGTATATACTGTACTAAAATAATTTTGTACCCATCTCCTGTTACTATTGCAGCGAGCTCACATGTTGCGAGTATCTGTAGTGACACTAATTATCTCCACGTGAGCAGTTTGTCTCTCTAGTAAACTGCATGTTGCGGTAAAAAGTGATCTCTCATGTTTCTTACGTATTTTTCATATTTAGTGCAATACCGTAAACTGCGAAGAACATCATGGGACTCTTAGAAAGTGCCACTAGTGCCGATGGAAGTGCTCCCAAGAAGCAGAGGAAAGTCATGTCATTACAAGAAAAAGTTGAATGGTTTGACACGTACCATAGATTGAGGTCTGCAGTGGTGGTTGCTGGCCATTTCAAGACAAAAGAATTTAGCTAAGAATCATTGTTTTTTAAAAAAAAAGGCAATGAAAAATTATGAAGCTGTCACTCCCAGCTAGAAAACTGCATTTTTTGCTAAATGCCTCTTTATCTTGTATTGAAAATGCGCTTTAACGTGGGTCCAGAATTGCTATAAGAAACACATACCTACAGACTAACATAATGCAAGAAAAAGCAAAGTTGTTAGATAACAACTTAAAGCAAAAGGACAATAAGGGTCTAAAGCAGGAGAATGTAATGCCAGCAAAGACTGGTTTGATCATTTTAAAAAGAGATTTGGCTTAAAAATGTCAAGATAACAGGAGATGCACCTGCAGACCAAAAGGCAGAAGATCAGTTCCCAAAGAAAATCATCGATGAGAAAGGATATCTGCCTGAACATGTTTTTAATACAGATGAAATTTAATCATGGGAAAAATGTGACAAAGAACATTTATTAGTAAGGAAGAGAAGCAAGCATCAGGATTTAAAGCAGGAAGGGAAGGGACAGGCTGACTCTACTGTTTTGTGCAAATGCTGTTGGGCTTTCCTTACCTGTAATGCTGCTAACCCCCAAGGCTTGATGGAAAAAAATTAACACCAACAGTCAGTGTTTTGGTTGTACAACAAGAAAACCTGAACAAGAGTTCTTTTACTGGACTGGTTCCTTGGATGCATTGTCTCTGAAGTCAGGAAGTACCTTGCCAGTAAGTACTTCTATTAAAGTTCTTTTGATTGGACAATGCCCATGGCCACCCAGAACCCCATGAGTTCAACACTGAAGGCACTGAAGTGGTCTACCTGCCGCAAAACACAGCATCTCTAATCAGCCTCTAGATTTGGGGTGGGGGTGGGAGGGAAGAGGAGGGGCATAAAGATCTTTAATGCTCATTACACATGGTACTCTATGGAAAGAATTGCCAACGTTGTAGAAGAGAACCCCAATAGAGAGAACTTTTGGTTTTGGTTTTGTTCTGACTTGTTTCCATACACTTGTACGTGTACTTGAGTTTGTTGGACACTGGTCCAAACCCCAAACATTCCCTGACAGGGCTTATAAGGTTCTTATTTTGCTCTTGGGAGATTAATGAGAAGCAGAATGGGATCCTAAAATGCTAAAGCATGCAATCATAGTCCCTCTCCTGGGACCTCTGCCAGCTAGCTACATGTTCAAAAATTATCTTTGGCCAGGTGTGGTGGCTCACACCTGTAGTCCTAGCACTTTGGGAGGATGAATTGGGAGGATCGCCTGAGCCCAGGAGCTCAAGACCAGCCTGAGCAACACAGTGAGACCTCGTCTCTATTTTTTCCCTATTATAAAAAATTTTTTAATTAAAAAAAAATTATGGTCTTCTCTTGCGAACAATTTTAAATCAATGGATAGAGAACATCAAAACTAATTTGGATGGCCATCCTGGAGATCTTTTGGGTCCGCAAACTTGTCTTAGAACAAAATTAGGGCTAGGTGCAATGGCTCATGCCTGTAATCCCAGCACTTTGGGAGGTCGTGGAGGGAGGATCACTTGAGGTCAGGAGTTCAAGATCAGCCTAGCCAACATGGTGAAACCCCATCACTACTAAAAATACAAAAAAAAAAAAAAAAAAAAAAAATCAGCCAGGCGTGGTGGCAGTTGCCCATAATCCCAGCTACTAGGGAGGCTAAGGCAGGAGAATCGCTTGAACCTGGGAGGCAGAAGTTGCAGTGAGCTGAGATCGCGCCACTGCACTCTAACCTGGGTGACAGAGTGAGACTCCATCTCAAAATAAAAAGAAAACAAAAAACAAATAGAAGACAGCAGCCCTATAATTAAAAATCTGAGTGGGAGGCATACTTTAATTGGTACCTTGAAGCTTCTAAGCACACTCAGGATCCTAAAATTGCCTCTCTACAAGACACGATCTCAAAATTAATTAAGATAAACAGTTAAGAAAAAACAAGGGCCAGGTGGCTGACGCCTGTAAAGCCAGCACTTTCGGAGGCTGAGGTGGGAGAATCACTTGAGGCCAGGAGTTCAAGACCAGCCTAGGTAACATAGTGAGACCTCATCTCTACAAAAAATAAAAAATTGGCCAGGCATGGTGGCACACACCTGTAGACCCAGCTACTCAGAGGCTGAGTCTGGAGTATTGTTTGAGCCCAAGAGGTGGAGGCTGCAGTGAGCCATGATTGCATCACTGCACTCCAGCCTAGGTGACAGAACGAGACCCTGTCTCAAAAAAAAAAAAAAAAAAAAAAAAAAAAGGCCAGGCATAGTTGCTCATACCTTTAATCCTAGCACTTTGGGAGGCAGAGGTGGGTGGATCACTTGAGCCCAGGAGTTCGAGACCAGCATAGGCAACACGGCAAAACCCTGTCTCTACAACTCCAAAAAATTAGCCGGGTGTGGTGGGATGTGCCTGTAGTCTCAGCTACCTGGGAGGCTGAAGCGGCAGAATCGCTTGAGCCTAGGAGGTGGAAGTTGCAGTGAGCATTTACTGTGCCACTGCACTCTAGCCTGGGTGACAGAAAGAGACCCTGTCTCAAAAAAAAAAAAAAAAAAAAAAAAAAAACTGGAAAAAAATTTAAAAAAGAGCAAGGCCTTAAGGACCCAAACTCCTTCCTCTCTGGAACAGATGAGACTTCCCCTTCCTTCTTTCTTCTCTATTCTCCTCTCTTTCTCTGGCCCGCCAAAATCTGTCCCTTTAAAGTTAAAGGAGGCTGTATGAAGGAAAAAAATAAAAATAAAACAATTTGGTTAAACTAGCCTGAGTGTGGTGGCTCATGTCTGTAATTCCAGCACTTTGCAAGGCCAAGAAGGGAGGATCGATTGAAGTCGGGCATTCGAGACCAGCTGGGGCAACATAGTAAGACCTTGTCTCTTCAAAAAAAAGAAAAAATTTTTTTTAATTAGCCAGGCATGGTGGCGCACACCTGGAGTCCAGCTACTCAGGAGGCCAAGGCTGGAGGATGGCTTGAAGTCAGGAGTTCATGGCCAGCCTGGGCAACAAACTGAGATCCTGTCTCAGAACAACCAAACAAACAAAAACAAATCAATTCGCCGGGCATGGTGCATGCCTGTAGTCCCAGCTACTTGAGAGGGTAAGGTGGGAGGATCACTTTAGCCCAAGAGTTGGAGGCTGAAGTGAGCCATGATTGTACCAGTACACTCAAGCCTGGATGACAGAGCAAGACCCTGTCTCTTAAAAAAAAAAAAAAAAAAGAAAAGAAAAGAAAAAAAGAAAAAGGAAAGAAGAAAGAAAGAAATGAAAATTAAACTTATTGACAATTCCTCTAGACCCCAAATTTCTTTTGTTCTTTGGAGCAAGGCTGAACTTCGTGCCATTGCCAGGGAACTTCCAGAGGTTACTGGGGACCCTCACCAATTTGCTGATTAATTGGACATAGTAACTTAGGGTTATCAGCCAGGTTTTTCTGACCCACAGTAGGTGGTTCACATTCTTGTCAGTGAAGGTCAGGCACAACACTGGATGGTCAAGGCTCACTGCCATGATCCTGAGGGGGATTTAGACAAAAACACCCCTAAAGACTATGGATAGAGTCAAAGGCATAGAAGGAAAAAAAAACACTCCACAAGTCTGTTCTCGAGGCTCTTCCTAAAGCCTTAGACTGGAAAAACCTCCAGGCCTGTGCCCAAGAAAGAACCTAATGTACAACTATTACAGTAGGCTCCAGGCTGTATTTAAAGAAAATGTTGAATCTACTCAAGTAGCCTTTTATTCCATGTTAGTGAACAGCCTTTCTCAAGAACTCTCCCAGCTGGTCAAAAGGGCCCGAACAGAATGGGAAACTGTGCCTACCTCTGATCTAGTTAATTTGGCAAATCAGCTTGCCAGCACCCTTGAGGACAATACTAAAAAGAAAACCACTAAAATCCTTAATCTCCAGTTACGGCAGATGGAGACTCCCGGACATAACACCATGAGGAGACCTCCTGGGCTATGCCACTTCTGTAAGAAGCCAGGACTCGAAAAGAGTGCTGAAAAAGATGGAATCTCTCATCAACTTTAATGAATCTCCAGGGAATTAGGCTGAGTTTAAAAAAAAAAGTCTCAAAAGTCCAGAAAGTAGACTCAGAAAGTGATACCCCAAAGACTGGCACTTTAACATGCCAAGAGGCCTTAGAAGCTGCCTCAGAATCAAGGTCCCTCTAACCTTGTCTTCCCTCCAACAAGGGAAAAAGAAAAGATAAATGTACCATGTTCCTAGATTACAAAAAGTCTTCTTAGTTTCTGAAAACAAAATTTGTTTTGCATGGAGGCACTAAAAGAAAGACTAAGATATATTAAAGATATTTTAAGCTTTATCTTTTCTACTAAACCTCCTCCTCCTATGATATTAACCAGGAAGTAAAATCTGCTGATTGCCAGCAGCATTTCTAATCACATTCGATTAAAGACACCCATTTTCCTGATGCAAAGTGGCTTAATGCAATAAAGCACAACTTTAAAAAATTAGGAGTTCAATGGTTATTAACACAGGAATGATTTCTTCTCTTCACATAAATTAAAGGAAATGATTCAAACCGAAGATGGATGACCACTATTTAGTCAAACACTAATTAAACTCAGACATTTTTCTAGACCATGGCTACCCTCTTTGGATTCTCTACCGCAATAGACACACAACATAACAGATTTTTTAAGGAAGACAAAATGGAAATCAGGGCTCTGTCCTCAAGGAGCTGACATTCCTGTTAAGGATTAAACATTTATTTGCATGAAATGATGTAGGACTACTGTGTAGCTTTTAAATGAGTACAGATTAAAATATAATAAACACTGTTAGACAAAAGGAATAATCATGACATATTTTTCCACGGAGAGAGAGCTGAGATTTTTATGGAAATAAAGGAGTAGAGAAAAAAGAAAGATTTGTTTGCCAGTTGGGGAGTAGGGAAGAAAATTGTATTAGAAGTCAGAATTAAGAATACTGTCTAGGCATGGTGGCTCGTGCCTGTAATCCCAGTACTTTGGGAGGCCGAGGTGGGAGGATCGCTTGAGCCTGGAAGTTCAAGACCAGTCTGGGCAATATAGTAAGACCTTGTCTCTATTTAAAAAAAAAAAATTTTTAAAGTTAGCCAAGCCTGGTAGCACTCACTGGCAGGAGAATTGCTTGAGCCCAGGAGCCGGAGGTTGCGGTGAACCAAGATCAGCATCACTGCACTACAGCCTGGGTGACAGAGTGAGACTGTCTCAAAAAAACAAAACAAAAAAAGTATTGCTTTGTGCTTTGACAATGCACTCTACTATATAAAAGTCATATCTAAAAGAAAACAAAAAGAACCCTTAGCAATCACACTTGGCTAAAAGGAAAAGAGAGAAAGAGAAAAAAAAAAAGAACCAACGAACTACCAAAAATACTTTCAAAAAGTATTCAAACCGACTTTCTGAATATATCTATGTTGTTTGTTTTATTGCTCAGAGTTTTCAGAATCACCGAATTCTACAGGAAGAACTTTGAATCCAGTGCCCTACTCTGCAGCCAATGTTTGAGTTCTTGTTATAATGTCCTGGCAAATAGTTATTCTACCTATGAGGGTAGACCTGCACTGTCCAATATGGTATGTGGCCACAAGTCATTATTTAAAACGTAAACTAAGTAATATAAGAAATTCACTACCTTAATCACCTAGCCACATTTCAAGCACTCAGTAGCCACATGCAGTTAGTGGTCACCATAATGGGCCAAATAGAAATACAGATTTTGGTCACGGCACTAAGTTTGTTTAGTGCTGCAGCTATTCAAACCTTAAAGACTGTCACAAAAATACACAAGGTGGCAAGTCAGAACAACTGGACCTAAGCTCCAGTTTTGTGATTTTAGACAAGTCAACTTAACCCTAAATTTCAACTGTAAAATTTAAATAATACTATCTTATCCCCTAAGGGGTTGTTAGAAAATTCAAGTGAGCTGATAAAATATTCTGACAACTACAAAGTACTATAGGATGTATAAGGTATTAAAATTATGATACAACACTGAACTTATTACAACCCACAAGGGGCTCACAGACTACTGGGGAGACAAATATGATGCAAATAATTAAAATATATCATGTGAAAAAAAAATTACCAACATATGAACAAAAAATGGTTTAACTTGGTATATACTTTTAGTATAATTAGTAAACCAGAAGCCAAACTAGTCAAATTAAGATTTTCAAATTTTATTTTTGCAAAATTGTCATAAAAAAGTTTACTGAAATGAAGTTTTGCACAATATCTGTTTGTGAAACTTAATGTATTTACCTCCACTAACAAGTGAATTTTATTTCACACTGTTACCTAAAAATATTTTTAAAATACACCAAGAAGAGGACTTTTAAAAAATGAATTTGAAATGCTAAAAAGTCATAAAAGGTGAAAAGAATGTTTTTGTTTTTGTTTTGAGACAGGGTCTTGCTTTGTCACCCAGGCTGGAGTGCAGTGGCGTCATCAAGGTTCACTGCAGCCTTGATGTACTGAGCCTAGGGCTCAGGCAATCCTCCCATCTCAGCCTCCTGCGTAGCTGCGACTACAGGTGCACATCACTACGTCTGGCTAATTTTTGGATTTTTTTGTCAAGATGGGGTTTCACCACATTGCCCAGGTTAGTCTCAAACTCCTGGGCTCATGCGATCTGCCTGCTTCTGCCTCCCAAAATGCTGGGATTCAGGCCTGAGCCAGGTCAAGAATGTTATTTTTTTAAAAAATAGCTGCTAGGCCATTTAAAAAAATTGCTCCTTTCTTGAGGAGCAATTGGCAGTGTGTACCAAAGAAACAAACAAATAAATGTTCATGCCTTTTGATCTGGTTAATTCCACTACAAGAAACATATGCCGAGGAAATTATCATAGATCCACCCAAAGGCTTCTGTACGATAATCACCATTATTACCGATAAAAACGAAATATCTAATGTTTAGATCATTAAACATGATTTAAAAATTAAACAGGAAATTGAGTAATTATGGTACATTCATATAAATATGATAAAGCTATTAAAAAATCACATTTTCAAACAATCGTTTAAAACATAGTAACTTAATTTTCTCAGTCAATAAATATTATGTGGCATCATTCTAGATTCTGAGGACATAGCAATGACCAAAACAAAGTTTCTTCCTTTGTGGAGCATTACAAAGTAGTCAAGGGATAAAGTGTTTGATAAAACATTATATAAAAAAAGCAACAATCAAAACTATTAGTCTGGAGCTAGACATCAGCAAAATGGTGGAACAGGCTGCTACAATTTTTCTTTCCCCATGTAAACACAGACAAACAAGCCAAAACTGCCAAAATAACAACAAGAAACAAAAACACAAATATTGTATGATTCCATTATATAAAATATCTAGAACAGGCAAATCCATAGAAACAGAAAGTAGATTAGAGGCAACCAGGAGCTAAAGGAAGAGATGACTGAGGAATTTAATGGTTACAAAGTTCCTGTTTGGGGCGATGAAAAAGTTTGGGAAATAGTCAGTGGTGATGATTGCACAACTTTGTATATGTAACTAATGCCACTGAGTTATATAATTAAAAATAGCTAAAATGGCAAATTTTATGTTATATATGTTTAACCACAATAATTTAAAAGAAAAGTAAATCACTACAATACCTTCCCCCCTAAAAAATTAAGGAGCATTATGAACAACTCTGTCTCCACAGACTTTATAATTTGGATGAAATGGACCAACTCCTTGAAACACATGATCCAAAAACTCAAAAAACGAGAGAGGTCATCTGAATAGGGCTATATCTATAAAAAAATTTGAATCAATAATTAATAACCTTCCAAAATAGAAAGCCCCAGACCCAGATGGCTTCACTGGTGAATTTTACCAAACACTTAAGGAAAAAAAAAATGATACCACTTCTCTACAATCTCTTTCAGAAAATGGAAGCAGAGAGAACATTTCCTAATTCATTCTATGAGGCCAAAACTACCCTAATACCAAAACAAGGCAAAGACATTACAAGAAAGGAAACTTATAAACCACTATCTCTCATGAACACAGATGCGAAAACCCTCAGTAAAATATTATCAAATCAAATCCAACAATATATAAAAAGAATTATTTACCACAACCAACTGGGATTCATCCCAGGTATACAAGCCTGGTTTAACAACCAAAAATCAATTCATAAAATCCTTCACATCAACAAGCTAAAGAAGAAAAATTGTATGACGATACCAATAGATGCAGAAAAAGCATTTGACAATCCAACATTAATTTATGATAAAAATGTTCAGCAAACTAGGAATACAGGAGAACTTCCTCAGTTTGATAGAGCATCCACAAAAACAGTTTCACCTAATATCATACTTAGTGATGAGAAACTACATGCTTTCCTCCTAAAACCAGGAACAAGACAAGTGTGGACTCCTCCTCCCATCACCATTCTTATTCAAAATTGTACCTGAAGTCCTAGCTGATGCAGTAAGACAAAAAAAGGAAATAAAAGGTAAACAGATTGAGAAGGATGAAATAAAACTATCTTGGTTTGAATAGAAGAAAAAAAAAACTGTCTTTGTTCACCGATGACATGACTGTCTATGTAGAAAATCCCAAAGAATCAACAACAACAACAAAATCTGAAACAAATAAGCAAATATAGTAAGACTGCAGGATACAAAGTTAACATACAAGGCCAGCACAGTGGCTCACACCTGTAATCCCAGCACTTCTGGAGGCCCAGACTGGTGGATCACCTGAGGACAAGAGTTCGAGACCAGCCTGGCCAACACGGTGAAACTCCACCTCTACCAAAAATACAAAAATTAGCCAGGTGTGGCGGCGCACACTTGTAGTCCCAGCTACTCAGTGGACTGAGGCACAATAGCACCACTGTACTCCAGCCTGTGCAACGGTAAGACTCTCTCAAAAAACAAACAAATAAAAACAAAGTTAACATACAAAAGTCAAAAGTCAAGTGCTCTCCTATATAACAACAATGAACAATTGGAATTTGAAACTAAAATACACAATACAATTTAGGTTAGCACCCCCTGCTAAAAAAGAAAAATAAGAAATGCGTAGGCATAACTCTAACAAAATATGTATGAATATGTATGAAATCTTTGTGAAGAAAACTACAGAAAGCCAATGGAAACAATCAAAGAAGATCCAAATGAAATTCCATGTTCACAGACAGGAAGGCTCAATATTGTTAAGATGTCAGTTCTTCCCAACTTCATCTACAGATTCAATGCAAACTCAACTAAAATTTCAGCAAGTTATTTTGGGGATATAGACAAACTGACTCTAAAGTTACATGGCTGGGCATGGTGGCTTATGCCTGTAATCCCATCACTTTAGGAGGCCAAGGTGGGAGGACTGCTCGAGCCCAGGAGTTCAAGACCAGCCCGGGCAATTAAAAAAAAAAAAAAAAAAAAGCTGGGCATAGCGGCATGCACCTGTGGACCCAGCTACTCAGGAAGCTGAGGTGAGAGGATCACTTGAACTCAGGAGGTGGAGGCTATAGTGAGTCGTGTTCACGCCACTGCACTCCAGCCTGGATGACAGAGCAAGACTCCGTCTCCAAAAAAAAAGAAAGAAAATCTAGGTGACCTTGGATTTGATGGTAACTTTTTGGATACAACACCAAAAGTAACAATCCATAGGTGAGAAAAAGACTGATCAGTTGTACTAATTAAAAACTTCTGGCCAGGTGTGGTGGCTCATGCCTGTAATCCCAGCACTTTGGGAGGCTGAGGCGAGTGGATCACCTGAGGTCGGGAGTTCGAGACCAGCCTGGCCAACATGGAGAAACCCCATCTTTCTACTAAAAATACAAAATTAGCTGGGCGTGGTGGTGCATGCCTGTAATCCCAGCTACTTGGGAGGCCAAGGCAGGAGAATTGCCTGAACCCGGGAGGCGGAGGCTACGGTAAGCCAAGATTGCATCATTGCACTTCAGCCTGGGCAACAAAAGCGAAACTCGGTCTCAAAAAAACTTCTGCTCTGCTCTGGGAGACACTGTTAAAAGAATAAAAAGATAACTATTGACTGAGAAAAAATATTTGTAAGACACATATCTGATAAGGAACTGGTATCCAAAATATACAAAGAACTCTTAAAATTCAACAATAAGGAAACAAACAACCCAATTAAAAACTGGGTAAAAAAATCTGAAGATACCCAACCAAAGAAAACATACAGATGGTAAACAAGTATATAAAATGATGCTCAACATCACATGTCATTAGGGAATAACAAATTAAAACAGCAATAAGATACCACTGCACACCTAATGGAATGGCTAAAATCCAAAACACTGACAACACCAAGCCGGGAAAGATGTGAAGCAACAGGAATTCTCATTGATTGCTGGTGGGAATTCAAATGGTGCAGCCACTTTGGAAGACAGTTTGTCAGTGTCTCACACAGCTAAACATAGGCTTATCACAGTCATGCTCCTAAGTATTTACCTGAGTTGAAAAATTGTGTCCATATAAAAACCTGCACATAAACGTATATAGCAGCTTTATTCATAATTGCCCCAAACTGGAAGCAATCAAGATGTCTTTCAAAAGGTGAATGGCACCAGACAATGGAATATTATTCAGTGCTACAAAGAAAAGAGCCATCAAGTCATGAAGAGACATAGAGGAAACTTAAATGAATATTACTAAAGGAAAGAAGCAAACTGAAAAGGTTACATATTATGTGATTCCAAGAAATGACATTCTGGAAAAGGCCCAACTACAGACACAGCAAAAAGATCAGTGGTTGCCAGTGGGGAGGAAGGAGAAGATGGGAATGAATAGGTGAAGCACAGAGCAAGAACAACTGCAGGGCAGTGAAACTATTCTGTACAATACTGTAGTGGTAGACACAGGACATTATGCGTTTGTCAAAACCCACAGAACTGTATAAAACAAAGAATGAATCCTAGTGTAATCTATGTACATTAGTTAATAAAAAATCTATCAATATTGATTTGCCAACTATAACAAATGTACCACACTGACCCAAGGTGTTTTTAGGGGAAACAGGCCAGGTATGGTGATTCACACCTGTAATCCCACTGCTTTGGGAGGCCAATGCAGGAGAATCCCTTCAGACCAGGAGTTCAATATAGTGAGACCCAGTCTCTACAAAAAAAGGTGTAGTGTGTGCCTGTACACCCAGCTACTTGGGAGGCTGAGGGAAGGAAGATCTCTTCAGGCCACGAGTTCAAGGCTGCAGTGAGCTGACTGTACAACTACACTCCAGCCTGGGCAACAGAGCAAGACCCGGTCTCTAAAAATAATAATAAGTAAATAAAACAAGCCTATTAAAAATGTATGGAGAACTATTTAGGGGAGAGGGAGTATACAGGAATTTCCTGTACCTTCCATATAATTTTTCTGTAAACCTAAACTGCTCTAAAATATAAAGTCTACTCCAATTTCATATATATATATATATATATATATATACACACACATACACACACACACACACACACACACACACACACACACATATATATAAACTAAATCCACATTCTTTCTTTTAAGGTCAAATTTAGCAACTGCTCACCATGGGTGACCTTTCCATATTTAGACAGTAGAAAAAAATATTTCTGTGCTCAGCTTACTTCCAGGTGCCAGGCTTCCAGGGGCCGAAAATACAGTGGTGAATAAGACAGAAAGGCCCCTGCTCCCACAGAGCCTACATTTTAAAGGAGAGAGGTAAGAAATCATATATATCAACATACAATTTCAGACTGACACTAAAAGTATTATTTAAAAAAAAAAAAGGAAAAATAGGGGAATGTGATAAAGAAGGACTTGGGGAAAGAGGCTGCTTTGGGACAGGTGGTGGGGAAGGCCCAAGTGAAGTGTTACAGCTGAGACCTATGTTGACAAGAAAGCCTGTCACCAGATGATCTGGGGGGAGTGCTCTCCTGCTCATGGAACAGCCAGTACAAAGCTCCTAAGGCAAGAAAAGTTGAATGCCTTCAAAGAACAAAAAGACGGTGACTGCAGCAGTTCTGAGCCTACACCTCAGAAGGGTTTGCGAGTATCTAGAGGATCTCTCAGCCTCTACCTTTGCCTTGAGAAGAACACAACCAGGTTCGCTGGCTGGTCCCTGGAGGATGAGAGACCCGTGGAGCAGAGCCAACCAAGTCCAACCCCAATCAGTTAACCAATGACCTGCACATCCAGAGAGCAAGTAATTGCCACTGTAAATCAAGGACTGGAAATCTTTCTCCGTAAAAGACGAAATAGTAACATCTTAGACTTTGCAGGCCATATAGTTTCTGTCTCAGCTATTTAATTCTGCCACTGTAATGTGAAAATAGCCACGGACAGCATGTAAATAAATGGACATGGCTGTGTTCCAATGAAACTCAAATTACAGAAACTGACATTTAAATTTCACATAATTTTTTCTTTTTTTTTTTTTCTTTTTTACTCTATCTCTGTGGATTAGTCTGTTCTCGCATTGCTATAAAGAACTACCTAAGACTGAGTAATTTATAAATAAAAGAGGTTTAACTGACTCACAGTTCTGCAGGATGTACAGGAAGCGTTTCTGGGAGACCTCAGAAAACTTACAATCATGGCAGAAGGCGAAGGTGAAATTGGCACATCCTCTTACGTGGCCGGAGAAGGAGGAAGAGAGCAAAGGAGGAGGGTGCTACACACTTTTTTTTTTTTTTTTTTGAGATGGAGTCTCACTGTGTCACCCAGGCTGGAGTGCAGTGGTGAGATCTCAGCTCACTGCAACCTCTGCCTCCCGGGTTCAAGTGATTCTCTTGCCTCAGCTTCCCAAGGAGCTGGGATTACAGGTGCCTGCCACCACACCCAACTAATTTTTGTATTTTTAGTAGAGATGGGGTTTCACCATGTTGGCCAGGCTGGCCTCGAACTCCCGACCTCAGGTGATCTAACTGCCTCGGCCTCCCAAAGTGCTGGGATTACAGGCTGAGCCGCTGCGTCCGGCCGGTGCTACACACTTTTAAACAACCAGATCTCAGGCAGGGCGTGGTGGCTCACACCTGTAATCCCAGCACTTTGGGAGGCCGAGGTGGGCAGATCACTTGAGGCCAGGAGTTCGAGACCAGCCTGGCCAACATGATGAAACCCCATCTCTACTAAAAAAAATGCTGGGCGTGGTGGCATGTGCCTGTAATTCTAGCTACTTGGGAGGCTGAGGCAGAAGAACTATTTGAACCCAGAAGGCAGAGAGAGGTTGCAGTGATCTGACATTACACCATTGCCCTCTGGCCTGGGCGACAGAGTGAGACCCTGTCTCAAAACAAAATTAAATTAAAATAAACAACCAGATCTGAGAACTCACTCACTAACACGAGAAGAGCAAGGGGGAAGTCCCCCACTATGATCCAATCACTTCCCACCATGCCTCTTCTCCAACACGGAGGATGACAATTCAACATGAGATTTGGTCAGGGACACAAATCCAAACCATATCACCTTGCCAAAGCAAGGCCTCAAAAAATTAGCAAAAACCTCAAAGTTGGGCTGGGCACAGTGGCTCATACATGTAATCCCAGCACTTTCGGAAGCTGAGGTGGGAGGACTGCTTGAGTCCACGAGTTCAAGACCAGCTTGGGCAACATGGTGAGAACCCCCCCATCTCTACAAAAAAATGTAAAAATCAGCTGGGCTTGGTGGCACACACCTGTGGTCTCAGCTACTAAGGAGGCTGAGGCAGGAGGATCTTGAGACCAGGAGGCTGAGGCTGCAGTGAGCTGTGTTCATGCCACTGAACTCCAACCTGGGTGACAGAGTAAGACCCTGTCTCAAAAATAAAACAAAAAGTCAGAGTTGTTCCTCTCCATGAAAATATTTATTTATTTTTGATTGTAGAGATGGGGTCTTACTATGTTGCTCAGGCAGGAGCACAGTAGCACAATCTTGGCTTACTGCAGTGTCAACCTCCCAGACTTAAGCAATCCTCCCACCTCAGCCTCTGAGTAGCTGGGACTACAAACATGTGCCACCATGCCCAGCTAAGTGTTTTTTGTGTGTGTTTTTTTTTTTTTTGGTTTCTTTTTTGGTAGAGATGGGGTTTCACTATGTTGCCCAGGCTGGTCTTGAACTCCTGGACTCAAGTGATCCTCCCGCCTCAGCCTCCCAAATTGCTGGGATTACAGGCATGAGCCACCACACCCAGCCCCATGGAAATCTTAGTAAAAGGCAAAAGATTTATGCAATCCGAAGGGAAACTAGAGTATGAATTTCATATAATTTTCATGTTGTTGTGAAACATTAATTTTTAAAAACCACTTGAAAACGTAAAAGCCATTATTAAATTACAGCCCACACAAAAAACAGGTGGAGTTTGCTGCTCCATTTTAAGCCAGCAAATTTGGGGATAGTTTGTTACAAGACATTTTTGTAGAAATAGTTACATGATACACACTGGTAACCTGATACAGGCTCTTCAGAGAAGTGGGTAGGGTGCTACATTTAGGGACATATATAAAACATTGAAAGGAGTCCAGATTTTCTATTATGTGCAATGAACATGATATAATCTGATTCACATTTTTAAAAATGTACTCTGGTTGCAGTCTGGAGAATGGATTATAATGGAGCAAGAGTGTTAAGAGATGACAGTGGCTTATATTTGTATTTGCGTGATAGAGATACAATATATTTCTTTTTTCTAACGTATGTTTCTTGTTAAATACTAGGAACAGCAGTTCTCAAACTTTTTGGTCTCAGGACCCCCTTAACCTCTAAAAATTATTGAGGACTGGCTGGGTATGGTAGCTAACACCTGTAAACTCAGCACTTTGGGAGGCCAAGGCAGGAGGATCACTTGAGCTCAAGAGTTCAGGCCGGGCATGGTGGCTCACGCCTGTAATCCCAGCACTTTGGGAGGTTGAGACGGGCAGATCACAAGGTCAGGAGTTTGAGACCAGCCTGGCCAATATGGTGAAACCCCGTCTCTACTAAAAACACAAAAATTAGCCAGGTGTGGTGGCATGCACCTGTAGTCCCAGCTACTTGGGAGGCTGAGGCAGAAGAATCGCTTGAACCCGGGAGGCGGAGGTTGCAGTGAGCCGAGATCGCACCACTGCACTCCAGTCTGGGCAACAGAGCGAGACTCCATCTCAAAAAAAAAAAAAGAGTTCAAGACCAGCTGGGCAACATGATGAAACACCATCTCTACAAAAACTACAAAAATTAGCCAGGTATGGTGGCATGAGCCTGTAGTCCCAGCTACCGGTGAGGCTCGGGCAGGAGAATCACTTGAACACAGGAGGCAGAGGCTGCAGTGAGCTGACATTGAGCCATTGCACTCCAGCCTGGGCAACGAGACTAAAACCCTGTCTTGAAAAAAAAAAATTATTGAGAACTCCAAACAGCTTTGAAAAATGTATGTGGATTATGTTTATTCATATCTACTGTATTAAAATTAAAACTGAGGAAAAATTTAGGTGCTCATTTAGGCTGGACGCAGTGGCTCACGTCTGTTAATTCCCGCACTTTGGAAGCCGAGGCAGGCAGATCACTTGAGGTCAGAGGTTCGAGACCAGCCTGGCCAACATGGTGAAACCCTGTCTCTACTGAAAATACAAAAATTAGCCGGGTGTGGTGGCAGGTGCCTGTAATCCCAGCTACTCGTGAGGCTGAGCCAGGAGAATTGCTTGAACCTGGGAGGCGGAGGTTCTAGTGAGCCGGGACCATGTCACTGCACTCCAGCCTGGGCAACAGAGCAAGACTCCATCTCATAAATAAATAAATACTCATTTAAAAATAAATAAAGCCATTACAGATTAACATATTTCTCATAAATAATAACTATATTTTCAAAAATAAAAAAAGTGAGAAACGGTACTTTGTAATTTTTAAAAATCTCTTTAATGTCTATTTAATAGAAGACAATATCTGTTCTACATCAGTCTGTTGCAATGTCACATGTCCTGTAGGCCTCGAGAAAACTCCACTGTGCTCTCATGAGAGAATGTGAGTAAAAGGCAAATAATGTCCTAATATTATTACGAAACTAGGTTTGAACTTAAGGATAACTGAAAAATATCTTGGGGTCCCAGGAGTCCCCAAACTATACTTTGAAAACTGCTGGCAGCATCATAGCTTACTTATTTTTATTTTTTATTGAGACAGGGTCTCATTTCATTGACCAGGCTGGAATGCAGTGGCATGATCTCAGGCTCACTGCAACTTTTGCCTCCCAGGCTCAAGCAGTCCTCCCACCTCAGCCTCCCAAGTAGTTGTGACTACAGGGGCATGCCACTATGCTGGCTAATTTTGGATTTTGTAGAGATGGGGTTTCACCATGTTGCCTAGGCTGGTCTCCCACCTTGGCCTCCCAAAGTGCTGGGATTACAGGCATGAGCCACCATGCCCGGCCCATAACAGCTCACTGTTAAATGCTAGACTGTAAGTGATTTTGAAGAATTCTGATGTACCTTCTATATTATAAAGAAATAAAGAGACTTGTCCAAAGCCAAACAATAAGGCAGCAATAAACAATGTTAGCTGGGCATGGTGGTGTACACCCATAGTCCCAGCTACTCAGGGGGCTGATGTCAGAGCATTGCTTATGCCCAGGAATTTGAGGCTGCAGTCTGCTATGATCATGTCTGTGAATAGCCATTGCACTCCAGCCTGGACAACATAGCAAGACCCTGTTCCAAAAAAAAAAAAAAAGCCTCTCTCTAAAAACAAAGACACTTTACTTTCAGGTCTTTGTACAATTATAAAAATCAATATTCAGTGCTCACTGATTCTGCTCCCAAATAGGCAAAGCAATCCTGAAAGACTGCAAAAAGAACTAAGCTTGAGGCATCACACTACCTGACTTCAAAATATACCACAGAGCTATAGAAACTAAAACGGCATGGTGCTGGTATAAAACAGTCACAAAGATCAATGGAAGAGAATAGAGAATTCAGAAATAAATCCACAGATTTACAGCCAACTAATTTCTGACAAAAGTGCCAAGAACATACGATGGGGAAAGGACAGTCTCTTTAATACATGGTGCTGGGAAAAAGGATTTCCATATGCAGAAGAATGAAACTGGACCCCTACCTCTCACCACATACAAAACTCAATCAAAATGGATTAAAGACTTAAATCTAAGACCTGAAACTTGAAACTACTAGAAGAAAATAACTGGGGAAATTCAGGAAAATCATCTGGGCAGAGACTTACGGAGTAAGACCTAAAGAGAATACACAGCCAAAGATAAATGGACAAATGGGATTACATCAATCTAAAAAGCTTCTGCACAGCAAAGGAAACAATCAACAAAATGAAGAGACTACCTACAGAATGAGAAAAATTATTTGTAAACTATTCATTTGACAAGGGTTTAATAATCAGAATATATAAGGAACTCAAACAACTCAATGGCATAAAAAAACCCAAATAATCTGATTTTAATATTGGCAAAATATCAGAATAGACATTTCTCAAAAGAAGACACATGTAAGTGGCCATAGGTATATTTAAAAATGCTCAACATTACAAGTTATCAGGGAAATGTAATTAAAACCACAGTGAGACATCTCACCTTAGTCAAAGTGGCTATTATCAAAAAGACAGAAAATAAGAAATGCTAGCAAGGACTTGGCAAAAAGGCAATGCTTGTACTCTGTTAGTGGGAATGTAAATTAGTATAGCCACTATGGAAAACACTTTGAAGATTCCTCAAAAAACTAAAAATAGAACGACTATATGATCTAGCAATCCCACTACTGGGTATAAACCCAAAAGAAAGGAAATCCGTATAATGAAGAGCTATCTACACTCCCATGTTTATTTCAGCACTATTCACAATGGCCAAGATTTGGAGGCAAGCTAAGTGTCCATCAATGGATGAATGGATAAAGAAAATGGTTTATACACACAATGGGATATTATTCAGCCATAAATAAGAATAAAATCCTGTAATTTGCAGCGCATGGATGGAACCAGAGGACATGATGTGAAGTAAAATAAGCCAGGCACAGAAAAACAAATTGCATTCACATTTCTCACTCATATGTGGGAGCTAAAAAACTGATCTCATGGAGGTAGAGAATAGAATGGTGGTTGCCAGAGGATGGAAAGGGTAGTGGGGGCAGTGGGGATGAAGAGTGATTGGCTAATAGGTACAAAAATAGTTAGATAGTCCTGGTGTTCGACAGCACAAGAGGGCAACTGTAATTAACAATAATTTATTGTATATTTCAAAATAGCTAAAAGTGAAGATCTAGAATGTTCCCAACACAAAGAAATGATACATGGTTGAGATGATGGATATCCCCATTACCCAGATTTTATCATTCCACTTTTTTTTTTTTTTTTTTTTTTGAGACAGGGTCTCACTCTGTCACCCAGGGTGGAGCAGTGGCACAATCATGGCTCAATGTAGCCTCAATCTCCTGGGCTCCAGTGATCCTCCTACCTCAGCCTCCAGAGTAGCTGGGACTACAGGCACGTGCTACCACACCTAGCTAAGTTTTGTATTTTTTTGTAGAGATGGGGTTTTGTCATGTTGCCCAGGCTGGTCTTGAACACCTGAGTTCAAGCAACCCACCCACCTAAGCCTCTCAAAGTGCTGGGATTCAGGTGTGAGCCATTGCACCCAGCCTGATCATTACAGATTGTATGCATGTATAAAAATATCACATGTACTCCATAAATGTGCATAACTATTATATAGCCATAATAATTAAAAATTAAAGTAATTAATTTTTTAAATAGCTAGCCAAGGTGACACATGCCTACAATCCCAGCTATGGGGAGGCTGAGGTGGGAGGATCACTTGAGCCCAGGAGTTCAAGACCAGTCTGGGGAACATAGCGAGATCCTGTCTCAAAAAATAAAAATATCAAAAAAGCTTGTGGATTCTGAAGCATTATACTTGATGTGGGATTTTCACCCCGTCTCCTGTTGCCCGTTTTCCCCCACCTGCAATTCATCTTCCACATTACCTCCAGAGCAACTGTTCTAAGCACAGATTTTATTTCATCACTCTCTTCCTTAAAATCCTTTGATGGTCCCCATTTTCTTCAGGATGAATTCACATTCCTTAGTACCACCCAGCAGGCAAGTCCTAAACTGGCCCCTGCCTGCCTCTTCGGCTTCATTCCCCTGTCACTCCAAAGATGCTGCAGCCCTTTAGAACTACTTTTGTTCTTAGAAGTTAATAATGTCTCATATCCATACCTTTACACCAATGGCATCTTTTCCTTAAGAAACAAAACAAACAAAAACACTCCCCTTCCTTTACTCAGCCATCTCCTTCCAGACCAAGCTCAGGTATCACACCATCTGAGAAAGTGTGCTTGGCACTGCATTCATCACAACACATTTCAAGTTTGCCTACTTGCCTGTCCACCTCCCTGCCTGGACTATGAGTTCCTCCAGAGCAGAAAGCAACTTAAATATATTTGTGTCTTTTTTTTTTTTTTTTTTGGAGACAGAGTCTTACTCTGTTGCCCAGGCTGGAGTCCAGTAGCACGATCTCGGCTCACCACAACCTCCATCTCCCAGATTCAAGTGATTCTCCTGCCTCAGCCTCCCAAGTAGCTGGGATTACGGGCACCTGACACCACACCCGACTAATTTTTGTATTTTTAGTAGAGATGAGGTTTCACCATGTTGCCAGGCTGGTCTCAAACTCCTGACTTCAGGTGATCCACCCACCTCAGACTCCCAAAGTGTTGGGATTATAGGCCTGAGCCACCGTGCCCAGCCCTTTGTGTCTTTAGTCAACAGTAGACAACCTGGCTAATATAGTTTGCCTGTGTCCCCACCCAAATCTCATTTTGAATTGTAGCTCCCATAATCCCCATGTGTCATGGGAGGGACCTGATGGGAGGTAACCGAATCATGGGAGTAGGCTTTTCCCATGCTGTTCCTGTGATAGTGAGTAAGTCTCACAAGATCTGATGGTTTTATAAAGGGCAGTTCCTCTGCACATGCTCTCTTGCCTGCTGCCATGTAAGATGTGCCTTTGCTCCTCTTTCCCCTTTCACCATGATTGTAAGGCATCCCCAGCCATGTGGAACTGCAAGTACATTAAAACTCTTTTTCCTTTTTTTTTTTTGAGACAGAGTCTCGCTCTTGTCGCCCAGGCTGGAGTGCAATGACACGATCTTGGCTTACTGCAACCTCCACCTCCCAGGTTCAAGCAATTCTCCTGCCTCAGCCTCCCAAGTATCTGGGATTACAGGTGCCCGCCACCACACTTGGCAAATTTTTGTATTTTTGGTAGAGACAGGGTTTCACCATGTTCGCCAGGCTCGTCTTGAACTCCTGACCTGAGGTGATCCACCTGCCCCGGCCTCCCAAAGTGCTGGGATTACAGGCATGAGCCACCATGTCTGGCCTAAACCTCTTTTTCTTTATAAACTACCCAGTCTCGCGTATGTCTTCACAGCAGTATGAAAATGGACTAATACACTGGCCCAAAGTGAACACCTCCATAAGCCTGTCACATGAACAACTTCTGAAAATTTGCTTTAGAAGCTTTATCTAATTGGGAATTAATGAGAGACAGAAATGAAGTGAGAAAATGAAGGGGGGGAAAAAGGTTTATCAAAGGAAAAAGAAAAACTAGAATCCTAAAAAAATGAAGCAATTTTGAGAAGTAATCTTAAAGTGGGCAATATGGTTTTTAGTCTGATCATAGAATGAGTTTCACTCCCTGAATGAGTGTGACCTGACCTGGTCTTTCTGAAAGATCACTTTTTCCTGTGTAATTTAGTATGCATACGAATCACACATAGGCTGACTAATCAACTGCTGAAGATTCTGCATCTGTATCGCAAGATGAGAACAATCTAAAGAACAGCAGAAATTTTAAAAAGATATATCATGAATATATATAATCTATTATAGTTACACCTGTTATATTTTAGAAGGAACTATAGGAAGCCTACATATATTAGTATACAGTACAAGCTATATTAAATAAAGGACTTGCTCCCTCTGATTTCATAGCAATCATAACACAGCACACCAAGGTCAAGAAATCACTGTGAGTTCTCCTGTTCTGTATTTAAGGAAAGATTAAGAGGCATAAGCTCACAGGGTGGTCTCCTGTCCTTTCTTCATGAGCACTCTGGCCACATGGAAAACAATCCTGAGATGGGACAGTTGGCACTTAATTAGCTGAACGCCTAGGACCAGCCTCTACGCAAGATGTCTTACATACATTAGGCACCTCACTTAAACTACTCTTCCTAAGTTCAGTCACAATCAGCAACAAAAATAAATTTTGATGCTTATAAGTATTCATTCAACAAATATTCACTTAAGAACTACAAGTAGGGTCTGCGAGAGCAAATGAACTTGTCTATCTCGCTTACTTTTGTATCCCAAGATGTTGGTGGAGTGCCTAGCACATAATGGAACATAAGGACTGGAGGATTTTGCCTCTTAAGCCTCTTGAATCTGTCCATTTCTCTTCCTATGTCCTTCCACTGACCTAGTCCCAGGCCAGTCCTGTAGACTAACTGCCCTGCAGCCATTCTTGCCCCTTCTAATTCCGGATTTCTCAACTTCAGCACTATCGACATTTTGGGCTGGATGATTCTTTGTTGTAGGGGCTGTCCTGTGCACTATAGGATGTTTGGCAGGATCCCTGGCTTCTACCCACTAAATGCCAGTAGCATCAACCCCATGCCATGCCCCAGCTGTATCAACCAAAAATGTTTCTAGACATTTGGCAAAATCACACCTAGCTAAGAACCACTGTCCTAGAGCTGACTTGACCTCCTCTGTCCTCAGCCTCAGCAATTCTTACCCTCTACGGTTGAACTCAAACAGCATCAAGCAAGAAAGCATCTCCCAGCTGGGCACAGTGGCTCACACCTGTAATCCCAGCACTTTGGGAGGCCGAGGTGGGTGGATCACCTGAGGTCAGGAGTTCAAGACCAGCCTGGCCAACCAGTGAAACCCCATCTCTATTAAAAATTTAAAAAGTTGCTGGGCGTGGCAGTGCAAGCCTGTAATCCCAGCTACTCAGGAGGCCGAGGCAGGAGAATCACTTGAACCCAGGAGGTGGAGGTTGCAGTGAGCCAAGATAGTGGCCACTGCACTCCAGACTGGGCGGCAGAGTGAGACTCCGTCTCAAAAAAAAAAAAAAAAAAAAAAGCAAGCATCTCCTGATCCCCTGCCACCAGACCAAACTGATTCTCACTGCTGGTCTCTTCCACAACGATGCTCTATTTCTTTACAGCATTTCTCACAATAGTAATGAAGTGGCAGTTAATGTCTGACTGCACCACCAGAATATAAGCTCCTTGTCAGCAGGAGCCAAGTCTGCTTTGTTCACTGCTGGATCCCCAGGGGCCTGGTACAGTGCTCAAAAATTAAGTAGTCACTGAATGAATGAGGCAGGCACTCTGCCAGGGCACAGGGATTTGAAGATAAGGAAGATTCCATCTTTGTGACCAGGATGCTGAGCACAGAAATAGCAAATAAGTTTCATCTCCCAGGCAAGCTCAATTAACTGGTAACCAAATTGAGAAGCTGTGCATGTAAAAATAAGTTTCTTCTGAGGCAGCAAAATACAAGATACCACATTCCAAAGTGAAGTGTTGGGCCAAGATGCAAAGTTTCTTAAGGAACAGTTGCAGACTCATCCAAATCATGGTAGAAAGGTCCAGGAGGTGGCGATCAGAGGAGGTTTTCAGAGGTAGCTGGCATTCTGTGACGCCTGCTCCACCTCATTCAAGGGGGAGCAGTGGAAGTCTGTTTCCCACTTCCTTACGCCCAAGAAAAGGGCTCAACAAAATTACCAAGAGAACTCACTATGGGTCCATGAAGTTGGGTGGGTACCATGTCTGTGTAACACCTGAAAAATATAAAGTGCTGGCTGGCTAATTGCTCTGAGGACAAGAGAGAAGTTGTCACTCCGCTGGAATCAGCCCACCCTCCCCTAGTCTGAGCAAAGGACGTGGGCCACATACAACAAAGAACCAGCAGAAGGTCACCCTGGGCCTACTCACTGGGCAAAAGAGGCTGAAATGAGAAGCTCCCATTATTATCAGATTCTTAGGATCTATGGAAGGAATAAGCAACCAAACGGAATGAAGAGGCATTTGGTCTCATCAGGGGAAAAGCAGGTGACCACTCCTGAGCACGGCGGTGGCTGTGGTCTCTGAAGGATGCCCCTTGAAAACACTCAAGAAAGAATAAGCTCTGGCCGGGCGCGGTGGCTCACGCCTGTAATCCCAGCACTTTGGGAGGCCGAGGCGGGCGGATCACGAGGTCAGGAGATCAAGACCATCCTGGCTAACACGGTGAAACCCCGTCTCTACTAAAAATACAAAAAATTAGCCGGGTGAGGTGGCGGGAGCCTGTAGTCCCAGCTACTCGGGAGGCTGAGGCAGGAGAATGGCGTGAACCCCGGGGGGCGGAGCCTGCAGTGAGCCGAGATCGCGCCACTGCACTCCAACCTGGGCGACAGCGAGACTCCGTCTCAAAAAAAAGAAAGAAAGAAAGAAAGAATAAGCTCTAACACCTGCACAACATCCCAGAGAGCTCCTGCACTCATTCAGGAAGAAGTTTCCTGTCCTCATTTCCTTCCTTTCTTTCATGTGCTCCAACACAGGAGGGATCAGAAACAGGTTACAGAGCAGAAAGAGAATCATCAAGTGATGAAAAGTGAGAAGATGCCCACTGTGGCCACCCTCCCTTCCTCCACTGCAGGCTTTCTCCCTGCAGCAGGCCTGTACTGGGAGAAGGAACTTAGGCTTTAAGTTCTGTTATGCTTTAGGACTGAAGACTCTAATTGCTGAATTCACATTCTGTTCTGTAGTGTGAAGTGACCACAGAAATATCAGGCCCACCTGAATTTTCATCCAGGGGCAGGGGTGCAAGACAATACAAAGAGCCAGTGGAAGATAAAGAATAAAGGGATTGGCTACACATCCCACAAGGTGTGCTTATTCAACATGACAATTACAGCCAGCTGCCTACCCAGCATCACTTATCTATTCTTCTTCCATAAAGGAACCTACCCCTACATAACAAATATTTGGGAGACCAGTCCCGAGATTCAGAGGTAGGTCAGATTGGTCTAAAAGTAACCCCTTTCTCCTTTCAAGAGATTTGCTTAAGAATGGCTCTATAAGCATAACTGGGACCAATGCCAGGAAAGGACTGCTGAGGTCCTGGGTCAAGTTCTTCCTCCATCTTCTGACAGTCCTCTCAAAAGTTGGAGGAACACCAAACTGTTAGAGAAATTATTCTGAAACTATATCTGGGCTTAGGAACGGAAAAGTGCCATGATGAACAAGGCCGAGTCTTAGGAAGGCAGGGTGCCAGGTATGCGGTGTAGGCAGCTGGTAGGAAGTGTGGATCTAGAGCTTGTTGGAGAGGCAGCAGGCATGGTTAAGGCCAGGCGCAGTGGCTTATGTCTGTAATCCCAGCACTTTGGGAGGCCAAGACAGGCAAATTGCTTGAGGTCAGGAGTTTGAGACCAGCCTGGCTAACATGGTGTAACCCCGTCTCTACTAAAAATACAAAAATTAGCCAGGTGTTGTGGTGGGTGCCTGTAATCCCAGCTACTCGGGAGGCTGACACAAGAGAATCGCTTGAACCCAGGAGGTGCAGGTTGCAGTGAGCTGAGATTGCGCCACTGCACTCCAGCCTGGGAGACAGAACGAGACTCCGTCTCAAAAAAAAAAAAAAAAAAAAAGTCAGGTTAAGTTTTTCTCTCACAATGTGATAACATTCATTAACAAAATGAACAATATTTAGATCTCAAGAGAAAGACCAAATGCAATTATCAAATCACCATATAAGTTAAAGGTATATATTTGATCATCACTGAAAGATTTATAACGGCACACTTGAGCTGTGTTTAACAAAGCTCCATATTAATATATCCATGCAAGAAAACAAGTTTCCCAGATAGATTAATTAACCAGATATTAAAAATAGAAACAATCTACTTTACAACTTCTAGAGCAAGGTAAAGGGCTAACAGCTATCACAGACACAATGTCACCAGTAAAGCCAGGGAGAGGAAATGGGTTTTGACTGAAGCCAGTGTCTTCAAGACATCTGTTGTTCCGGCCCTTCTTTGGGTAACAGCCTTGTGATTATCTTCTGAAGCTCTCCTCTCAGTTCACGTGGTTCAGTTGAGACTGACAGCCCCACCCACTCCCCTATTTCTGGAGACGATCCCAGTGGTTAACAAGGGTATAACAAGGGCACTCATTCCTCTGGCTAGGCAGGCAGCCCTGGGTCTAGTTGGCACTAATGAGAAAGAAAAGCTATCTTTCTGCTGCAGTTACTGAACTGGTAGAACAGAAGGTGGGGTTGCCAGCAGCAATCCTTGTTCTCATATGAGGAGAGCTTGCTGAGAAGTAAACTAAAGAGGGGAAGGCAGAGGTGAGAAACAGGGACAAAAAGAGATTCCTGATGACATCATTTGAGCACCTCGATCCACTCCTGCCAGAAATTTCACCATATATATATATATATATATATATATATTTTCTTTTTTTTTTTTTTTTTTTTGGTTAACCTTTTTGTTTTGTTTTGTTTGAGACAGAGCCTCACTCTGTCGCCCAAGCTGGAGTGCAGTGGCACAATCTTGGCTCACTGCAACATCTGCCTCCAGGGTTCAAGCGATTCTCCTGCCTCAGCCTACCAAGTAGCTGGGACTACAGGCATGCACCACCACGCCCAGTTAATTTTTGTATTTTTTGTAGAGACAGGGTTTCACCATGTTGGCCAGGCTGCTTTCGAACTCGCCTTGGCCTCCCAAAGTGCTGGGATTACACACATGAGCCACCACACCTGGCCTCATCCTATATTTTTCAATTATCCCAGTTAACAAACTGGTTAATAATAAACTAGTTAATAAGCTAGGTCTGAGTTGGGAGTCTGTCACTTGCAACCTAGTGCTGTTAACTAATTCTAGCTGCAATGTTAAACCACTAGTAATTCAAAAAGAAAAAGCGATCACAAACTTCTCTGACATTACCAACTTTATGCTAAAATTACTCCCACCACTTCCTAAAATAATCTTTCCTTGTCTCTCTTCTGTTTAAACTCCTACTTGTCCATGAAGCCTCCCTAAAGCTCATGCCTCCTTGAAAAGGTGTCAGAACTGCCTCGAGGATGTTTCAACCCACAACATTCTTCTGTCTTCTGACTTTCTAAGCAATTGTTGTGTACTAACTCAGGCATTCAATTGCTTATTCCCCTGTGTTGTTATTCAGTCCTCATACATACATCTTGGCCTCATCTCAACTAAACAATAGCCAAAGGCATGAGCTATAATTATTTGTATCTCTGACAGCATTTTCCACTGTATATTCTGACGACAGCATCTTCCACTGTACAGTCTAACAACAGGTCTCAGATTTTTAGAGAAAGTTACCAGAGCAGGAATGACTCTCAGAGCATGAAAATGTTCAAGTTATATCAGATCAATCACATTTGAGAAATAAAAGGGAACTATAAACGCTACATCAGAGCAAAAAATTTACCTTTACTTGAAATAAATTTGAAAGGATGTCAGTTAAGATCAACCCAATTAATCAATCCATTCATTCATGCATCCATCAAGTATTTATTCAGCATCTACTGGGTACCAATCACTTTCTAGTGGCTAAGAATACAGCAGAGAATAAGACAAGGTCCCTACTTTGATAGTTAGCTGGACTATGTACCTCTCACAAACCCCCCAAAACAAAGAGACCCTTTAAAAAGGCTCTGTGTGGCCATTGGCATCTCTAGTATAAAATCCATTACAAGTCATGCTTCTCATGTGAAGTATCCAATAAATGTATATTCACAAAACATTAAAGCTAAAATGAGGCTCTTAGAAATATAGTCTCATAGTTTGTAAACATTTTTTAAACAATGAAACCTTTCCCAGAAAACAAGTCCACACGAAATAGATAAGAGGGGCTACTCCCAACCCACAAGGCAGCTGGGAGTAACTCAGTTTGGGAACCACTGAGGATCACAATTTGTGCTGCACCTAGGAGCAGGCCAGACGGTCCCCACTCTCAGGCCAGGCCTCTTTCTAACTCATCTGTTTGTTGCCTTTGGCCAAGAACACACTCAAATATATCTGTTTAATGAGTGAACTAATCAAATACAAAAATGATAACTAATTTCTTGAAATAAGGCCAGTATAAGACACTGGTCACCACTGAGGCTGAACATAACTTGAGCTAGACCCAGTTTTCAATTCTCCTTTTCACAGAAAATAACTCATTGATTCAAAATGGCAACAGAAAAGCAGGAAAGCAAAAGGGAGCAGAGAGGTCACGGAAAAATTACCATTCATTACGAGTAGATTCTATGTGAACCTATTTTGCTTCCTTATGCAAGTTAATTCTTGGATATTTGTTTCCATACTTAGTGCACAAAGGAAGTGATACGTTATACATACACCATACCCCCACACACAGATACACATACACATATACACACTGATCTACAACCCTCTATTAGTAATCCTGAAATCCAAAATGCTCTGAATACTGGAGGGGCTTTCAACTTTTTGTTTCTAATTTTTAATTTTTTTAATTTTATTTTTCTGATTTTTAATTTTTTTTTTTTTTCAAAACAGACCAGCCCTACCTAGAGATCTTTTTGTACCTTATTTGGCAACTAAACTTGACCTGCCCTGTACTTATTTGGTGGCAAAATGACTAAACTGACTTGAGGCTAGGTATAGTCTGTATTTTCCTGAGTGTGAAGAATTGTGGACTTGTATATAAATGGTTCGATTAAATAATGATGGCCCTGAAATAATAAATTTTAACTCAAAAACACGTTTTAAAATCTATACAGTAGCAACTAACAGAGAACAAATTATTTAAAAACCAGAAGTTTCTAAGCTAAAAAGGATCTTAAGAGCAGTCAATCTAGTAACACCATTTGTGGAGCTAACTAATTTACAATAGACTGATTACCTGCTACCTACAGTCCAAGGCAATGCATTTTTGTGACCACTAGTCCCCATTCTGAAGGCTCTCCCTGTGGGAGTTGTTTTTTTTTTTTTTTTTTTTTTTTTTTTGAGACCAGGTCTACCAGGCTGGAGTGCATGGCACAATCACAGGCACTGCACCTCAAACTCCTGGGCTCAAGCAACACTCCTGCCACAGCCTCCTGCCTCCTGAGCAGCTGGGACTACAGGCATGTGCCACCACACCTAGCTAACTTTTTTTATTTATGTATTTATTTTTGAGACAAGGTTTCACTCTGTCACCCAGGCTTAAGTGCAGTGGTGCAATCACGGCTCATGCAGCCTCAACCACCAGGGCTCAAGTGATCCTCCCACCCCAGTCTCCCAAGCAACTGGGACTACTCTACTTTTTTTGCAGAGATAGGGTTTCGCCATGTTGCCCAGGCTGGTCTCAAACTCCTGAGCTCAAGCAATTCTCCTGCCTCGGCCTGCCAAAGTGCTGGGATTACAGGTGTGAGCCACCACGCCCAGCCTTTATTTTTATTTTTTTTTGTAGAGACAGGGTCTCCTTTGTTTCCCAGGCTTGTCCAACTCCTGACTTCAAGCAATCCTCCAGCCTTAGTCTCCCAAAGTCCTGGGATTACAGGCATGAGCCACCTCACCCAGCTTGTTTTGTTTGATACTTCCTTCCCTCAATTCTACTTCTCGAAGTTTGGATGAATATAGAAAAGGCTTATCAAAATACAGCATCAAATACCTGTTATATTGAGAGGAGGAGACGATAACAAATTTACAGTTAACAATGATCTTCTGAGGGCCAGGCACAGTGGCTCGCACCTATAATCCCAGCATTTTGGGAGGCCAAGGCAGGCGGATCACCTAAGGTCCAGAGTTTGAGACCAGCCTGGCCAACATGGTGAAACCCTGTCTCTACTAAAAATACAAAAACTTAGTCTAGCGTGATGGCGGGTGCCTATAATCCCAGCTACTCCGGAGGGTGGGGCAGGGAAAATTACTTGAACCTGGAAGGTGGAGGTTGCAGTGAGCTGAGATCACCCCACTGCACTCCAGCGTGGGCAAGAGTGAGACTCTATCTCAAAACAAAACAAAAAAAACAATGATCTTCTTAGTCCAAAAGGACTTACAATTAGTGAGCTTACAATCCATTACAATTAGTGAGATTATTAACAAGTTGGTAATATTAACTATATGATCAAAGTATTCTGATTCAAGGATATATTTCAAAATAAGGTTTAAGGACATAAAAGAGTTGATAATATAATAGCAGCAGTAGCCATGACCATTTAATGAGGGTCTGTTATGTAGTAGGAACTGTGTGAGGTGCTTTACATACCCATCTTATTTAATCCTCATCAACCCTGCAAGGAAGGTAATCTGGCCTCCATTTCAAAGATAAGGAAGCTCAGAGAGGTTAAATATCCTTCCCAAGATCAGACAAGGAACAGCCTGGGCTGTTTGAGAAACCATAAAAAGGGGTGCTCAAGAGCACAGCTTAGGCTGGTCGTGGTGGCTCACGCCTGTAATCCCATGGGAGACCAAAGCAAGCGAATCATGAGGTCAGGAGTTCGAGACCAGTCTGGCCAACATAGTGAAACCCCATCTCTACTAAAAATACAAAAAATTAGCCAGGTGTGGTGGCACGCACCTGTAATCCCAGCTACTTGGGAGGCTGAGACATGAGAATCACGTGAACCCAGGAGGCGAGACATGAGAATCACGTGAACCCAGGAGGCAGAGGTTGCAGTGAGCCGAGATTGCGCCATTGCACTCCAGCTTGGGTGACAGTGTGAGACTCCATCTCAAAAAACAAACAAAAAAAAAAGCACAGCTCTGAGCCAGCCTGGCTTGGTTTGAAGCCCAGCTCTGCCACAAATTAGCTGGATTCTAATGCAAATGCATCCATTTCATCACCTATAAAATGGTTATAATAATAGCACCTATCCCACAGGGGTGATGTTGTGAGGATTAAATCAGTTAACATATGTAAAGCAATTAAGAGAGTGCCTGATACCTGTTAAGACCAATATAAGTATTAGCTATTATTATGATCATTATCAACTGGAGTCAGCAATCAAGGCCAAATCTGCCTAATCATGCAGCTCCTCTTTTCCATTATGCCTTACAAGTTAACCACAGGCCAGCTGCCTTCACCTCTCATGACACCTGTTGGCACTGTCTGCCTCTCATTTCTCTTGTCTGTTCCAAACCTTATGATCTGTGGCCATTTCAGGACTGCAACAAAATGTCTCTCTTTTGGTAAACAGCCAAGCATGGAATGAAAGCAAAAAGAAAAGGATATAAAATGAAAAATTCGGGCCAGGTGCGGTGGCTTACACCTGTAATCCCAACACTTTGGGAGGCCAAGGCAGGCAGATCACTTGAGGTCAGAAGTTTGAGACCAGCCTGGCCAACATAGTGAAACTCCATCTCTACTAAAAATACAAAAATTAGCTGTGCATGGTGGTACGCGCCTGTAGTCCCAGCTACTCAGGAGGCTGAGGTAGGAGAATTTCTTGAACCTGAGAGGTAGAGGTTGCAATGAGCCGAGATGGAGCCACTGCATTCCAGCCTGGGCAACAGAGCAAGACTCTGTCTCAAAAAAATAAAATAAAATGAAGAATTCTAACACCTGATGCCTTTAAGTCATCTTCACACTGCATGGGACTTAATAAACAGTTAACTCAAAATTAATCAAGGCCAAAAAAATCACACAAAAGCAATAAGGCACCTAACTACACACAGATACATTAAGTTGCAACACATGAAACAAAGACGAGCAAGTACTATAATATTAAGTACATATTTCACACTTACAAATCTGGAGCTTTCTCACCCTTATGGTAAGACATTTTTTCCCAGCCTCTAGAACCAAGAACTACTAAAAAAGTACATGCTCAGAATTCATGCCATATAATTTAGCCATTAAACAAACACTTGCACTGCATTCTCTGGCAGTACCTGGCACTGTGCTTGGGCCAGGGTTACAGTATTTACAGACAGCACCTTCTCTTACGGAGCTTACAATCCAGCATGGGTAAAGACTTCAAGCAAATGTATACTGTGGCATTTCTAAAAACTACTCTGTTAAATTTTAAAACCTTTTGTAACCTCCTACCAAAAAAAAAAAAAAAAAAGAAAAAGAAAAAAACTAAAACTAAGGAACAGATTTCAAACCACTTAAAAATACAGCTTTCCTCCCCGTTGCTAAAAGTGGCTTTCTTGGGCCAGGTGCGGTAGCTCATGCCTGTAACCCCAGCACTTTAGAAAGCCAAGAAGGGAGGATCACTTGAGCCCAGGACTTCCAGACCAACCTGGGCAACATAGGGAGACCTCCGTCTCTATTTTTAAAAAACGGTGGGCGAGGGAGCAATATCTAAAATCACATACATGCCTTTTTCCAGTTCTGACTTGCTCATAGTCTCTGCACACGTTTATGATAAAGAATACTGTATTTGGCCGGGAGCGGTGGCTCACGCCTGTAATCCCAGCACTCGGGGACGCCGAGACAGGGCGATCGCCTGAGCTCAGGAGTTCGAGACCAGCCTGGGCAACATGGCAAAACCCCGTCTCTAATAATGAAAAAATACATACTGTATCGGGGCATCGCGGGGCACGGCGAGGGCAGTGCAGGGTCGAGGCGCCCGGTCCAGGCTGCGGCGCCGCTACTCACCTCTCCGAACTGGAAGGCGGAGACGATGGTGACAACGACGCCCAAGAAGCACACGTAGAGCCCATACCTGTGGGACAGGCAGGTATAGGTCTGTCTCTGCAGGAGCTTGAACAGCATCACCCCTTCACCGCCACGCCACGCCCCGAGGAGCCTGAGCCGCCGCCGCCGCCGCCGCCGCCTCAGCGAGCCGCCATTCAGGGGCCCCGGTCGGGCCGCCGCGCGCAGGTCACAGCCTCCGGGCGCCGCTCATTGCAGCTCCGGCGACGGACGCCCGCTCGGCTCCGCGCCGCGGCCGCCGCTTCCGGGAGCCGGGAGCCCACGCCCTCGGCGCGGCGGAGGCGGACCTGCGGCCGGCGAGGCGGCCGGCGCCGCCCGGGTCTGGCCGGGCGAGAGGCGGCTGCGGCGGCGGCGGGGTCTCCAGCGCCACCTGGAGGACGGAGGGGCATAGGGAAGGTGCGCGCCCTCCCCACCTGCGCTTGCGCAGCGGGCCCTGAGGGCTGGGCTGGGAGGGGCGGAGCTGAGCTGGGATCCACTTACCCGGTTGGGCAGGCGACCAAGAGAAAACTGCCCCCTGCGTCGAGACTGTGCCATAGACGGTACTATAATGCCATGAATATTTTTGTGCATAAAACCTTCTCTGCACTTAGCATTCTCTGCAGAGTGCTAAAAGGAGATGCTGTATGTGGCTCCTTTCCTCCAACCCCCAACTATATTGTTTGAAAGAGGAAACCTTTGGGTTAAATCTGCCAAAACCGAATTTCGTTCATTCATTTAGTCGTTAAATATGTAATTTGTGCCTGTTAGGTGGCATAGTGCTTGGTGTCAGGTATTCAAAAATGAACTAGACCTGGCTACTGTTCTCAGAGAGTCTAGTGGGGGAGATAAACATGTAAACCACTAAATACAAGAGTTGTTATGATAGAAATCATGCGATGAACTGGAGGGGAACCAGCTCAGGGGTGGCCAGGTAATCCGACTTTGACAGCAGGTTTTTCCCACGAGATCCTTTCCTTGGTGCCTCTGATTTACGAAAGGGAGATCTTTTTCTTAATCCCAATGCACCCTAGTCAATAAGATTTTTTTCCTAGTCACCCTGGGAAACAATACACTTATCTAATGTTGCCATCATTCAAAGCATTTTTAAAAATATCTTGGGAACCAGCTTCAGGAAATACTCAAATTCGCACCCTCAGTTTGATGGTCAGGTGGAATTAACAGACTTGCAAAAGGGGTTAGCTTCACTCCAATCCAAGGCAAGATTTTTTACACTTTGCAGTCACTTCTTTTAATCCTTCTTTTAAAAAAGATGATTGATATATGCTATATGTACATGGCAAAAGATTATTGCAGTTGTACAAGACACATATAGTTCTGAGGTCTTTTCAAGCATGATAACAGATCTGAGGACTTAATCAGAAGGGGTAAAAAAGCATGGTAACAGATATAAAAACATCTGCCACTCAACAGGACTCTCAGGATAATGGCCAACATTTATGTAGCATCTGCCATGTGCCCAGCTCATCTAATCCTCACAATAATCTTATAATGGAGATACCATTATTATCCCCATTCTACAGATCAAGAAACTGTGATGAAAAAAAGTAACTATCTAACATCACACAAATAGTAAATGACAGAATTGAGATTTGAACCAGGTACTTAGGCTGTAGAACAGGGCCAAGATTAGGGGAAGGTACTGTGAAATGAGTCATGCAAGTTTGGAGTGAGATTCTGTCTTTGTTTATAGTTTTGATATCGGGGCTGGGTGTGGTGGCTCATGCATGTAATCCCAATACTTTGGGAGGTCAATGTGGGAGGATAGCTTGAGCCCAGGAGTCTGGGAGCCCAGAAGTTTGAGACCAGCCTGGGTAACAGACCCTGTTCCTATTAAAATAAAAAAAAAATTTAAAACGTAAAATAAAACATAAAGTTTGGGTGTTTTGCTTTTCATGGATATTCTTCAGTAATGTTTTTTGTTTTTTTTGTTTTTTGGGTTTTTTTTTTTTTTTTGAGACAGAGTCTTGCTCTGTTGCCCAGGCTGGGTTGCAGTGGCGTGATCTCAGCTCACTGCAACATCCGCCTCCTGGCTTCAAGCAATTCTCCTGACTCAGCCTCCTGAGTAGCTGGGATTACAGGCACATGCCACCACCCCCGGCTAATTTTTGCATTTTTAGTAGAGATGGGGTTTCAGCATCTTGGTCAGGCTGGTCTTGAACTCCTGACCTCAAGTGATTCACCTGCCTTGACCTCCCAAAGTGCTAGGATTACAAGCATGAGCCACTGCGCCCAACCATTAATTTTGATTTTTTAAAAATATTGCATTAGGCTGGGCACGGTGGCTCACGCCTATAATCCCAGCACTTTGGGAGGCTGAGGCGAGTGGATCACCTGAGGTCAGGAGTCTGAGACCAGCCTGACCAACATGGAGAAACCCCATCTCTACTAAAAATACAAAATTAGCAGGGCATGGTGGCACATGCCTGTAATCCCAGCTACTCAGGAAGCTGAGGCAGGAGAATCACTTGAACCCGGGAGGCAGAGGTTGCGGTCAGCCGAGATCGTGCCATTGCACTCCAGCCTGGGCAACAAGAGTGAAACTCCATCTAATAAAAAAAAAAAAAAAAATATATATATATAGCATTAAAATATTATTCCTCTTGATTAGTGAGTTTTTTGGAGTTCCCTCGGATTTTCCACCCAAGACAAGTGCTTCACTGTCCTCACTTTAGTCCTAGCCTTGCCTAGAACCTGTCCTTCTTAAAAAGTATGCTTTGTTGTAGTATGAATTACCCTTAAATTTTTCCTTTATCTTTAGGCTCCAACTAGACAGCCTCAAGGGAGGTCAGGAGCATTGTCTAAGTCCTTTCTTCTAGAGAACTTGCTCTTGTTCACTCCCTTTTCCCCCTCCTCAGGCAGTATGGTTGAACTTAAATAAAATAAATGTGGGTGCAATATGATATACCTGTAGTAGCTACCTTATACAGTTAGGAGGGTTATGTAAAATAACACATGAAAATGCTCAAGTGCCTGCGACATTTTTAGTGTTGGAAAAATTTAAGAAAATTAACATTTAGCCTTGTTCTGAAAGCAATGAGGTTTTCAGCAGGAGAATTAACTGATTAAATATGCACTTCAAGAACATTAGTAGTATGTAAATGCATAAGTTGTGGAAATTATTTTTTTAAATTTTTTGTAGAGACAGGGTCTCACTATGTTGCCCAGGCTGGTGTTGAACTTCTGGGCTCAAGCAATCCTCCCACTTTGGCCTCCCAACATGCTGGGAGCCACCTCACCTGGCCTGGAAATGATTTTAAACTCTCCACATCTGAACAGTGGAAAAAATATGCAGTAGCATCCCATTTATCTGGAAATATTTTATCTGGCAACCTAAAAGAGCCAGAAAAGCCAAAAGATCAAAAAGGATTCCCAGGAACCCAGTGAAACCCCTGAGTTTTGCTTTTAGAAGAACCCCACAGTCCCTCTCAAAATCTGATAAATATAATTCCGAGAAACTGTCATCTGGGTTCTCAGTCTATAGCAGATAAATAAATAAATAAAGAGGTCCCTTTCCTGCCTTTCTCCCAAACATGAAGTAACTAGAGAAAAAAATGATGTAGAAAATATTTTTTAAAAAAGTCAAATGAATTCCAAAAATGTAATCATCTTCACATCAATGATGTAGATATCTGTAAGAGCAGAGAGATAGAGTGAAGGCAACAGTACCTCCAAGTACAGTCAGTAGGCTAATATGGCATATAGTGGTGAGCTCAATCTATGAGAAAAGTTTAAGTAATGGTTAGTGTTTATTCAGCATTTGTGAATGAATGCTTTGTGCTGGGCATTTTATTGGACATTGAGTCTATCTCGTAATGACTTAGGTACCCCAATACTTGGGTACCAAGAAAGACATGGTCCCTGCTTTTGTGGGATTTACACTCTGGAGGGGCATATATATATTGGATTAGTATTGTGAGGGGCACTAACCTAGCCTGGGAGGTCAGGGATGGCTTCCTGGAGGAGGTGATACTAAAGATTGAGCTGGAGGACTCAAGATGTGGGGTGGGAAGGGAACTATGTTCCAGGCAAGGCTGGCCACATGGAAGGCCTAATCTAAGGCAAGAAGGGCTGGAGATGCAATGAAATGGAACTAGAGAGTCTGGCAGGATCTTAAAGGCCATAGCAAGAATGAAAGACCTTATCCTAAAGACAATGAAGAATTTTAATAAAGTCTAACAAATGACACAATCAGATAATGAATTTCAAGAGTTATCATAACTGTGGCGTGGAAAATGTATTGGAGGGGGCCTGAGGAGTTGAAATGAGACCAGTGATAGTAGAGTTGCCAGATAAAATACCCAGTTAAATGTGAATTTCAGATAAGCAGCCACATACATTTAGCATAAGCAAATCCCATGCAATACTTAAAAAGCTTTATTTACTTGAAATTCACATATAACTGTGTGTCCTGTATTTTTTATTTTATTTTATTTTTTTGAGATGGAGTTTCGCTCTTACTGCCCAGGCCAGATTGCAATGACGTGATCTTGGCTCACTGTAACCTCTGCCTTTTGGGTTCAAGTGATTCTCATGCCTCAGCCTCCTGAGTAGCTCGTATTACAGGTGCCCACCACCACACTCAGCTAATTTTTTGTATTTTTAGTAGAGACAGGGTTTCACCATGTTGGCCAGGCTGGTCTTGAACTCCTGACCTCAGGTGATCCACCCGCCTCAGCCTCCTAAAGTGTTGGGATTACAGACGTGAGCCACCGTGCCCAGCTGTGTCCTGTATTTTTATTTGCTGCAGATGTTCTGAGCCACTCTTGACCAGGCATGGGAATTCCTGTCCCTTGGCCCAAGCCAGTGCCTAGAAAGTGTATCTGAGTCAGGGATGAAGTATTAGCCTATATATCCCCTTGTCCATAGATGTAAAACAACATTCTGCAGTTAATTTCATTAATATTAAAGCTGATCCTCATCTGCCTGTATCTTGCATGATCTTCTCAATTGGTTCAAAACTCAGGAGACAATGAGAATGTTTTTATGTATTGGACCCTAAAACATTTACCATCTTTGAGTCTCCCTTTGCTTAGCCAGGGTGAAAACTGAACATCCAAAGAAAACAATCTTGCTCAATCAGGGACCTCTTGTCCCAGGCCTACACATATTTTGTGTATAGAAATAGTGTGCTTCAAAAGCCTCACTGTGAGGTCATAAGAAAATTAAAGAGCTTTCAGTAGCTGATTAAAGTTAAAATACCTCCTGTTAAGTGTATATTTAATTAAGTCCTTCCTTTATTAATGATAAGAAGATAAAATGTTCATGTTGTAAATGCTTTCCTTTTAAGCTCTAGGCTTGAAAATCTTGCTTGTTCCCAGGAAACACATTTTGATTTTATTCCCTCCCTTAGTGTATATTCATAGACATGTAAGTTGTAAGTCATCCTATTCCTTTCTTTAGTCTAAGAAAGCCAGACAGCCATAAAAAAGAATGAAATTATGTCCTTTGCAGCAACATGAATGGAGCTGGGTGCTATTATCCTAAGTGAACTAACTCAGAAACAGAAAATCAAATGCTGCATGTTCTCATTTATAAGTGGGAGCTAAACAACGGGTACACATGGGCATAAAAATGGCAATATTAATAATTAAAACCAGGGACTCCAAAAAAGGTGACAGTTGGGGGGTGATGAGATTTGAAAAATTACCTGTCAGGTACAGTGTTCACTATTTGGGTAATGGGTACACTAGAAGCTCAATCTTTACTAGTATTCAGTATACCCATTTAACAAACATGCATGTGTATCCCTTCAATCTGGAATAAAATTAAATACATTTTAAAAAGAAAGTGAGGATGGCTTTTAATTTTTGCAAACTAGTGCAAACAAAATTATTAAGTAATTTAACTGTTTCTGATAGAATTTCCTTTTCTTTTTTTTTTTTTTCTTTTTTTTTTTGAGATGGAGTCTCACTCTGATGCCCAGGCAGGAGTGCTTTGGCATGGTCTCTGCTCATTGCAACCTCCGCCTCCTTGGTTCAAGTGACTCTCCTGCCTCAGCTTCCCAAGTGTCTGGGATTACAAGCACCTGCCACCATGCCTGGCTAATTTTTGTATTTTTAGTAGAAATGGGGTTTCACCATGTTGGCCAGGCTGGTCTCAAACTTCTGGCTTCAGGTAATCCGCCTGCCTCGGCCTCCCAAAGTGCTGGGATTACAGGCATGAGCCACCGCAGCCAGCCTCTGACAGAATTTCAAGAGCCAAATCTATGGCCATACCACCCTGAAGGCGCCCAATTTCATCTGATCTCCTTAAAGCTAAGCAGGTTTGGGCCTGGTTAGTACTTGGATGGAAGAATTTCAAGAGCCAAAACATAACATGGCTCACTGTTAACTTTTTTGTGAGTTCAAACACATCACATATATATAAAATACCTAATTTTCACATAAATGTAACCATACTTTGTCCTTTTTTTTTTTTTTTTTTTTTTTTTGAGATGAAGCCTCGCCCTGTTACCCAGGCTGGAGTGCAATGGCACAATCTTGGCTCACTGCAACCTCTACCTCCCACGTTCAAGCAATTCTCCTGCCTCAGCCTCCCAAGTAGCTGAGATTACAGGAATGTGCCACCACGCCCAGTTAATTTAGTATTTTTAGTAGAAATGGGGTTTTACCATGTTAGCCAGGCTGGTCTCAAACTCTCGACCTCAGATGATCCGCCCACCTTGGCCTCCCAAAATCCTAGGATTACAGGCATAAGCCACCGCACCAGGCCCAACCATACTTTATTCTGTTTATGTGATATTTACTTGTGGGTTTTTTTGTACATTTCATCCACTGGAATATAAGCAACATAAAGGCAAGAGACTTACCCATCTTATCCAGAAATGTATCCCTAATCTTAGCATTGTGTCTTGCCAATAGAAACTAATTGATAAAAATTTATTACATGAATTAATATATTTTGCACTGATAAAAGTACCAACCATTGGCTGAGGTGGCTCACACCTGTAATGCCTGCACTTTGGTAGGCCAAGGAGGGTGGATCACTTGAGCCCAGGAGTTCGAAACCAGCCTGGCCAACATGGCGAAACCACATTTCTACTAAAAATACAAAAATTAGCCAGGTGTGATGGTGTATGCTTGTAATCTCAGCTATGTGGGAGACTGAAGCAGGAGAATTGCTTGAGCCTGGGAGGCAGAGATTGCAGCGAGCCGAGATTGCGCCACTGCACTCCAGCCTGGGCGACAGAGAGGGACTCTGTTTCAAAAAAAAAAAAGTTCCAATCACAGAGTTGTATAAAGTTTTGATGAATTGAATTACAGTGTGTTATTAAAGGATATAGAGAATAACCCTATGTTTTGAGGTAGAGCTCATTTGGAAAACTTTCTAGCTTGGGATCATTTTTATATAGTGGAATATACTAATGTCAACTTGGTTTTAAAACCTCTGTTATTTCTATCATTATTGACTCTGGTTGTTTGTTTGCTTCATTTTGTCTACTACTTCTTTGTATCTTTTCTCCCTTTGCCTAAATAACCTTTTCTTTTTTTAGAGACAGGGTCTCTCTGTCACCCTGGCTGGAGTGCAGTGATACCATCTTGGCTTACTGCAGCCTCGACCTCCTGGGCTCAAGCGATCCTCCCACTGCAGCCCCTGGAGTAGCTGGGATTACAGGTGTGCACCAATATGCCTGGCTAATTTTTGTATTTTTTGTAGAGATGGGTTTTCGCCATGTTGTCCAGGCTGGTCTTGAACTCCTGAGCTCAGGCAATCCACCCATCTCGGCCTCCCAGAGTGCTGGGATTACAGGCATGAGCCATTGTGCCCAGCCTAAATAATCTTTTCAAAAACCAGCTTCTGCCAGGCACGGTGGCTCACAATGGAATCTGGAAAAGAAGGCTGGCCCAGTAGTCCCAGAACCTTGGGACACCAAGGCAGGAGGATTGCTTGAGGTCATGAGTTCAAGACCAGCCTGGGAAATATATCGAGATGCCCTGTCTCTACTAAAAATACAAAAAATGTGCTGGGCATGGTGGTGTGCGCCTGTAGTCCCAGCTACTCAGGAGGCTGAGGCGGAAGAATCACCTGAACCTGGGAGGCAGAGGTTGCAGTGAGCTGAGATTGCACCACTGCATTCCAGCCTGGGCAACAGAGTGAGACTCCGTCTCCAAAAAAAAAAAAAAAAAAGACAAAAAAAAAAAAAAAACACACCAAACAGACAAAAAAAAAACCCAGCTTCCTGTTTGGGTCATTCTCTCTAATGTTCTGTGGTTTTCTATTCATTGATTTGTGTCTCTGTCTTGGTAATTTTCCCCCCTTATTCTGTTTGCTCTGTTGCTCTGTTGCTCTTGAACTCATTTTTCAAATTTAATATTTAGCTCAATTTTTTCAATTTTATGGTTTTTTAATAAATGTTTTCCAAAGCATAAATGTCCCTCTAATTACTAATTTTATTGCATCCCATCAATATTGGCACAGAATGCAGGTGCACAATTGGGAGTTGGGGCACTGCAGTGGGTGTCAGGCCTGGGCACACAATGTACCCATCAGGAGGACCAAGGCAAGGAGGTCACCAGGCCTAGGCCAGGGTGGCAAGGTTCTGAGATACTGTGATCTCTGGATACGCATGGCTGCTGCAGAGCACAGCTGATGTCCTCCCATACTGGTACCCTAACCCACCATGTGGCAGGAAGAAGAAAACACAAAAACCAAACAATGAAATCTAGAAAAGAAGAGTGGCCCAGTGGCTCATGCCAGTAGTCCCAGAACCTTGGAACACCAAGGCAGGAGGATTGCTTGAGGTCATGAGTTCAAGACCAGCCTGGGAAACATATTGAGATCCCCATCTCTACAAAAACTTTTTAAAGAAAGAAATTAGCCAGGCATTGTGGCCCGTGCCTGTAGTACCAGCTACTCAGTACTCAGGAGGCTGAGGCAGGAGAGTTTCCTGAGCCCAAGAGTTTGAGGCTGCAGTGAGCTGTGATTGTACCACTGCTCTCCAGCCTGGGTGACAGAGCAAGATCCTGTGGAAAAAAAAAACAAACAAACAAACAATAACAACAACAAAACAAACAAACAAAAAACCCAGGAACAATGCCTCATGCCTGTAATCCCAGCACACTTTGGGAGGCCAAGGTGGGAGGATCACTTGAGCCCAGGAGTTTGAGATCAGCCTGGGCAGCATAGTGAGACCCTGTCTCTAAAAAAATAAATAAATAAAAAATAAATGGGCACACCATGGGGTAGCCCTGCTCCACAAAGAGCAGTAAAAAAATTTTATGCCAAATAAATAAATATTTTTAAAAGGACGGAGGAAGGGAGGGGAGCAAATATGGAAAGAGTTGGGGCGGGGGGTGATGCCACCTTCTTCCTGCAACATTCCTTCATCGCCCTCTACTGGCAAAGCTTCACATCACACTCACTGCAAAAGAAACGCTTCAAAAGAAGTCCAATTCATTAATACACAGCAAGTTCTGAAGGAGTGAATTTGGAACTGAGAGGCAACAATTGATTATTGGCATATCCTTGAAGCCAGGGTTCTAGGTGTGGTTGAAGTTCTCCTAATCAGGTGAATTCACAGAAGATTTCAACCTGGAAGTAAGCTACATGGAGAGAGAGAGGCAGTGCAAAGGGCGCCTGTTTTGGCTGGAGTGAGTGAGTCAAGGCAGGTGTGGTGCAGTTGGAAGCAGCTTCCTGCCTCTGTAGAAAGCATCCTGATCCTGCTCTTTCTGATCCCGGCAGCGTCAGTAGCTCCCTTGACAGCTTAGTTCAGTGGAGTATTAGGACCTGATCTTACAAATTCAACCTAGTAGTCTCTATCTAGAATACTGTCATAGGTAAAGGCTCTTTGTTCAGACCTCCTGAGGGCTTATGGGTAGGCCAACTTAATCCCTTTCTGTTTAAATCAGTGAATAGATTCCTTAATCTACAAATAATTACCCTGACCAAAATAAGGTAAGAGAACATAGCTTGTATAATAGTAAAACTCCTTGGAATTCATTGACTCTTCCTTCGTTGCCTAGCACATTGTCCATTTTTGTAAAGTTTCAGGTTTGCTCAAAAAGAAAATATTCTCACCAATGGCTTTGGCTCATGCCTGTAATCCCAGTGCTTTGGGAGGCCAAGGTTGGAGGGTCGCTTGAGCCCAGGAGTTTAAGACTGGCCTGGGCACATCGTGAGACCCATCTCTATGAAAAGAAAAAAAATTAGCCGCGTGCAGTGGCTCACGCCTGTAATCCCAGCACTTTGGGAGGCCAAGGCGGGTGGATCACCTGAGATCAGGAGTTCAAGACGGACCAGCCTGGCCAACATGGCGAAACCTCGTCTCTACTAAAAATAAAAAAATTAGCCAGGCCTGGTGGCGCATGCCTGTAATCCGAGCTACTCAGGAGGCTGAGGCTTGAGAATCGCTTGAACCCGGGAGGGGGAGGTTGCAGTGAGTCGAGATTGTGCCATTGTACTCTAGCCTGGGTGATAAGAGTGAGACTCCATCTCAAAAAAAAAAAAAATTAAATTAGCTAGGTGTGGTGGTACAGACTTGTAGTTCTAGCTACTTGGGAGGCTGAGGAGGGAGGATCACTTGAGCTGAGAAGTTTGAGGTTACAATGAGTTGTGATAGCACCACTGCACTCCATCCTGGGCAAAAGAGTAAGACAAAAGAAAAGAAAAGAAGGAAAGGAGGAAGAAAGGAAGGAAGGGAGAGAGAGGGGGAAAGAAAGAAAAAGAAAGAAAGAAAGAAAAGAAAGAAAGAAGAAAGAAAGAAAGAAAAAGAAAAAGAGAGAGCGAGAGAGAGAGAAAGAAAGAAAGAGAGAGAGAAAGAAACAAAGAGGCTGGGCTCAGTGTTTCACGCCTATAATCCCAGCACTTTGGGAGGCCAAGGTGGGCGGATCACGAGGTCAGGAGATGGAGACCATCCTGGCTAACATGGTGAAACCCCGTCTCTACTAAAAATACAAAAAATTAGCCGGGTGTGGTGGCAGGCGCCTGTAGTCCCAGCTACTCGGGAGGCTGAGGCAGGAGAATGGCGTGAACCCCAGGAGGCAGAGCTTGCAGTGAGCCGAGATCAGGCCACTGCACTCCAGCCTGGGCAACAGAGTGAGACTTTGTCTCAAAAAAAAAGAAAGAAAGAGAGAAAGAAAGAAAGAAAGAAAATTCCCTCTGTGTATTTTTCTGTCTGTCTTGTCTCTCCTGTCTCCCCCTTAGTTCCTAATTTCTTCCCTGTTTAAGTTCTCACAAACCTCAGGATCAATATGAAGTCCACTGTGATGTACTTTGCAGAATCTACCTATTTGCAAAAGCTAACTCCTACCCTCATCTTTGTACCTGGTGTTTGAAAACTGGATCAATTTTCTGATCTCCAAGCATTTGGAACTTTCTTTAGTTTTCATCTCCTTAAAACCAAAGCTTCCAACCCCACCGGAAACAAACAAACAAGCAAACAAAACACCCAAAGCAGTGAGCACTCAATATATATATTTGATTATCCATAAATGCTGATTCTCTAATTCATTGCAATGTCAAGTTCATAATTAAATAGGGAGACTTTTGCATTTTGCATAGTCTGCTTTCCAGAATACTGTCAGGGATACTCTGATATTTTGCTATAATGCTTTGGCAGTGCTCTAGATGTATTAAACTCACTGTAACCAATCCCAGGAGCACAGTAAAAGTCCAAGTGATGCCAACCAACAAGGAAATTTCAGAGTTAATTTATCCAAAGTATAAATATCACAGTGAAAGAGTAATAACTGGTGCTTCTGACATTTTAGGCTAAAGGAACGAATAAATGAATGTGGCAAGAACCCCTAGATTATACCAAAAGAAGGGTGAATAATTATTAGGGTTAGTGTGAATAGAGAGAAGCTTATGAAAAGGAAAAAGATTTTCTGTTGTCTTTTCTTCTGTCATCAAGTTCGAACCAGCTGCAGGTTTATCTCAATTGCTCTGCTATGAGGTGCACGTAAAACAAAAAGATTCTAAAAGCTACATTATAAGTCCCTTCCAATGTGGACAGCCCTATTCCTTTCCAAGGCCTATATATTCTTTGGATTCTTAGTTTAAAGCAGCAACATTAAAATTGTAAATGAGATAAGGCAGGACTGGTTTTACCATTTTCACATCTTACATCATATTAACCTAGATTCAAAGTAAAGTCATTCTTGTTGGATTTATTTTCGTGTCACACAATATGCAGATTCACCACTAATTAATTTTGAGAATTCTCCTCTAGAAACGTGCTTTTTTATTAAGATAAATTTCTCTCAAATAAGGTTAAATAAACAAAAAATCATGGGTCAAAGCCTCATTGTCTGCTGAGCAATCATGTATATTGCTTTAATTATTCTTCCTCAATTTCCTTGAAAATTCTCTATTTAACTTTATTGAGATTATAATTAAGATCCTATAAAATTAGGCCAGGCGCGGTGGCTCATGCCTGTAATCCCAGCACTTTGGGAGGCCAAGGCGGGTGGATCACAAAGTCATGAGTTTGAGACCTAGGCCAACATGGTGAAACCCCATCTCTGTAAAAAAAAATACAAAAAATTAGCCAGGCATTGTGGCGTGGGCCTGTAATTCCAGCTTCTCAGAAGGCTGAGGCAGGAGAATAGCTTAAACCCAAGAGGCAGAGTTTGCAGTGAGCCAAGATCGTGCCACCGTACTCCAGCCTGGGCTACAGAGCAAGACTTTGTCTCAAAAAACAAACAAAGAAACACACACACACACACACATATACACACACAAAACAAGATTCTATAAAATTGACCCATTAGCTGGGTACAGTAACTCACATCTGTAATCCCAGTATTTTGGGAGGCCAAGGAGAGAGGATCATTTGAGCTCAGGAGTTCCAGACTAGCCTGGGCAACATAGTGAGACCCATTTCTACAAAAAAAAAATTTTTTTTAATTAGCTAGGCATGTTGGCACACACCTGTAGTCCCAGCTACTTGGGAGGCTGAGGTGGGAGGATTGCTTAAGCCCAGCAGGTCGAGGCTGCAGTGAGCTGTGATCATGACACTAGATTGTAATCCAGCCTGGGCAACAGAGTGAGACCCTGTCTCAAAATAAATAAAATAAAATAAACTCATTATAGGTGAACAGTGCCACTATATGTGCATGCCATTTGTGTGCTTTCTTTGCTGAAAAGTCTTCTTCAAACCCTCTGCCCACTTTTTAAATTTGGTTAACCTTCAACAACCTGGCATCTACTCCTGCTTCTATTAAAACTAACGTCTGAAATAATGAAATGCAGTGGATATAGTGAATCCTAACTAACAAGTCCAGTAGTATATTTTGGTTTATCTTCTCCTTGACCCTCCTGCAGTATTGGATGTCTTCAATAATCTTTTCTTGAAATGTTGTCTTACTTTGGTGTCCAGGACAGAATACGTTTCTGATTTTTCTGGAAGATCTTTGATGACTTCCTTTTCTGGGTTGTAGTCTACCTCCTGCCGTTTCTAGGTGGTGGTTCAGTTCACATAGACTAGACCTCTGCCCTCTGCTTTACTTCTACATTTTATTTCATGGCAACTATAATGTCTTCAAGAAAATTTCTAGATTAGCCAGGTGTGGTGGTGGGTGCTTGTAGTCCCAGCTACTCAGGAGGCTGAGGCATGAGAATCTACTGAACCTGGGAGGCACAGGCTGGAGTGAGCCAAGATTGCGCCACTGCACTCCAGCCTGGGGGACACAGTGAGACTCCATCTCTAAAAAAAAAAAAAAGAAGGAGGGAAAAAAAGAAATTTTATAGAAGGCAGTGAGATATCTGATGATGTCATCAAGAAACTGGTGTTATGTAAGCATGGTGAGAGCTGGAGCCGTGGGAAGGAAACTAAATGACAGGCCCTACCATAGTGGAGGGATGCAGCACTGTGAGAAGGGATGCAGCTAGGCAGGAGAGAAACACCCCTTTGATCTCTTCCTGGTGCCTCCCATTGGTTGAAACCAGAGGTTAGGAGAGTCTGTGTAAAACCGTCCATGTGGTCAGCAAAGGGTATGGGAATGAATCTGGGAGCAAATGAAAACTAGCCAATACATTCGGGGTCTAAAGCAAACATCTCACCATCTCACCGTGTTTTTTTTTTTTTGAGTCAGAGTCTTTCTCTGTCATCCAGGCTGGAGTTCAGTGGTGTGATCTCGGCTCACTGCAGCCTCCTGCCTCCCAGGTTGAAGCAATTCTCCTGCCTCAGCAACCCGAGTAGCTGGGATTACAGGCACACACCACCACACCCGACTAATTTTTGTATTTTTAGTAGAGATGGGGTTTCATCATGTTGGCTAGGCTGGTCTTGAACTCCTGACTGCAAGTGATCTGCCTGCCTCGGCCTCCCAGTGTTGGGATTATAGGCGTGAGCCACCACGTCCGGCCCTCACCATCTTTTGTGCCTAAATCATCTCCCTGTTTTAACTTCTGTGCCTCCATCAATGGCACCATTACTCTCCCAGCCTCTTAAGCTGGAACCTCAGAAATCACTCCAACTCCCTTCATGGATTTTTTTTTTTCCTGTTAGTAAATTCTTATCCCTTATTTGGCATTACCCATCTCATAGGATTGGACTGTTGAATCCTCTATAAATGTGAGACTTCACAATTTCATGGTACTTAACATCACGGTTTAATTAAAATCCTCATGTGTGTACTTATCTCTTGAATGAGCATTTTCAGGGCAGGGTCTGTGCTTCATACTTCAAATCCTCATTGTGCCCCTCAGCATTCTGTCAGGGTAGGGACTCAGCAACGCTTGTAAAATAAATAAATGAATGATCTGTTCACGGTGGACATGGGCCTACAACTTGCCTGAATTCCTTGTCCAAATGACAGAATATGGCAACAGAGTCAACACATTTCACTAGTAAGTGGCAGCATCCACAATGATAACTTCCAAAGATGTTCAACACCAGCAAGCACATCACTGCGACTTCAGTAACCATAGTAACAAGACTACAATAAGATCATAACCAGCTAGTCAGACTAATCTCTTTCTAGTGGAAATGACCAGTGAATTACTTTCTGTGTGGACTGGGTTACTCTAAAGAAGATTCTTTCTTTCTTGCTTGCTTTCTCTCTCTCTCTCTCTTTCTTTCTTTTCAGGATCTCACTCTGTCACTCGGGCTGGAGTGCAGTGGTGTAATCATAGCTCACTGCAGCCTTGAGGTCTGGGCTCAAGTGATCCTCCCACCTCAGCCTCCTGAGTAGCTGGGATGACAGGCAAGCACAACCATGCCCAGCTAATTAAATTTATTTATTTTTTTTGAGAGATGGGATCTCAGTATGTTGCCCAGGCTGGTCTCAAATCCTGGCCTCAAGTGATCCCCCATCTCAGCTTCCCAAAGTGCTGGGAATACAGGTGTGAGCCACTGCACTTAATAATTTCTTTTTTTTTTTTAATTTTAGGGTAAATAGAGATGGGGTTTTGCTGTGTTGCCCAGGTTGGTCTCAAACCCCTGAGTTCACCTCAGCCTCCCAAAACACTGGGATTACAAGTGTGAACTGCTGCACCCAGCCCAGCCGCAGGGTCTCACTCACTCTGTCACCTAGGCTGGAGTGCAGTGGCACGATCTCGGCTCACGGCAACCTCTGCCTCCCGGGCTCAAGTGATTCTCCTGCCTCAGCCTCCTGAGTAGCTGGGATTACAGGCACATGCCACCATGCCCAGCTAATTTTTGTATTTTTAGTAGAGACAGGGTTTCATCATGCTGGTCAGGTTGGTCTTGAACTCCTGACCTCAAGTGATCCACCTGCCTCGGACTCCCAAAGTGTTGAGATTACAGGCGTGAGCCGCAGAACCTGGCTAAAAATTTTACATAAATATAGTTGAGAATCAAAAAAACCTACTGCTAATAGTAAATATTTGCTTTCATGTATGATTGAAATGCATTTTAATATTCTTTTTGTTTTTAAAGTTTAGTTTTATTTTCTTAAACTATTATATTCTTAGTACAAAACATGTAAAAGAAGACAAAATCTCCTATAGCTCTCCCTGCTGCTTGTTTTCTCTGTAAATGTTTCACCTTTGTTTTGTCTTTTGTAAACTGACCTCAATGTTATATTGTTCTGGCTGGGCATGGTGGCTCATGTCTGTAATCCTAGTACTTTGAGGCCGGGCGCGGTGGCTCACGCCTGTAATCCTAGCACTTTGGGAGGCCAAGGCGGGTGGATCACAAGGTCAGGAGATTGAGACCATCCTGGCTAACACAGTGAAACCCCATCTCTACTAAAAATACAAAAAATTAACCGGGCGTGGTGGCAGGTGCCTGTAGTCCCAGCTACTTGGGAGGCTGAGGCAGGAGAATGGCGTGAACCCAGGAGGCGGAGCTTGCAGTGAGCCGAGATGGTGCCACTGCACTCCAGCCTGGGCCACAGAGCGTGACTCCGTCTCAAAAAGAAAACAAAAAAAAACCCTAGTACTTTGGGAGTGCTAGGCTGAGGTGGGAGGATTGCTTGAGGCCAGGAGTTTGAGACCACCCTAGCCAACATAGCGAGACCCCATCCCTAGAAAAAAAAATTATATTATTCTAAAACAATTCATACTCATAAAAATAAAAGCAATTAAAAGTGCATAGAGTAAAAAGTTAAAGACTTCCTTCTCTCCAAGGCCTTGTTCTCCCTCCTAAGGAGTTAGCTATTGTATTGTTCCAGACAATTATTTTCTGTAATGTAGTTGCTTTTTTAAAAAAAGTGTAAGCATTTGTTTTATTACAAGTACAACACGAGTAATATTCTCTTTTTCTACTTCCTTCCCTTACCCCTAGATCCCTCAAATGAAACTGCATAGAAGTAATCATAGTCACCAGTTTCATGTGGATTATGGTTCTTAACACTTGGGCATTTGGAAATGTGGAAGAGCATTTTTGGTTGTCACAGTGAGTAGCTCTACTACTCGTTGAGGGCATAGTGCTCAGGGATGTTAACAACTGTGGTATGTCCAGTAGGCTCCCAAGCAACAGAGCAATGTTCCAGAACGTGGAATGCTGCTAGCACCCCCTGCTGAGAAACCCTGTACGATCAATCTCTTCCATGCTAACTAAACGTATGCACGTGCAGGTGAACACACACACACACACATACACATACCACACACACACACAGTCTCATACACAAAAGTTGAAAGCCTTGTACACTGAAACTCTCATGTACCCACCACTTAGATTCTACTATTAACATTTTGTCTTATTTGCTTTATCACATATCTATCCAGCCATCTATGCGAATTCCCATTCATCAATAATTCATCTTTTGAAAAATGTATTTCGGAGTAAGTTGCAGAGGTGAATATACTTCATCTCTAAACACTTTAGCATTAAATTACTCTTTTTCGGCTGGGCGCAGTGGCTCACGCCTGTACTCCCAGCACTTTGGGAGGCCAAGGTGGGTGGATCACCTGAGGTCAGGAGTTTGAGACCAGCCTGACTAACACGGAGAAACCCCACTTCTACTAAAAATACAAAATTAGCTGGGTGTGGTGGTGCATGCCTGTAATCCCAGCTACTCAGGAAGGCTGAGGCAGAAGAATCACTTGAACCCGGCGGAGGGGTTGAAGCGGAGGAGTTGAGGCGGAGGTTGGAGGTTGTGGTGAGCCGAGATCACACCATTGCCCTCCAGCCTGGGCAACAAGAGTGAAACTCTGTCTCAAAAAATAAAAATAAGTTACTCTTTTTTTTTTTTGAGACGGAGTCTTGCTCTGTTGCCCAGGCTGGAGTACAGTGGCACAATCTTAGCTCACTGCAACCTGTGCCTCCTGGGTACAAGTGATTCTCCTGCCTCAGCCTTCCGATTAGCTGGGATTACAGGCATGCACCACCACACTCAGCTAGTGTTTTGTATTTTTGGTAGAGATGGGATTTCGCCATGTTGGCCAGGCTGGTTTCAAACTCCTGATCTCAAACGATCTGCTTGCCGTGGCCTCCCAAAGTGATGGAATTACAGGCGTGAGCCACTGTACCCTGCCAAATTACCTTTTAAAGGGCATATTATACATATTGTTCTACAGCTTGTGGTATAAATATATTATCATTCAATAAGTCAATATTTATTAACGGTTTACTATGTGCCAAATACTTGGCTAGGCTCTGGGGTTACAATGACAAGCAAAACAAACACACTTCGTAACTCATCCTAGAAAAGCTTACTCTAATGCAGCGTTTGAAACTATTTCTATAATAGTAGTAATAATAACAATTAGTAGTAAAACATATAAAAATTATTATTATAACAGCATAATAATAAAGTTATTTATTGTGTGCCTACCATATTCCTGACACTGTTCTAAGTACTTTCAATTATTAATAAATTTAACTCTATAAGGTGAGAACAACTGCAGTCCTTGTGTGGCAGAAGATGAGACTGAGACACAGAGAAATTAAGTAACTTGCCCAAGAACACAGTGCTAGTAAATGGCAAAGCTGGGGTATAAACCCAGACAGCTCAGCTCCAGAGCCCAAAAACTGCACTATTACTCTGTACGGTCCTCTAGTGCATTGTCTCCGTGTTAATAACATGTAATCTACCCTATTCTTTCTTTACAGGTGCAAAATATTCCACTGAATTAGCTTAAATGTAATAATAATTCCTTTACTTTTTTTTTTTTTTTTCCAAGCTGGTGTCATGCTCTGTCACCCAGGCTGGAGTGCAGTGGTACGATCTCGGCTCACTGCAACCTCCGCCTCCCAAGTTCAAGTGATTCTCCTGCCTCAGCCTCCCAAGTAGCTGGGATTTCAGGAACCCAACACCATGCCCGGCTAATATTTATATTTTTAGTAGAGACAGGGTTTTGCCACGTTGTCCGGGCTGGTCTCGAACTCCTGACCTCAGGTGATCCACCAGCCTCGGCCTCCCGAAATGCTGAGATTACAGGCGTAAGCCACCACACCTGGCCTAATTCCCTTACTTTTTAACTAATTCTTCACTGTTACATTTAATGATACAGTGAAGATCCTTGTTTGTATATCTCTGTACATATTTCTAAATATTTCTGTCAAATAGACTCTAGAAATAGACTTACTGAATCAAAAAAGTACACACATTTTAATGTTGATAGATATCGGTTAACTGCCCTCCAAAAACACTGTGCCAGTCTCCGTTCCTCTATGGAATATAATAGTACTAAATTTCTGGCAAGGCATGATGGCTCAGGCACATAATCCCAGCACTTTGGGAGGCCAATGGGGGCAGATCGCTTGAGCTCAGGAGTTCAAGACCAGCCTGGACAATGTGGTGAAATTCCATCTCTACAAAAAATGCAAAAATTAGCTGGGCCTGGTGACATGCGTCTGTAGTCTCAGCTACTCAAGAGGCTGAGATGGAAGGATTGCTTGAACCCCAGAGGCTGAGACCGCAGTGAGCTGTGATCTCATCACTGTAGTCCAGGCTGGGTAACAGAATGAGACCATGTCCCAAAAAAAAAAAAAAAAAAAAAAAAGGACCCAATTTTTTGTATCTCCCAGAACATTCTAAGTTTTACACATCCAGTGAAAGAAAACTACCTATATAAAATCATTTCTCATTCATACATTTATTCATTTAATTATTTAACAAATATTCATTGAGTACCAATTATGTTACAAGCATTGTGCTAGGCCAAAGACACAATTGATGAACAATAAAAAAAATTCCTTCCCCTGTAGATATTGTATACAATCTGCTAAGTGTATAATCTACTAAGGATAGACAGTCAATAAAGAAATCGGTAAATTACTATACAATATAGTGTTAGGTGATGATGAGTGTGATGAAGAAAAATAAAGCAGAATAAGGAAGTAGAGAGTGATGAAATGAAGGGTTAGATAGTGTCATCAGGAAGGGTCTCAGAGGAAGTGACTTTTTAGCACATGTGAATGAAGTGAGGGAGAGCCATGTGAAACTCTGGGGAATGATCATTTCAGGCAGGATATGCAAAGGCCCTGAGATGGAGACTTGATGAAACTGAGAAACCTCCATTTGTGTTCTAAGTTGTCTTTCCCTAATTACTACTGAGATGAAACAGCTTTTTTTTCCCTCCACCTTTTCATCTATTAAATGTATGAGCATAGCAGTTTCATAGACTTCCAACCCCTTCCATCACTAAATGTTAATCAGTCTGTGATTTCAATACATTTAATGATTTTGAGTTAGGCCAATAGTAAGGATATATTTTCATACTTGTTTAAAAGTCAGATTTATTGAGGTATTATTTACATGCAGTAAAATTCATCCTTTTAAAATGCAATGACTTCTGACAAAGGTGTACAGTTGTGTAACCACCCCCACAATCAAGATAAGAAAACTATTCTACCAGCAACCTCCCCCAAAAAACATCACTTGTGCCCTTTGAGATCAATCTCCTTTTTTCACTCTGAGTCTCTGGAAATCGATTTCTTGTACCTGTAGTCTTATATTCTCTAGAATGTCACATAAATGGAATCATACAGTGAATAGCGTTTGTGCCTGGCTTAGCGTAATGCTTTTATGATACATCCATGTTGTTTCATGTATCGGTAGTTATTTAATCTTTACTGCTGAGTAGTTTCCAGGGTCTGTTTGTACTGATGCAGGGCAGGCGAGCCCAAAAATTGGGTCATAGCCTGGGAGGATTCTTGGCCTCACCCAGGAAAGAATTCAAGGGTGAGCTGGTGGTGTTAAATAGCAACTTTTCTTGAACTGGCAGTGTACAGCAGCAGCAAAGGGACTGCTTGTCGTAGAGCAGGGCCACCCCATAGGCAGTGTGCCCAGAGTAGCAGCTCAGAGGCAGTTCCACAGTCATATTTATATCCACCTTTAATTACTTGCAAATTAAGGGGCAGATTACACAGAAACTTCTCTTTTTTTTCTTCCTCGAGACTGAGTCTAGCTCTGTTGCCCAGGCTGAAGTGCAGTGGCGCTGGCTGGTCCCAGCTACTCAGGAGACTGAGGCAGGAGAATGGCATGAACCCGGGAGGCGGAGCTTGCAGTGAGCGGAGATCCTACCACTGCACTCCAGCCTGGGTGACAGAGCCAGACTCCGTCTCAAAAAAAAAAAAAAAAGAGATTATTCTGAACTTTGGATTGATCTTTTATACATTTCTGAAAATGCAAACAAATAATTAGTTATGTGAAAAAAATTTCCAATTAAGATGTCAGTATTTTATGAAAAACCAGAAGTTATTAGATAAAGGCAGTAAGTGAATCTTTACAACATACTGGATCATGCACAATGTCTTTTTGTCTTAAACTGGAAATAAATCTATATCTGCTAGAAATAATGTAGCCTAAAAAATGCAAATTTGGCCAGGCATGGAGGCTCACACCTGTAATCCCAGCACTTTGTGAGGCCAAGGCAGGTGGATCACCTGAGGTCAGGCGTTCGAGACTAGCCTGGCCAACGCAGTGAAACCCCGTTTCTACTAAAAATACAAAAATTAGCTGGGCGTGGTGGCGTGCTCCTGTAATCCCAGCTACTAGGGAGGCTGAGGCAGGAGAATTGCTTGAACATGGGAGGCAGAGGTTGCAGTGAGCTGAGATCGTACCACTGCACTGCAACCTGGGTTACAGAGCAAGACTCCATCTCAAAAAACAAAAAAAAAGAAAAAAAAGAAAATCTAAAACCAATTAAAACCTTATTTTGAAGAATGACAAATCTAGATCTATTTTTAAAATTTGTGTTTTTGTTTTTGTGGCTTGTTTTGAGACAGGGTCTCACTCTGTCCCCCAGGCTGGGGTGCAGTGGTGTGATCTCAGCTCACTGGAACCTCCGCCTCATAAGCTCCAGTGATCCTCCCATCTCAGCCTCCTAAATAGCTCCTAAATAGCCGTGCTTGGCTAATTTCTTGGTTTGTGTGTGTGTGTGTGTGTGTGTGTGTGTTTGTTTGTTTGTTTTTCTAGAGATGGGGTCTCACCATGTCACCCAGGCTGGTCTGGAACTCTTGGGCTCAAGTGATCTGCCCACCTGGACTTCCCAAAGTGCTGGGTTTATAGGCATGAGCCACCACACCCAGCCCTGAAAAAATGTTTGAAACTCATATATGTTAAGTGTGTGATGTACCTATTATTAACTTAAACACTAAAAGACAAAGACAAACAACACATGATAATGCTTCAGGACTCCAAATCTCAGTGTCAGCTCAGTCCGTGTTGAATAGTCCTTGAATGCCTCTGGGTATTCCTCTTTCCCCAGTGCACAGCTACCTCAGTAAATGACCACTGGTCTTTTTGATAAAGGACTGAAAATCATTACAGAATATACTCAAGATGATGTTTCAGGGTTCTTTATTCTGGGGACCTGGCCACCTCTTCAGTCCACCAGTACCAGGTCTGAAAACTGACTTAGGTTCAACATCAGGGCAAGAGATCCTGATTTCCTTTTGGGTGACCACCCCGATTTTGTCAAATGCAGTTTATTAACCATTATACACCTATTGCTAAGCCCAGGGACTGACACATAGTAAGTACTCAAAAATATTTGTTGAATGAATGAATGACACTTGGAATTTCAGAGACATAAAAGTTTAGGGTGGTATATAAAACCTCAATCAATCAGTGATGATTGAAGTGTTTATTCTTTCATTAAGTATCCTACTTGACCTACAGGGAAAACATAGAGACCTACAGGGAAACATCAAAAACATAGCCTCTGGAATCAATCAGTGTGACTTGATACCAGGTCTCCTCTTATCATTTCTAAGTCTCAGTTTCCTCATGTGTAAAATGGGTATAATAATAACTTACAAGGCTGCTGTGTGGATCAAATGAGATAATGCACATAAAGATCTCAGCATGGTGCCTGATACATAGCAAGTGTTATAAGGTTAAAATTTTATTTATTCATTTTGTTATTTTATTATTATTAGTTTTTGAGACAGTGTTCCTCTGTCACCCAGGCTGAAGTGCAGTGGCGTGATCTCAGCTCACTGCAACCTCTGCCTCCCAGGTTCAAGTGATTCTCCTGCCTCAGCCTCCTGAGTAGCTGGGATCACAGGCCTGCACCCCTACGCCCAGCTCATTTTTTTTTTTTTTTTTTGTTTAGACAGAGTTTCGCTCTTTGTTGCCCAGGCTGGAGTGCAGTGGTGCGATCTCTGCTCACTGCAACCTCTGTCTCCCGGGTTCAGGCAATTCTCCTCTCTCAGCCTCCCAAGTAGCTGGGATTACAGGCTCCCCACCACCACGCCCAGCTCATTTTTGTATTTTTAGTAGAGGCGGGGTTTCGCCATGCTGGCCAGGCTGGTCTCGAACTCCTGACCTCAGGTGATCCGCCCGCCTTGGCCTCCCAAAGTGCTAGGATTACAGGTAGGAGCCATCACGTCCAGCCAATTTTTTTTGTATTTTTAGTAGAGACAGGTTTTGCCATGTTGGCCCAGCTGGTCTCGAACTCCTGGCCTCAAGTGATCCACCTGCCTCAGCTTCCCAAAATACTGGGATTATAGGTGTGAGCCACCATGCTCAGCATAAGGTTAAAAATTTAAATACCGCAACTCCCATAGGCCACAACTGTTACTCCTTTGTCTCTGTTTATAATTGATCTAAACATTCTCAGTAAACTCCATTTGGTTTGAGGGAGGAGGAAGGCAGAGAAGTAGGATGCCGCAGGAGTTAAACTTGTCAAATAAAGGTCCGTTAGTCTCTGCAAGATGGTTAAGATTATCTCTTGCTGAGTAAATATTAAATAATCTAATATTTAACTCCACATCAGAGCCATTTCATCCTTCTTTCTCTTACTTTTCAAGGTGTCAGGGTTCCATGGGCAAGCCATGTGCACTCTTGGCACATTTACCCATAAATGAGTCTCTCCATAGGCTTTGGAATCCTTGTAGGCTTCAAGGTTTTTGCTCAACTTAGTATTGATACCCTGGTTATGCTCAGCCACTGGGACACTGGGGACATTTGCTGCTAGAGTGTGCAGTATGACTATTGGTCTGTCCTCTTGGTTGGCGTATATTAGTCTGTTCTCGCACTGCTAGTAAAGACATACCTGAGACTGGGTAATTTATAAAGAAAAGAGGTTTAGTTGACTCAGTTCCGCATGGCTGGGAGGCCTCACTATCATGGCGGTAGACGAGTGAGGAGCAAAGGCATGTCTTTCACAGTGGCAGGCAAGAGAGCTTGTGCAGGGAAACTGCCCTTTATAAAACCATCAGATCTTGAGAGACTTATTCACTACCACAGGAATAGTATGGGTGAAAATGCCCTATGATTCAATTATCTCCACCTGTCCCTGCCCTTGACACCTGGGGATTATTACAATTCAAGGTGAGATTTGGGTGAGGACACAGCCAAACCATATCAGTTGTGGTAGGGCCCATTGATCTACAAATGTGACTTGACCTCACTTTTGCATCCCTTCAAGGCTCAGCCACTGCCTCCCTCAGACATGTGGTAGAGGTTATCAGGTCCCTGTCTACCCACTTCCTCATGGTGACCCAATGGCAGGTCACACTCAATTACCTTTCACTTCCCCAAAAAGGATGCTGAAAAGGGGTCTTTTGACTCTCTTCCAAGTCATCAAGGGAGGTCTGCACTGTTGAATTAGGCTAATTAGGCTACCATTACATCACCGTAAGCCTAGGTGCACTCTGCAGTGGTGTTCTCTCCATTTCAAAACAAGAAGTCAGGTTAAATCTGTCTTTACATATATTTTCTCTCTTCAACATAAACTGGGTTTTCACTTTTCTAATCAGCTACTGATGCAGGATTTTTTATTCCTTACCACCACTAGGTCTGGGTTCTCATCTCACAACCAGGAAGAATTAGGCATGCAGACACTTGAAGAGTGAGTGGAGCAGAATTTATTAAGTGAAAGGAAAGCTCTCAGCAAAAAGAGGGGACCTGAAAGCAGTTTACTGGTTGCCCCCTTCACAGTTGAATACCAGGGCTTAAGGCATGAATTTCTGGTGGCTCCACCCTGTCCTTCCAGTGCTGATGCAGGCCCTTGGACTGAGCAGCTCCATATTGATTTATTTCCCTTACTGTGTATGTGTTAAGGAATGGAATTTTCCACTGCAGGCATGTTTAGGCAAGCTCCCCGTGCAAGTTCCCTTATCTGCACAAAACATCTGGTGTAAGCACTTGTAGGGTGGGTGGGAGGTTCTCCGGGGACCCTTCCCTTACTGTCTGCCTAAAGCAAGCTGGCTAACACTTATCACTACAACCCCTTGAGTTTCAACAGGGAGAAGGAGCTATGTGTAAAGCAAGGGTCTTGGTGTCTAATCTCTTCCTGCACATCTTCTACACCCTGCACCACTAGACCAGAGGAAGGCTTCCCTCTGGGTAGACGTCCCTTTTAGAATTTTTGTTTTTCTTCCTTGACCTAAAGCTAGTTCTTCTCTTTCTTTTCCCTGAGGCAATAAACATCTCCTAGTCCCAAAGTGAGGAATGTTTGCAAGAACGGGAAAAAGTTTATAGAGAAAAAACTATTTGGGGAGGTACAACATTTATATCACCCTTTAACTATCAAATTTGAGTGTCTTCTGCTCCTCTTCTCTTTTTAGATTAATTATACAAAATCAAGAGTACATGTTTTTACATAGCTAAGATATATGATATGGTCTGGCTGTGTCCCCACTCAAATCTCATTTTGAACTAGAGTTCCCATAATCCCCACGTGTCATGGGAGAGACCTAGTAGAAGGTAATTGAATCATGGAGGCAGTTACCCCCATGCTGTTCTCGTGATAGTGAGTGAGTTTCCCCAGATCTGATGGTTTTAAAGAGCGTCCCCCCTACACCACCTTCACTCTGCACTTCCTGCTGCCACCATGTGAAGAAGGACATGTTTACTTCCCCTTCTGCCATGATTATAAGTTTCCTGAGGCCTCCCAAGCCCTGTGGAACTGTGATCCAGTTAAACCTCTTTCCTTTATAAATTACACAGGCTCAGATATGTCCTTACAGCAGCATGAGAACAGGCTAACACATAATATTTAAATTTTGATATTGAAACATTGGAGCTCAATACATATTAATGATGACATAATAACGACAGAATTGAGCAAAAGCACTGAAAACTGCACTTGATAGGAATTGGAATGCATTCTGCCACAAAGACCTGTTTATAAAAAATAAACATAAAAAAGTAATCAGAATACTTAATGCTTCAGATTTTGGTCTGCTGATGAGTAATTTGAGCCAATCTTAAATAAGACTTTTCTTATTTTAATTCTTTTTTTTTTTTCAAAGATGATGTCTTGCTCTGTCACCCAGGCTAGAGTGTAGTAGCGTGATCTCAGCTCACTGCAACCTCCACCTCCCGGGCTCAAGTGATTCTCCTGCCACAGCCTCCTGAAAGCTGGGACTACAGGTGCACAACACCACGCATGGCTAATTTGTGTATTTTTAGTAGAGATGGGGTTTCACCCTGTTGGCCAGGCTGGTCTCGAACTCCTGACCTCAAGTGATACTGCCTCTTCAGTCTCCCAAAGTGCTGGGATTACAGGTGTGAGCCACTGCCCCCGGCCTCTTATTTTAATTCTTTAACCAAAGAAATGTGAGGACAAAGGTCCTGGATGAGACCATAAAACCTGGATTATGATCATTATGAAGGAGACTGCCACTAAATAATATGTGAGTATGCACACATTACCTCTCTGGTTTTACAGTTTCCTCTTGCACAAATCCAAGGCATTAGACTAGATGACCTCTAAGGAACCTTTCTGTAGATCTATAATTTTTTCTGAAATGCTCAGATGGCTCATTGTCCATAAATGTGTCAGCAAGCTGAGTTATTCATTGAGTCACATGTTAACCTCTCACTGGAACTGCAATGCATTACAGTGCTATTATGTAACTCTCCAGCCCCTTAGGATTTGGGGTCATTATAATTAGCCAGAATGGAAAGAACTCCTGAATGATATATCCGGTCTAAGCACAGGCACATGAATTACATGGCTGAGATGGGTAAACCTGAAAATTTTCTGAGAAGTAAACACATTTTTGTTACTATTAATTCCTTCCTCCTCCTCCTGCTCTTGCTTCATCACTTACTTCTGCTATGTCTTCATATTCTCTCTCAGAAAGCATTCTGTTCTAACCCCCAAATGTATCTCTCCATTTTGTCTTCTTGTGCTTCTCCACCTATCTTCTTGGAATAGAAGTCTGAACCTACTGCTTTACTTTTCAGTTCCATGCAATCCAGCTTCTATCTGTACCACTCTCCTGAAATTCCTACAAAGATTGCCAGTGACTGCTTATCTGCCCAAACCGACCTCTTCTTTTCCCCTTTGTGCTGATTCCACTGCAGCATTTGCTCTTTGGTAATCTCATATATACCAACCCCTTTCCACTGATGTTTCCCAAGTCAATTTCCAACTATCTAGCAGTTGTCTTCACCTAGGTGTCCTACAGACATCTCAAACTGTTGGATGTCTAAAACCAAATTCATAATCCTCCAGACTTCTTCTATTCCCTGGCTCAATTAATGATTAATATTCACTGATCCTTTTTTTTTTTTTTTTTGAGACAGTCTCACTCTGTCACCTAGGCTGGAGTGCAGTGTCACCATCTTGGCCCACTGCAACCTCCACCTCCCAAATTCAAGCAATTCTCATGTCTCAGCCTCCCAAGTATCTGGGATTACAGATGTGCACCACCATGCTGGCCTACATGTTGTATTATTTTTAGTAGAGATGGGGTTTCACAACGTTAGCCAGGCTGGTCTGGAACTCTTGGCCTCAAGTGATCTGCCCGCCTCAGACTCCCAGAGTGTTGGGCATACAGGCACTAGACACCATGCCCAGTTCATTGAGCCTTTCAAACTAGAACCAACTTCTCCTCTTCTTCAACTCTTCTATCTCTTACTCTGCTCATCCAATTGGCCAGCAAATCCTTTTTCTCCATCCACAATCTACTGCCTTAAATTAGGTTTTTAGCATTTCTTAAAACGACCCTCCTGATGTTAATCGCTAATGCTATCTCTAGTCCAATCTATCTAAGGGTTGCCGGAGTTATCACCACAAAAAATAAACTTGGTGATGACACCACCCTACTCATGAGCTCTCCTTGTTGCTCTCAGGGCAAAATCCAATCTCCTTAGCATGTTACACAAGGTCCTTTATAATGTCATCACCACCAGTCTCCCCAGCCTTATCCTCATGTGTTCCAGTCACACTGGACCACTTATCCCCTAGATGAATCAAGTTCATTTGAACACCATGACCTTGAATTCAGGCACTGAGTGTTTCCTTTCCATATTCTTGATCACAAAGCACAATGACAAATTGTACATCCTCAATCAACTTTTGAATGAATTAATCATGGATCCTGGATAGTGGTTTCTGAATAAGACATTAATTAATATTATTATTATTACATATTTTTTGAGACAAAGTCTCTTTCTGTCTCCCAGGCTGGAGTGCAGTGGCTTGATCTGGGCTCACCGCAACCTCTGCCTCCAGGGTTCAAGTGATTCTTTTCCCTCAGCCTCCTGAGTAGCTGGGACTGCAGGTGCATGCCACCACGCCCGACTTATTTTTGTATTTTTAGTAGAGATGGGGTTTCACCATTTTGGCCAGGCTGGTCTCAAACTCCTAACCTCAAGTGATCCTCCTGCCTTGGTCTCCCAAAGTGCTGGGATTACAGGCATGAGCCACTGTGCCCAGCAAGATATTAATTTTTAAGTAAAAGAATTATGAAAGAAACCCCTCTCTCAAAAGAATCCTCCTCTCTTTGTCCTTGAGCAGGGAAGCAAACAATTACCTTCTGAACTTTTTGTCATTATCATAGCCACTTTCAATTCTTGTCCAATTCATATCAGATATAAAAAGAAAAACAACTGTGGCCAGGAGTGGTGGCTCATGCCTGTAATTGCAGCACTTTGGGAGGCCGAGGCGGGTGGATCATCTGAGGTCAGGATTTTGAGACCAGCCCAGGCAACACAGAGAAACCCCGATTCTACTGAAAATACAAAAATTAGCCAGGCATGGTGGTGGGCGCCTATAGTCCCAGCTACTCGGGAAGCTGAAGGGGGAGAATCGCTTGAACCTGGGAGGCAGAGTTTGCAGTGAGCCAAGATCACGCCACTGCACTCCAACCTGGACAACAGAAGGAGACTCTGTATCAAAAAACAAACAAACAAACAAAAAAACAAACAAAAAAACCTGACAAAATCTTTTCCTCCTTTTGTAATGTATTCACTGTGTGGAGAGATAAATCAATGAGATCTTTGTGAATGGGAGTATCATACTCAGTTTGTCTGCAGATAATGACAACTAAAACATGAACTGCACCTTGTAGGAATACCCTATGTAGAATTGTTGAAGTAAATAGAGATTTATGATTAGCTAAACTGAGAAAGTCAGATCATATGAGTTCCTATATTCATGAGGTAATTTAGAAACTATTCATAAGGGGAAGGGAGAAAAAAAACCTGACCTCTTAAAACTTACAAGAATTTCTCACATTGTCATAATGGAAATTCCCAAATTTCTCAAATGTGCTTTTTTTCTTCATCTCTGGTAGCATGAAAGCATCTGCCAAAAAATATGAAACTTAAGATGTATTTAATGCCATTGCCCAAACTTGTAATAACTTGTAATAATCAGATTATCCTTAAAACAGTCAAGTGTCATTCCCACAAAGGGCACTGGTGCTCTCTCCCTTTGAGTAATGAAAAATTTTAAACCTTTGCTTCTTCCTTCTGATGTCTGTACTCACAGGGTTTACAGTACCTTTTATGAGGTGCTACTATGCTGCTGGTATGTACAAATGTATAGCATCAGATTCTATAGGTAATAGTGTCAAACTACTATCAAGCATGCATCTATCTGTACACATGTTTTCAATAAACATGTATTAACCACTTATTTTGTGCTGGTGCTTGGCACTGGAAATAGAAATATGTAAGATTCAATTCCTGCTCACAACATTTAGAGTCTAGAGTCTATCCACTAGGTTGACAAGTTAACATTGTGAAATCTGTAATATAAAGAGCCTGAGGATACAGAGAAGTGACACAGAGGTCACACTTTGGGGCTGTTAGGAAGGGCTTCCTGAAGAAGGCCATTGCTGAGGAGAATACAATCCACAAGCATTTATTAAGTGCCTATGTCAAGCCCAGCTCCAAGCCTGGGTATACAGTAGTGAATAAAGGAGAAAGATATTCCTACCTGCATGAAGCTTACATTCTAGGAGAATAACGTGAAGAAAGAACAGAAGCTTGCCAGATGAATGATCCACAAAGAAATGAACAGTGTATCTTTGGAGGTTAGTTATATATAAGTAAGTATAGCTCAGAAAAGTCTCCAGCTCGCTGTGTAATCTCTGTCTTATCCAAAACTCACTGAGAACATGTTGAAGTGTCCCCAGTTTCTATAAAGGAGTGCTTCCCTCCACACCAGCGAACAGGGCCTAGAATCCATTCACAGGTGAGGGGCCTCTGCCATGAAAAAGACATGTGCAGGCGCATATGTGCACTCAATCACAGAGACACACATGCACATGCACACACACAGGGTGAGCCATTCACATGGTGACCACTGACACTGCACTGGCTAGTCCCAGTCTTGACATCCCCATTGTAACAATGCTCAATGCCAGAAGCAGGAATAGAAGGAAGAGATTCTACCTGGTCCCTACCCACAAGAGCTCGTTTTAAGTTTCTTCCTGATCACAAAAGGGAGAGTAGATGTTGTAATATTCATGGTGCTTTTTAAAGAGAGAGTACACACTAGTATGTGTGCCCCTTTTGTTCAGAGCAATGGTTATGCACTCTCACTCAAATAAACTTAAGTGTTTCAAAGGACTCTTGGATGGAGGATGTAACATCTACTTGGGTGTAATGATCCCTATGATCTTGCAATGTAAAAATACAGTATCTTGATTTTTTTCAAAAGATATAAAGATGTGGGCGGGCTGTGGTGGTTCACACCCATAATCCCACAAGTTTGAGAGGACAAGGTAAGAGGATTGCTTGAGCTCATAAGGTCAAGGCCAGCCTGAGAAACACAGTGAGATGCTGTCTCTATTTAAAAAAAAAAAATATATATATATAAAGGTGTGGGTGTGAATGCATTCCCTCCCTCCCTCCCTCCCTCCTTCCCTCCCTCCCCCCCTTTCTTCCTTCCTATTTCTTTATTGAACACATGCTATATATCCAGTGTAAAAAAATTAGACATACAGATATTTTTATAAATGAAAATAAAAGGAGAATCATATGGTTCCAGATGACATTGCTAATAATTTGGTATATCATTTTACAGATTCATTCTTCATGCTTATTTTTCATAAATTAATACACATGCATTTTATTTTACAAAGTAAGAATAATACTATACATTGGGGTCCCCAACCCCTGAACCATGGACCAGTACCACCTGTGGCCCATTAGGAACCAGGCTGCACAGCAGGAGGTGAGCAGCAGGTGAGCAAGCAAAGCTTCATCTGCATTTACAGCCACTCCCCATTGCTCATATTACCACCTGAGCCACGCCTCCTGTCAGATCAGTGGCAGCATTAGATTCTCATAGGAGCATGAACCCTATTGTGAACTGTGCATACCAGGGATCTAGGTTGTGGGCTCCTTATGAGAATCTAATGTCTGATGATCTGTCACTATCTCCCATCGCCTCCAGATGGGACTGTCTAGTTGCAGGTGACCAAGCTCAGGGTTCCCACTGATTTTACATTATGGTGAGTTATATAATCATTTTATTATATATTACAATATAATAATAATAGAAATAAAGTACACAATAACTAATGTGCTTGTCTCATCCCAAAACTACCCCCCAGCCCCCAGCCAAGTAGGTTTTTAAGAAAAAGAAAAGGTAATTCCTAACTTGCTTCCCAAGAATTTATATTCAAATAACATAAGCTATTGATTGGCCGTACATTGTTCTTTGCATCACAAATTCCAGGAATTCAATGATAATGGGTAAGGCAGCTAGTCAGGAACAAAATATCTTTAAACAATTGTCCTCAGGCATGGGCATGGCAGGGCATGGCTGAAGTCCTCTACTCATGTCTTTCTGGCCTGCTGAATTTTACATACTTCCCATACCACAGGGTGCTCTGAGTTATTTTTCTTTTCTCAGAGGCCTAGGAAATGAAGTCCCTGCCTGAGAAGCCTCTTCCCAGCAAGAACTACACAGTAGAAAAGTAGCATAAATCTCTTATCCCAGGTGAACATCTCATCATTTCTGCCTCGACATATGTTTTCTGCTTCTACAATACAACTTAGAAAAGTAGTATGGTTGTCAGACCGGGCACAGTGGCTCATGCCTGTAATCCCAGCATTTTGGGAGGCCGAGATGGTCGAATCACCAGGTCAGGAGTTTCAGACCAGCCTGACCAACATGGTGAAACTCGGTCTCTACTAAAAATACAAAAATTAGCCAGGCATGGTGGCATATGACTGTAATCCCAGCTACTCAGGAGGCTGAGGCGGCATAATCGCTTGAACCCAGGAGGCAGAGGTTGCAGTGAGCCGAGATCACACCATTGCACTCCAGCCTGGGCGACAGAGCCAGACTCCATCTCAAAAAAAAAAAAAAAAAAGGAGTATGGTTGTCATAGTGAAATGGGATTGTTCCCTTGACCTTGACCCCCGTCATGAGTGGGAACAGGAATGGCTCTTTTTACTCAGCCCACCGCTGGCCACTCCTCACGAGAGGTAGCATGTGAGCAAGTGAATGTGGGAACCGGAGGGAATGAATGCTGGAACCACCCAGTCACTCCTCTCTGGTGGGAGCAGGCTCTGTGCAGTGTTCAAGAACCCAGGTTCTTGTTCGGCATCCAGGAAGAATCAGGTCACATGAATAGATTGAAGGGTAGTGTATGCAGAGGATTTTATTGGGTGATGGATGTGGCTCTCAGTGGGATGGGAGTTGGAAAGGGGATGGTGTGGGAAGAAGGGATCTTTCCTTGAAGCCGCACCATCTGAAGTTAGCTGTGTCTATCCGTAGTTTCCAATGCTCAGTTGCTGCTTCTCTGCTTGCCATTCAGCCGCTTGTATCCCCCACGCTTAGCTATTTTTTTTTTTTTTTTTTTTTTTTTGCTTTGCCGGCTGATGTTCTTTGTGGGCACAGCATAGGGGCAGGGCAGACCAAAAAGGCAGCGTTTGGGTGGAAAAATGGAGTCAGCTGTTTTCACTTAGGGCCAGGCTTAGAGTGGGTTTAGCTGGGACCCCAGGCATTCTGTATCAATAAGGTGACTCAGTGTTATGAGCTACATATTTGTGTCCCCTTCAAAGTCATTTGTTGAAAGCTTAAACCCCAACAGGGTCAGTTGCAGTGGCTCATGCCTGTAATCCCAGCACTTTGGGAGGCCGAGGCAGGTGGATCACTTGATGTCAGGAGTTTGAGACCAGCCTGGCCAACATAGTGAAACCCCATCTATACTAAAAACACAAAAATTAGCTGGGCTTCGTGGCATGCACCTGCAGTCTCAGTTACTTGGGAGGCTGAGGCAGGAGAATTGCTTGAACCCAGGAGGCAGAGATTGCAATGAGCTGAGATCACTCCATTGCACTCCAGCCTGGGTGACAGAGAAAGACTCCATCTCAAAAAAAAAAAAAAAAAGAAAGAAAAAAGAAAAAAAAAAAAAGAAAAGAGAAAAAGAAAACCACAATGGGATGCTAATAGAATGTGGAGGCTTTGGGAGGTAATTAGATCATAAGGGTGGAGCCCTCATGATGGGATTGATGCCCTTATTAGAAGTCATGAAATGTGCTGGCTTCCTCTCTCTTTATACTCTCCACCCTGGGAGGACACAGCAAGATGATGCAAATCAGGAAGCTGGGGTTCACCAGACATGGGATCTGCAAGCACCTTGATCTTGGACTTCCCAGCATCCACAACTGTGAGAAATATATGATTGTAATTGGAGCCACTCTATCTATGGTAATTTGTTATAGCTGCCCAAACTAAGACACTAATGAAGTGTGAAATTATATGAGATTGTATTTTTGGTTTTTGAGACAAGGTCTTACTCTGTTGCCCAGGCTGCAGTGCAGTTGGCGAGATCATGGCTAACTGCAGCTTCATCCCCCTGGGTTCAAGCAATCCTCCTACCTCAGGTCCAGCTATTACACTTGGCTAAATTTTTAAATTTTTTTGTAGATACAGGGGTCTCCCTATGTTGCCCAGGATGGGCTTGAACTTCTGAGCTCCAGTGATGCTCCCACCTTAGCCTTCCAAATTGTGAGAATTAGCCAGGCGCAGTGGCTCATGTCTGTAATCCTAGCACTTTGGGAAGCTGAGGTGGGCAGATGACTTGAGGTTGGGAGTTCGAGAACAGCCTGGCTAACATGGCAAAACCCTGAGGTCAGGAGTTGAAGACCAGCCTGACTAGCATGACGAAACCCCATCTCTAATAAAAATACAAAAATTAGCCAGGTGTGGTGGCACATGCCTGTAGCTTCAGCTACTCGAGAGGCTGAGGATTGCTTAAACCCAGGCAGCAGGGGTTGTTGTTAGCTGAGATCATGCCACTGCACTCCAGCCTGGGTGACAGAGTGAGACCCTGTGTGACACACACACACACACACACACACACACACACACACACACACACACACATTATGAGAATTACACCCCGAGACAGGCCTATTGAACTTTCTTCAGGGCTCACCAAATGTCACCGGACAAATAAGAAGGGTTCTCTGAGTTAGGCATGCTGGACTTCCATCAGCAATTCCTTCTGAGATCCCTTCCACATATACAAACACACACAAAGATATGACAGACAGAAGGCCTTCCAAATCAGATCCCTAACCAAGAATTCCAAGAGTATCCCTTCCAAACTATCCTATTCTCCATCTGAGAAATCTCCCTGAAATCTTCCTCATCAAGGAGAAGTCTCCAGAATCAGGAATCTTCCTATTAGTTAGGGAGAGCCAAGTGAGACCTCCCAGGAGCCAAACAAAACAGACAACCTATGATGGAGCTACAAACAGACACCCTGCCAAATTCATCTCTTTGGGTCAACCGTGTCCCACCAGTAGAGAGTACCAGAGTCAGCCCCCAGTCCAAGAGAACTAGGTGGCTGCTTGGGCTGGCCTCTGGATCCATTGCTGGAGGGGGGCTACTGAACCACAGGCAGGTAATTACAGGGCAATCCCAGACGAGCCCCAAATTTGTAACCGCCCAATGGGTTTGCCTTGTCCACTGCCTAGACAGAGCCAATTTATCAAGACAGGGGAATTGCAATAGAGAAAGAGTAATTCATGCAGAGCCAGCTGTGTGGGAGATGGAGTTGTATTATTACTCAGATCAGTCTCCCTGAGCATTCAGGGATCAGAGTTGTTTGTTGGTTTTTTTCTTTTTTTTGAGACAGAGTTTCGCTCTTATTGCCCAGGCTAGAGTGCAATGGTGCGATCTCAGCTTCCTCCAACCTCCGCCTCCCCGGTTGAAGCGATTCTCCTGCCTCAGCCTCCCAAGTAGCTGGGATTACAGGTGCCTGCCACCACACCCAGCTAATTTTTGTATTTTTAATAGAGACGGGGTTTCACCATGTTGGTCAGGCTGGTCTAGAGTTCCTGACCTTGTGATCCACCCGCCTTGGCCTCCCAAAGTGCTGGGATTACAGGCATGAGCCTCTGCGCCTGGCAAGGGATCAGAGTTTTTAAGAATAATTTGGTGAGTGGGGAAGGTCAGTGAGTCAAGAGTGCTGATTGGTTGGGTCAGAGATAAAATCACGGGAAGTTGAAATTGTCATCTTGTGCTGAGTCAGTTCCTGGATGGGGGCCGCGAGATCAGATGAGCCAATTTATCCATCTAGGGTGGTTCCAGCTGATCCATCAAGTGCAGGGTCTGCAAAATATCTCAAGCACTGATCTTAGTGATACAATGAAAGAGGCAGGAGGCAGAGAAATTCTAGGCAGACAGGGGCAGGTCTCTGGTGAAGCCCCACCCTCAAGCTGAAAAGCCTGAGACCACGGCTCAAAGTCAGAACTCATATCCCCGTTTTCCCGCTTGAATGTTGCCTTTTCCTGAATCACCTATGACCCCGCCCTACCCTAGCCTGTGCCTATAAATACCCCAGACTCACCTTCAGAAAGGAGAAGCAGCTGGACACTGGGGACTATGGCTGGACGTTGGAGAGAAGTGACTTGACTTCAGAGGGACAGTTTGATGGCATAACTTCAGAGAACAATCCGGCCAGAGACAGCTGACTTCAGGGGAAGATTACCTACCCACTCTATCTTTTTTTTCAGCTCCCCTTCCCGCTATAAGCCACTTTAATCCGTCATAAAATCCCCTGCATGACCATCCTTCAATTCGTTTATGTGACCTCGTTTCTCCTGGACTCTGGACAAGAGCTCAGGAGCCACAAGTGCGGATTCAAAAGGCTGTCTATTGGCCCTTAGCCTTTGCTGGCAGAGGGCAGCTGCCTACACGAAAGGGCAGCGGGCCCACTGAGCTGTTAACAAAGTTGCTGATGGATGGCAGAGCTAAAAGAGCACTGTAACACGCCCCCTGGGGCTTTGGAAGTTGCAGGTACCTCTGCCTGGACACTGCTGAGGGGCCTGCACAAACTTCACTGCTGCTGGTGCCCAAAAGCACTCACTCTGGCTCCTGCACCCATTCACCTGTGTGCTCCCTCCCGCAAGGGGTGGAACACAATGGGCCTGCGTGAGTGGAGTTTGATCCCACTGGTGCTGAAGCAGCCAGCCAATTCCAGCGCTTGTGCACTCCAATTCCTGCCTTGCTTGCTTGCGTGCTTCCTCCTGCAAGGAGTTGAGAGTGGTGGGCTAAGTAAACAAGGCACCCCTGTTGCAAGTCCCGTGAAGGGGTCAGGGAAATATCCTGCTTCATTAGGAACAGTGTAGGTAGGGTCAGAATCTTGGAGCCTCCAGCTGCATGATTCCTAAACCATAATTTCTAATCTTGTGGCTAATTTGTTAGTCCTACAAAGGCAGTCTAGTCCCCAGGCAAGAAGGGGGTTTGTTTTGGGAAAGGGCTGTTATCATTGTTATCATCTTTGTTTTTTTTTGTGATTGTTTTGTTTTTTGTTTGTTTGTTTGTTTTGAGACAGAGTCTCTCTCTGTCACCCAGGCTGGAGTGCAATGGCACAATCTCAGCTCACTGCAACCTCCACCTCCCGGGTTCAAGCAATTCTTCTGCCTCAGCCTCCTGAGTAGTTGGGATTACAGGCATCCATCACCATGCCTGACTAATTTTTGTATTTTTAGTAGAGACAGGGTTTTGCCATGTTGGTCAGGCTGGTCTCAAACTCCTGACCTCAGGTGATCCGCCTGCCTTGGCCTCCCAAAGTGCTAGGATTATAGGCGTGAGCCACCATGCCTGGCTTATCTTTGTTTTAAACCATAACTATAAGTAAGTTCCTCCCAAAGGTAGTTCAGCCTATGCCCAGGAATGAACAAGGACAGTTCGGAGGTTGGAAGCAAAATGGAGTTGGTTAGGTCAGCTCAGTTATAATTTTGCAATGGTGGTTTCAATGTTAACTTTAATCAGCTTGTTAAATTGGTGTCTACCATATTTCTCCTGCAAAGATCTTTTTTTCTCTTTCCATACTCAAGTCTTCAGAAGCAAATCACTTAGTCCACACTCCTTTTTATTATTTTTTTACATTTTATTTATTTATTTCAGACAGAGTTTCACTCTGTCACTTAGGCTGGAGTGCAGTGGTGTGAGCACAGCTCATTGCAACCTCTGCCTCTGGGCTCAGGTAATCCTCCCAGCTCAGCCTCCTGAGTAGCTGGAACTACAGGTGTGTATCACCATGCCTAGCCAATTTGTTGTATTTTTTGTAGAGGTGGGTTTTCACTATATTGTCCAGGTTGGTCTTGAACTCCTGGCATGAGCCACCATCTCCAGCTTTAGTCCACACTCTAAGAGAGGGGATTGGCCAGGCATGGTGGCTCACGGCTGTAATCCCAGCACTTTGGGAGGCTGAGGCAGGCGGGTCACCTGAGGTCAGGAGTTTGAGACTAGCCTGGCCAACATGGTAAAACTCCATCTCTACTAAAAATACAAACATTAGCCGAGTGTGATGGCAGGCGACTGTAACCCCAGCTACTCGGGAGGCTGAGGCAGGAGAATCTCTTGAACCTGGGAGGCGGAGGTTGCAGTGAGGTGAGATCATGCCACTGCACCCCAGCCTGGGCGACAGAGTGAGACTCCGTCTCAAAAAAAAAAAAAAAAAAAGAGAGAGAGAGGAGATATTCCAACTTTTTGAATGGAGAGATAATTGAGGTTTTTACTGCCTGTGAATAAAAACATATAGAAGTAAAGACATGAGGCTGGGCATGGTGGCTTATGCCTGTAATCCCAGTACTTTGGGAGGTCGAGGCCAGCGGATCACCTGCGGTCAGGAGTTCAAGACCAGCCTGGCTAACATGGCGAAACCCAGTCTCTACTAAAAATAAAAATTAGATGGGTGTAGTGGTGTGTGCCTGTAATCCCAGCTACTCAGGAGACTGAGGCCGGAGAATCACTTGAACCTGGGAGGCAAAGTTTGCAGTGAGCCGAGATCATGCCAGTGCACTCTAGTTTGGGCAATAGAGCGAGACTCTGTCTCAAATTAAAAAAAAAAAAAAAGGCCAGGCATGGTGGCTCATGCCTGTAATACCAGCACTTTGGGAGGCCGAGGTAGGGGGGATCACGAGGTCAGGAGTTCAAGACCAGCCTGGCCAACATGGTGAAACCCCGTCCCCACTAAAAATACAAAATTAGCTGGGCGTGGTGGCGCGTGCCTGTAATCCCAGCTACTTGGGAGGCTGAGGCAGGAGAATTGCTTGAACCCAGGAGGCGGAGGTTGCAGTGAGCCGAGGTCCCATCACTGCACTCCAGCCTGGGTGACAGAGTGAGACTCCGTCTCAAAAAAAAAAAAAAGAATTACATTAAATCTGCACTGTCTGTGTTCTATAAACGAATAACAACATGTGGATGACAGCACATCTGTTTACAGCATGATTTACTGAATATTTTAAGCCCACGTTTGAGACCTACTGCTCAGAAGATTTATTTCAAAATATTACTGCTCATTGACAATGCACCTAGTCACACAAGAGCTCTGGTGGAGATGTACAAGGAGATTAATGTTTTTATGCCTGCCAACACAACCATTCTGCAGCCCATGGATCAAGGAGTAATTTCAACTTTCTTTTTTTTTTTTTTTTTAAGAAAGGGTCTTGTTCTGACACTCAGGCTGGAGTGCAGTGGTGTGATTGTGGCTCACTGCAACTTCTGCCTACCAGGCTCAAGCTATCCTCCCAACTCAGCTTCCTAAGTAGCTAGGACTACAGGCACATGCCACCATGCCCAACTAATTTTTAAAAATTTTTTGTAGATATGGGGTTTCTCCATGTTGCCCAGGCTGGCCTTGAACTCCTGAGCTCAAGCAATCTTCCTGCCTCAAAGTGCTGGGATTACACGTGTGATCCACCATGCCCAGCCCCTAACTTTCAAGTCGTATTGTAGAAATACATTTCATGAGGCTATACCTTCCATAGATAGTGATTCCTCTGATGGATCTGGGCAAAGGATTCACCTTCTGGAAAGGATTCATCATTCTAGACTCCATTAAGAACATTCATGATTCATGGGAGGAGGTCAAAATATTAACATTAATGGGTGTTTAAAAGAACTTGATTCCAACCCTCATGGATGGCTTTTAGGGGTTCAAGACTTCAGTGGAGGAAGTAACTCCTCCATTGTGGAAATAGCAAAATAACTAAAATTAAAAGTAGAGCCTGAAGATGTGACTGAATTGCAGCAATCTCACGATAAAAGGTAAACAGACAAGGAGTTACTTTTTTTTTTTTTTTTTTGAGATGGAGTCTCACTCTGTCACCCAGGCTGGAGTGCAGTAGTGTGATCTCAGCTCACCACAATCTCTGCCTCCCTGGTTCAAGCAATTCTCCTGCCTCAGCCTCCCGAACAGCTGGGATTACAGGCGCACGCCACTGCACCCAGCTAATTTTTGTGTTTTTAGTAGAGATGGGGTTTCTCCATGTTGGCCAGGCTAGTCTTGAACTCCTGACCTCAGGTGATCTGCTTGCCCCGGCCTCCCAAAATGCTGGGATTACAGGTGTGAGCCACTGCACCCAGCCATACTTACTTCTTAAGGATGAACAGAGAAAATGATTTCTTGAGGTGGAGTCTACTCCTTTTGAAGATGTTGTTAACATTGTTGAAATGACAACAAAGGATTTAGAATATTCCATAAACTTGGCCGGGCGCAGTGGCTCACGCCTGTAATCCCAGCACTTTGGGAGGCCGAGGCGGGCGGATCACGACGTCAGGAGATCGAGACCATCCTGGTTAACATGATGAAACCCAGTCTCTACTAAAAATACAAAAAATTAGCCGGGCGTGGTGGCGGGCACCTGTAGTCCCAGCTACTTGGGAGACTGAGGCAGGAGAATGGCGTGAACCCGGGAGGCGGAGCTTGCAGTGAGCCGAGATGGGGTCACTGCACTCCAGCCTGGGCGACAGAGCGAGACTCTGTCTCAAAAAAAAAAAAAAAAAGAATATTCCATAAACTTAATTGATAAAGAAACAGTAGAGCTTGAGAGAATTAACTCCAATTTTTAAAGAAGTTGTGCTGTGGGTAAAATGCTGTCAGAGTTGCATGCTACAGAGAAATCTTTTGTAAAAGGAAGAGTCAATTTTCCCTGTCTTATTTTAAGAAATTGCCACAGCCACCCCACCCTTCAGCAACCACCACCCTAAGTCAGCAGCTATCAACATCAAGGAAAACACTCCAACAGCAAAAAGGTTATGACTTGCTGAAGGCTCAGATGATGATTAGCAATGTTTTGCAATAAAGTATTTTTAAAAATACATATTTATCTTTTTTTTTTTTTCCCCGTAGAGATGAAGACCTCACTATGTTGCCCAGGCTGGTCTTGAACTCCTGGCCTCAAGCCATACTTCTGCCTCAGCCTCCCAAAGTGCTGGGATTACAGGCATGAGCCACCATGCCCTGCCACCAATAAAAGTTTTTTTTTTTTTTTTTTTTGAGACAGAGTCTTGCTCTGTCGCCCAGGCTAGAGTGCAGTGGTGCAATCTTGGCTTACTGCAACCTCTGCCTCCTGGGTTCAAGCAATTCTCCTGCCTCAGCCTCCTGAGTAGCTGGGACTATAGGCGCCCGCCACCATGCCTGGCTAATTTTTGTATTTTTAGTAGAGACAGGGTTTTATCATATTGGCCAGGCTGGTCTCGAACTCCTGACCTTGTGATCTGCCCGCCTTGGGCTCCCAAAGTGCTAGGATTACAGGTGTTAGCCACTGAGCCCAGTCAATAAAGTTTTTTAAAAAATTATTTTGTAATATATTTTTAAAGCAGCCATGCTAATCTTCTCTGTATTGTTCCAATTTTAGTTTATGTGCTGCCAAAGCAAGCACTATTTTGTTTTTTTGTTTGTTTGTTTTTTTTTTTTTTTTTTGAGTCAGGGTCTCTCTGTCACCCAGGCTGGAATGCAGTGGTACAACTATGGCTCCCTACAGCCTTGACCTCATGGGCTCAAGCAGTCCTCCCACCTCAGCCTCCCAAGTAGCTGGGACCACAGGTGTGCATGACCACACCTAGCTAATTTTTTGATTTTTTTGTAGAGATGAGGTTTCACTATGTTGTCCAAGCTGGTCTCAAACTCCTGAGTTCAAGTGATCCTTCTTCCTTGGCCTCCCAAAGTGCTGGAATTACAGCCATGAGCCACTGTGCCTGGCCATATTTTTAAATTAAGGTCTGTACATGGTTTTTAAATACATAATGCTATTGTGCACGTAATAGATTATAGTATAATGTAAATATAAATTCTATATGCACTGGAGAACAAAAAAAAAATCGTGTGACTCTGAAACTGCCATTGCAAAATTATAACAGACAGTGAAAGAGATCTGACCTTACCAATTCCATCTTGCTTCTAACCTCCAAGCTGTCCTTGTTCATTCCTGGGCATAGGCCGAACTAACTTTGGGAGGAACTTAGTTTATAGACTATAGTTTGAAACAAAGACAATAACAGCCCTTTCCTGAAATAAACCCCCTTCTTGCCTGGGGCCTAGACTGCCTTTGTAGGACTAACAAATTACTCAAAAGATTAAAAATTATGGTTTAGGAGTCATGCCGCTGGAGGCTACAAGATTGACCATCCCTAAACTACTCCTAAGATCAATGGCTTGGCTGGGCACGGGTGGCTCAAGCCTGTAATCCCAGCACTTTGGGAGGCGGAGGCGGGTGGATCACCTGAGGTCAGGAGTTCAAGACCAGCCTGACCGATATGGCGAAAACCCTATCTCTACTAAAAATCCAAAATTAACTGGGGGTGGTGGCACATGCCTGTAATCACAGCTGCTTGGGAGGCTGAGGCAGGAAAATCGCTTGGACCCAGGAGGTGGAGGTTGCAGCGAGCAGAGATCGTGCCACTGCACTCCAGCCTGCATGATGGGAGCGAGACTCCACCTCAAAACAACAACAACAACAACAACAATAACAACAAATTAGCTGGGCATGGTGGTGCATGCCTGTAGTCCCAGCTACTTGGCAGGCTGAGGAACAAGAATTGCTTGAACCCGGGAGGCAGAGGTTGCAGTGAGCCAAGATCGCACTACTGCACTCCAGCATGGGTGACACAGTGAGACTCTCTAAAAAAAAAAAAAAAGTAAAAAAGAAGCCAGAACTTTTACATTTATAGTGTATTTATTTTAAATATATATGTATACATACTCTTTTTTTTACACTCATTTACATATTTTTATTTGGAAATGTTTATATCAGTACAAGGAAACAATTTTGGAGACACTGGATGTCATTAGTTTATTATAAAAGAAAAATATGGAAATTATTTACATGATGAAAGATTTCAGAACTTCAGTAGAATGGGCAGCTTCACGTTGATGCCATTTCAATAGTGACTTATTTCAGTCTACGTACTTTCTAAGAATGTCACCATCTCTAAATAGGAAATAATCCTTGTCATCTAGAACTACTTTGGTGCCTCCATATTCTGGGAGAAGAACTTTATCTCCAACTTTCACGCTAACTGGTTGAATCTCTCTACCCTTTCCATAGAACCCCATCCAACAGCGACTACTCTTGCTTGCAATAATTTTCCTTGAGATTTTTCTGGAAGCATAATGCCTCCTTTGGTTACAGTTTCAGCAGCACGCCTTTCAACCAAAACTCGGTCAAGGAGTGGAAGAAACTTTCTAAACGCTTGGCTTGCCATGATTCCCTCCACCTCAGACTCGTACTCTGCTCGCGTGTATACATACTCATCTTAAGTGACAAATTCTTGTTAGCTCTATAGTCAGACAACTCTTTTTTTATTTGAGACTGAGTTTTGCTCTTTGTTGCCCAGGCTGGAGTGCAGTGGTATGATCTCGGCTCACTGCAACCTCCGCCTCCCGGGCTCAAGCGATTCTCCTGCCTCAGCCTCCCGAGTAGCTGGGATTACAGGGGCCCACCACTACACCCGGCTGATTTTTGTATTTTTAGTAGAGATGAGGTTTCACCATGTTGGCTGGGCTGGTCTCGAACTCCTGACCTCAGGTGATCCGCCCGCCTTGGCCTCCCAAAGTGCTGGGATTACAGGCGTGAGCCACCATGCCCGGCCTCAGATTTTTTTTTTTTTTTTTTTTTTTTTTTTTTTTTTTTTGAGACAGAGTCTTGCTCTGTCGTCCAGTCTGGAGTGCAGTTGCGCGATCTCGGCTCACTGCAAGCTCCGCCTCCCGGGTTCACGCCATTTTCCTGCCTCAGCCTCCTGAGTAGCTGGGACTATATGCGCCCGCCACCACGCCCGGCCAATTTTGTTTTTGTATTTTTAGTAGAGACGCGGTTTCACCGTGTTAGCCAGGATGGTCTTGATCTCCAGACCTCGTGATCCGCCAGCCTCGGCCTTCCAAAGTGCTGGGATTAGAGGTGTGAGCCACCGCGCCAGGCCAGACAATTCTTATATCTGTGTTAAAAGTGATTAGCCAATTGAATTGCTTAATTAAGGAAATTACATAAGCAGCAGAAGGGTAAGATGATCAGGTGAATTCCCTTTGATATTATAATTTCTTTGCTTAGGGAGAGTTTTTTTTTTTAGTCTGATGAATCAGTAGTAGGGCACGAAAGGAAAAAAGGGAAGGAATAGAGTGATTTTCAGAACACAGAAACCTAGGTAGAGATTACAATGAAACCATGGTTGCTAACTTTTGTGATTTTTATTTTTTATTTTTAAAATTTATTTATTTATTTAGAGACATAGTCTCTATCTGTTGACCAGGCTGGAGTGCAATGTCACCGTCTCTGCTCACTGCAACCTCTGCCTCCTGGGTTCAAGCAGTTCTCCTGCCTCAGCCTCCTGAGTAGCTGGGATTACAGGTGCCCGCCACCATGCCTGGCTAATTTTTGTATTTTTTAGCATTGACGGGGTTTCACCATGTTGGCCAGGCTGGTCTTAAACTCCTGACCTCATGGTCCACTGGCCTCCACCTCTCAAAGTGCTGGAATTACAGGCGTGAGCCACTGTGCCTGGCCATTTTTTTTTTTTTAAGACAGGGTCTCGCTCTATTACCCAGGCTGGAGTGCAGTGGCTGCAATCTCAGCTCAACTGCAATCTCTGCCTCCCAGGTTCAAGCGATTCTCATGCCTTAGCTTCACGAGTAGCTGGGATTACAGGCGCGCACCACCATGCCCAGCTAATTTTTGTATTTTCAGTAGAGACAGGGCTTCATCATATTGGCCAGGCTGGTCTCGAACTCCTGACCTCAGGTCATGTGCCTGCCTCAACCTCCTAAAGTGCTGGGATTACATTGCACCTGACCATTTTTAAATTTTTATTTGTTTTTGAAATAGAGTCTCGATCTGTGATCCAGGCTGGAGTTCAGTGGTGTGATCATAGCTCACTGCAGCCTCAAACTCCGGGCTCAAGTGAGCCTCCCACGTAAGCCTCTCATGTAGCTGGAACCACAGGTTATGCAACACCACACCCAGCTAATTTTTAAATTTTTTGTAGATATGGTTGCGGGTCTCACTATATTGTCCAGGCTTCGGCCTCCCAAAGCGCCGGGATTACAGAACTGTGAGCTACCATGCCTGGCCAGCTTTTGTGGTTTTTAAAAAGCCTTATTTTAAATTTTCTATTTTGTTTTGTATGGCGGGCACTCACTCCACGGCCACAGTGATCTCTTGAAATACTAGTCTGCCCATGTTCTTACTTTCTCCTTAATACCAAAAATAATCCAAGATTCTCAGCAGGACTCTGGTGACTTTGCCTCTTTGTTTCTCTCTCCATTTGCTGCCTCACACTTATTTAAGTGCTTTCATAGTCCCAGGGAAGCAAGCTCTGTGTATGCATTTCCTCCAGTTGTTTTCTGGGCCTGGAATGCTAATCTTATTTTTCTTTGCCTGGTTAGTAATTACTTCCTTTTGAAAACTCTGATGTCATCTGTCAGAAAACCTCCGTGGTCCTTCCTCTGAGCCCAGGCCCCTGGCCCTCAGCTCTGGGCATGTCTCTACTTTTTAAAATCCTCTCCTTTCCATTTAATAAACCACATAACATAATTTTGTTTTTATTTATTTATATTTTTGAGACAGAGTCTCGTTCTCTCACCCAGGCTGAAATGCAGTGGTGTGATCTCAGCTCACTGAGAAAACCTCCATTTCCCAGGTTCAAGCGATTCTCCTGCCTCAGCCTCCTGAGTAGCTGGGATTACAGGCGTGAGCCATGATGCCTGACTAATTTTTTGTATTTTTAGTAGAGATGGGGTTTCACCATGTTGGCCAGGCTGGTCTCGAACTCCTGACCTCAGGTGATCCACCCACCTTGGCCTCCCAAAGTGCTAGGATTACAGGCATGAGCCACCACGCCTGGCCTAATTTTGTTATTTTGATCTATGAGTGTCCTCGTCCTGAGGGTACTATTACTATTTCATCTTTGTAGCCTAGCATGGCGCCCATGAAATGTGTTTGTGGCTGAAAGGAACCTATCTTTGGTCACCAATGACCCAACAATTTTGGCCACATATGTTGGGCTCAGACTCCCTAAACTATCAAAATCATGTGCTTATATTATAAGTGCCTCCAGAACACAAATCCCTTTCACAGGGCTTGAAATGTATCAAGTCACTATTAATCATCTTAGGCCAAGGCTCCGAGTCTGGGCTACTCCAGAACCTGGAGGGGAGTTTTTTTTGTTTTTTTTTTGTTTGTTTGTTTTTTGAGACAAGGTCTTGCTCTGTCACCCAGGCCGAGTGAAGTGGTGTGATAAAGGCTCACTGCAGCCTCGACCCCCAAGGCTCAAGTGATCATCCCAACTCAGTCTCCCGAGTAACTGGAACCGGCTTTTTTTCTTTTTCATTTTTTTTTTTTTTTTTTGTAGAAGAGGGGTTTCGCTATGTTACCCAGGCTGATCTCTAGTTCTTGGGTTCAAGCGATCCTCCCAACTCGGCCTCCCAAAGTGGTGGCATTCCAGGGGTGATGGCTTTTGGATGCCTCCCAAAGTGATGGCTATTCACGGCGCCCGGCCTGGGAAATCTTATTTCCAGGAAATATTCTCCAGTTGCGCTCTCCTGGAAAGCAGCACAATGGGCCTCCCGGCTCCGTGGGCGCGCAGTCCCACCCGCCTGCCCCGCACCCCACCCGCGTACTCTCCACCCCACCCGTTCCCACCCTGTCTGGGTTTTCGGGTGTTCACCATTGAGGTGGGAGCCACATCTGCGCCCCGTGACCTGGCGAACCTCATTGAACACTTCTGCCCGACCCCCGCAGCAGCAGCGCGACCGGATGGCATGGGTGTCACCACGCGGTGGCCACTCTCACTGCTGCGAAGCGCCGGCGGCGGGACCTCGGAGGGGGCGCCCTCGGGGTGCGAGGCCCGGCACTCCGGAAATCCCCCGGGAGGGAGGGGTTGGGAGAAATAAATCCTTTTCTCCAGAGTTGCGCAAGAGCCAGCGCGGTAGGGCCAGAGTGGGAAGGCCAGAGCGGGCGTCCCCGCCAGTGACCCCACGCCGCCCGTCCGCGCCCAACCCGGCCTCCGCCGAGTGTCCAAACCAAAAGCGAAAGGAACCCGACCCCGCGTCCCCTCCGGCGGCTCCGTAGTCGCGTCCGCTTGGAGCTCGCCGGGCGCCTCCGACCCTGCCGGGCCGCTTTGTGACTTCACTCGTTTCGCAACAAGCCCGGGCAGCCCGCGCCCCACCCACTCTGGCCCGGCAGCCTCGCCGCCCGCAGCCTCGCTCCGCTCCTCGCGCTTCCCCTCCCTCCGGGGCTGGGCCTGCCCCGGCCGTCGCGGAGCCTCCCCTCCCACCGTCCGTGAGTGTACGCGCCCGGCCGCCGCCTCCAGGCAGCCCGGAGCAACCCGGCGCCCGGCCCCGCTGGGCGCAGCACTCCGTCGGCGGCGGCGGCGGCGCGATGCTGTGCTTCCTGAGGGGAATGGCTTTCGTCCCCTTCCTCTTGGTGACCTGGTCGTCAGCCGCCTTCATTATCTCCTACGTGGTCGCCGTGCTCTCCGGGCACGTCAACCCCTTCCTCCCGTATATCAGGTGAGTGGCAGGGTGGGCGTCAGGGCCCCAGGAGCAGGCACAGGGACCACAGGGAGCGCTGCCGACGGGGAGGGAAGGCGTCCGGACCCAGCTTGGGGCGTCGTGTGGTCAGGCAGAGGTGGGAGCAGGAGGAGAGGTGCTCCCGATAGCCTGGGATGTTTAGGGAGGCAGCGGGTGCGGCGCTGAGCACTTCTGCCTGTACCCGGAGCATGGAACAGGGTGGCAGCAAGGAGAGGTTCAGGATAGATGGTAGAGCTTTCATTCTGGGTATGGGACAGAATCTCAGCAGGACGTTCTTAGGCGATATTGAAACAAGATGGGTTCTGATAGATGACATATATTATACAAGAGGTAGATCCAGGTATATGCTAAACAGCCACTATTTTCACTTCTGCATCCCAACATCCCTTGAAGTGGATGTTTGGGCTTATTATTCCCGCAAGCGAGCGGTGGTGTAAAGTTGATGAAATATCATCAACGTGACACTGATGTCACACTAGTTAATGGTAGGAGCAGAATTCACACCCGGCCATGCAGAAAGCAACACTGTGCTGCCCCCAGGTCTCTGGGAGTCTGGCTTAAATTCTCTGGAGCTGCACCAGACACCTCTGGGCACTGTGACCCCAAAGTCCTCAACTTGTCAACAACTTGTGACATCTTTTGTGTTATTTTACCCATTCACTTTTCCTGTGCTTTGGCCTCTACCTTCCTGAGGGGCACTTCAGTGCCAGGGACAGTGGTCTGATCCTCCTATGTGGGTTCCAGCTCAGTGCCTTTCTCATAGTGGCAGGATTCTTTAAACGTTAGAACCATCCATCCTTATCTAAGTAGTGTGACCCCTCTGGACAGGCATTGGTTGGTGAACGGATGATAAGGTTGGTGACACCCAAGGTTTGTTACTGCTATGATAGAAAATGTAGGGCGTCTTCTTCCCTGCAGCCATTCTGTCTGGTGAGCAATGTTCTGTGTTTTTTTGTTTGTTTGTTTGTTTTTTTCCTTTTTTTGGGGGTGGGGGTGAGGAGTGTGGAGAAAGGGGAAACAAAGATCGAGCAAGAGGGGACTAGCATTTTTTAAAATTTTTTTTATTTTTTTGAGACAGAGTCTTGTTCTGTCGCCCAGGCTGGAGTGCAGTGACACAATCTCGGCTCACCGCAACCTCTGCCTCCCGGGTTCAAGCGATTCTCCTGCCTCAGCCTCCCAAGTAGCTGAGATTACAGGCGTGCACCACCACACCTGGCTTAATTTTTTTGTATTTTTAGTAGAGACAGGGTTTCACTATGTTGGTCAGGCTGGTCTCAAATTCCTGACCTCAAGTGATCCTCTTGCCTTGGCCTCCCAAAATGCTAGGATTACAGGTGTGAGCCAGTGTTCCCAGGGAACCAGCATTTACAAGATGCAGGGAATACAGCAATAGGTAGAATAGTGCAAATTTGCAGTAATGATGGTGGTTTTTGCCTATGAAAGGAGATGTTATGTATATCAAGATGTTCTCATCTGGCCTTTCGGTTTTTTCCATTTATTGTTATTATTTTTTATTTTCAGTAGAGACAAAGTCTCACTATATTGCCCAGGCTGGTCTTAAACTCCTGGGCTCAAGCATTCCCCTTGCTTTGGCCTCCCAGAGTGTTGGGATTACAGGCGTGAGCCACCACGCCTGGCCCTCCCATCTGGTATTATGCTTGGAAGAAACCTAGGCTTGGTTTCTCATGGCACATCTCAGGCCCAAGTGCCATCATCTTGCTTCTGAAGCAGGATAGATCCTTCTAGACTTGTGTAAAAGTAAAGACCTGCTCAGCTGGGCACAGTGGCTCACGCCTGTAATCCCAGCACTTTGGGAGGCCGAGGCTGGCGGATCATGAGGTCAAGAGATCGAGACCATCCTGGCCAACATGGTAAAACCTCATCTCTACTAAAAATACAGAAATTAGCTGGGCGTGGTGGTGCACGCCTGTAGTCCCAGCTACTCGGGAGGCTGAGGCAGAATTGCTTGAACCCGGGAGGCAGAGGTTGCAGTGAGCCGAGACAGAGCTACTGCACTCCAGCCTGGTGACAGAGCGAGACTCCATCTCAGAAAAAAAAAAAAAAGGTAAAGAGCTGCTCTACCTGCAGTGCTGCTTCTTTTGTTTGTTTGTTTGTTTGTTTTTTCAGACAAAGTCTCGCTCTGTTGCCCAGTCTGTGGTGTGGTGGTGGGATCACAGCTCACTGCAGCCTCGACCTCCTGGGCTCCATTGATCCTCCCACCTCAGCCTCCTGAATAGCTGGGGACTGTAGATAGGCATGCACAACCATGCCCAGCTAATTTTTAATTTTTTTTTGTATTTGTAGAGATGGCATCTTGCTGTGTCCTGCAATGCTTCCTTTTTTTTTTTTTTTTTTTTTTTTTTTAAGACAGAGTCTTGCTCTGTCGCCCAGGCTGGAGTGCAATGGTGCAATCTCGGCTCAGTGCAACCTCCACCTCCTGGTTCAAGCAATTCTCCTGACTCAGCCTCCCAAGTAGCTGGGATTACAGGCACCTGCCACCACGCCCAGCTAATATTTTTGTATTTTTAGTAGAGACGGGGTTTCACCATGTTGGCCAGGCTGGTCTCAAGCTCCTGACCTCAGATGATCCACCTGCCTCAGCCTCCTAAAGTGTTGGGATTACAGGCGTGAGCCACCACACCCAGCCTGCAGTGCTTCTTATTGAGAAAACAGTAGTCATGTTTGTCCCAGATCTGAAGGTTGAGGACAGATAATACGTGATATTCATTGGCCAGGCTGTCAAAGGCAGGTTTTGAATGTTCATAGAGGTGTCTGATGTAGTTGTGATTAATATCACTCTAAGGTGAACTTGAAATGGGAGACATTCAGAAATGGGAAAATAAGCTGACAAGGTGAACCACTTATGAGATGCTCAAATCACAGACCCTACAAGGAAGGGGTTTAAAATTTAACAAGGAAGCCTTCAGGAAAAGCAGAATTACAGGAGAAAAAGGCATGCCCCCTTGTTGCCAGGAGTTCTCAGCCAACACACAACAAACATTTGTACTGATTGCCCATGTGTGCCTGGGTCTTTTAGGTTGTTTGCTCTCTGCTTACCTGAGCAGCCGGAGCACTGGATTGCCCCTGCCCGCTCCTAGAAAACAAGTCCTTGGTGCAGCAACAAGATGTGGATAAGAACCACACATAGAGAAGAAGGCTGGGTGCAGTCTCTACTAAAAATATATAAAATTAGCTGAGCGTGGTGGCACATTCCTGTGATCCCAGCTACTCAGGAGGCTGAGGCATGAGAATCGCTTGAACCAGGGAGGCAGAGGTTGCCGTGAACCGAGACTGTGCCACTGCACTCCAGTCTGGGTGACTGAGTGAGACTCTTTCTCAAAAAAATGAAAGAACCAGACATAGAGAAGTGATAACTCTACATTTATCTACTGGCCTTGAAATATTCAACCTTATCCCTTTTTGTTGTGTTTTTTTTGGAGGTGGGGTCTTGCTATGTTGCCCAGGCTGGTCTCGAACTCCATGGCTCAAGCAATCCCCTGACCTCAGCCTACTGAGTACTTGAGATTAAAAGTGTGCACCCCCATGCCAGGCTGAAGGTATCTCTTAGCTCATCACCTCCTCCTCTCCTCTACCCCTACTCTTTGTACTTCCCTTCAACCACGCTGGCCTTGTGTCTTAAACACATCAAGCACCCGTCCTTCTCAAGACCTTTGCAGTGGCTGTTCCCTCTGCCAGGTGTTCTCCCTGCAGCTATTTTTCACTTACCTCTTTTGTTCAAACGTTACCTTCCTGCAGAGTTTTTCACTTACCTCCTTTGTTCAAATGTTATCATCTTGATGAGACCTGCCCTGATCACCCTTTTTAAAAATTGCACCTGACCACTACTGGTCTCCATATCCAGTCTTATTATTCACCACAGCACGTATCACCTTCTAACAAATCATGTGATTTAACTTATTTATTATGTTTATTTTCTGTCTCCCTTCACTGGATTGTAAGGTCCATGAAAGCTCTCAATATTTGCTGAATGAATATTTCTGAATGACTATTTCTTGGGTACTCACTCTTTACCCCAGGACAGGGCAGATCCCTTAAGGAAAAGCTTGACATGGCCATTCTGTTTGGTGGCTAGTCAGTGATTTGAAAGTCCTTAGGATGAGTTTCCTTTTACATTCTAACATTGTTCAGTCATTCTGATGGTCTAATTTTTTTTTTTTTTTTTTTTTTTTTTTTTGAGACGGAGTTTCCCAGGCTGGAGTGCAGTGGCGCGATCTCGGCTCACTGCAAGCTCCGCCTCCCGGGTTCACGCCATTTTCCTGCCTCAGCCTCCCGAGTAGCTGGGACTACAGGCGCCCGCCACCCCTCCCGGCTAATTTTTTGTATTTTTTTAGTAGAGACGGGGTTTCACCATGTTAGTCAGGATGGTCTCGATCTCCTGACCTTGTGATCCGCCCGCCTCAGCCTCCCAAAGTGCTGGGATTACAGGCGTGAGCCACCGCGCCCGGCCCCTGATGGTCTAATGTTTTTAGCACAGTTGAACACTTTAAATAAGAGCCACAACCATAAGGAGGACCTCTCCCCAGTATGGCATTTAGAATCAGCTTCCTTATCAGATACTTTCTCCTTGTAACATTGTTATTCTTCAGCATATTGGATAAATTGGCAAATGGCTCTTATACACATGAAAAGATACTCAACTTTATGAATAGGAATAAATATTCAAATTAAAACTCACTGATGCCAGTTGTGATCTAGTGGGTTAGCAGAAACCCAAATGTTTGATACTAGTACTGGTGAGAATATGGGGAAACAGTCTCTCTCATACATTGCTTACAGGAACGTGAATTGATTTCAGTCTCCATGGTGGGACTTGGGCAATATCTATGGAAATGACAGATACACACACACCCCCCCATCATTTGATGCAACAGCCTTTTTTTTTTTTTTTTTTTTTGAAATTTATCCTATAGGTGTACATGCCCATGTGAAGAATGGCATTTCTGCAGAGTTACTCAGGGCATTGCTTTGAATAACAAAAGATTGGAAACTACAAATGACTATCAGTAGAGAATTGCCTAAATAAATATGGTTTATTTATTAAAGGATACTTCAAGTGAAAGCTCTCTGTACCTAGCAGATTTTTACGTCAATACACTTATATGGAAAAATCTCCAAGATACATTGTTACATGGGAAAAAGCAAGATGCAGAACAACCTATGCTCTCGTTAGTTAAGAAAAAAGAGGAGAAAAATAATATATATTTGCATTAGCTTGCATAAAGAAACTAATGAAAGTGGTTTATCTGTGTGTGATGGAGGGAGGAGTAGGTCAAGGTCAGTGAGACATTGGCAGATGGGGAAAAAGGATAATTATAAGGCATACTTTTTTGTTTTATTTTTTACCCAAATAGGTTTTTTTTTTTTTTTTTGAGATGGAGTTTCACTCTTGTTGCCCAGGCTGGAGTACAATGGCACGATCTCGGCTCACCACAACCTCCGCCTCCCGGGTTCAAGCGATTCTCCTGCCTCAGCCTCCTGATAGCTGGGATTACAGGCACGTGCCACCACACCTGGCTAATTTTTTTGTATTTTTAGTAGAGACGGGGTTTCACCATGTTAGCCAGGGTGGTCTCGATCTCCTGACTTCATGATCCGCCCACCTCGGCCTCCCAAAGTGCTGGGATTACAGGCGTGAGCCACTGCGCCCCGCATGAATGTTTCCTATCAGAAAATTAAATTAAAAACATGAGGCCGGGCGCAGTGGCTCACTCACGCCTGTAATCCCAGCACTTTGGGAGGCCAAAGCAGGCGGATCACGAGGTCAAGAGATCGCAACCATTCTGGCCAACATTGTGAAACCCTATCTCTACTAAAAATACAAAAATTAGCTGGGCATGGTGGCATGTGCCTGTAGTCCCAGCTACTCAGGAGGCTGAGGCAGAAGAATCGCTTGAACCCGGAGGTGGAGGTTGCAGTGGACCGAGATTGTGCCACTGCACTCCAGCCTGGTGATAGAGCGAGACTCTTTCTCAAAAAAAAAAAAAATAAATAAATACAAAATAAAAACATGGGACCAACCACCGTGAGATATAACAAGTTAGAATAGCATAAAGTGATATTTCTTATTCTGAAACCATTAACAAAAGCATATCAAAAGGAAGGACAAATAAAAGCTAATCTCAAAAAATTAGTTTAGATTTGCACTCGGGTGTGGTGCCTTATGCCTGTAATCCCAGCACTTTGGGAGGCTGAAGTGGGCTGATCACTTGAGTCCGGGTGTTTGAGACCAGCCATGGGCAATATGGTGCAACCCTGTCTCTACAATACATACAAAAAATTAGCTGAGCGTGGTAGGATGCACCTACAGTCCCACTTACTCAGGAGCCTGAGTGGGAGGATCACTTGAGCCTGCAGTCTGAGGCTGCAGTGATCACTCCAGCTTGGGTGACAGAGTGATACCCTGTCTCAAAAAAAAAAAAAAAAAAAAAAGATTTGCACACGGCCACACCCACATTCTCAAGCCAAATCATGCTTAACTTGTTATAGTTTCTTATCAAATTATTAACTTTTTCCAGCTGATAGATCACTGTCTTCCATCTTCTTTTTGGCATGTGTCTCCTGCCATGATATCTTGCTCATGATATTCTGTGATCCTTTACTCTTCAGTGTTGCCGATTCTAGATCCTGGCTTTTCTCTTTATTAGCACGTCTCACTTTCCATGTGAATACAGTTTTGTGGGATAGATTGTGGCCTTTGGCCACCCATATTGTCCTACCTCATGACCCCATAATCTCTGCTCAGTAGTTGATGACAGAAAACTGGGTCACCTAGAATCAAGCCACTTTAAAAGGAGGAACAAAATTGCAGAGTAAATGAAGTAAAAGAAGTTTGGTCAGGTCTTTAACTTCAAAAATGATACTAAAAATTAGGAAAATAACGATTTTAACTTGCATTTATGTAACAATCACAAATTTTGGGTTATGACAAGTGTGTGTTAAATCTTCAGATGCTGATCTTTATAGAGAAAATGTTTTTTTTTTTTTTTTTGAGATGGAGTTTCACTTTTGTTGCCCAGGCTGGAGTGCAATGGCGCAATCTTGGCCCACTGCAACCTCCTGCCACCTGGTTCAAGCGATTCTCCCACCTCATCCTCCCGAGTAGCTGTGATTAGAGGCATGTGCCACCACGCCCGGCTAATTTTGTATTTTTAGTAGACACGGGGTTTCTCTATGTTGGTCAGGCTGGTCTTGAACTCCCGCCTTGGCCTCCCAAAGTGCTGGGATAACAGGCGTGAGCCACCACACCCAGCCTTGCATTCTTTTTCCAATACAATTTTATGATTATATTATAGTAAGTCTTTCATTTCACATTTAACTTTAAAGAAAGTTTCCTTCTTCTCTTTTTGTTTGTTTTTGATAAACCCTTGTGTCAAGCGCTGACTTTCAGTAGCTCAAATCGAGGGAGGGAGCTGCTCTGCTACTACGAAACCCTGCCCCAGAAGCAGGTTGTCTGTGAATGGTTTAACACCAGGTTTCCCATGAACCACATTAAGCTTTTGAAGGGGGATAGGAAGAGGTTCATTTTTGCAAAAATGTCTGAAGACTCCAATTTTCCCACTGGACTTTTTTTTTTTTTTTTTTTTTTGACAGAGTTTTGCTCTGTCACCCAGGCTGGAGAGCAGTGGCATGATCTCAGCTCACTGCAGCCTCTGCCTCCCAGTTCAAGTGATTCTCCTGTCTCAGCCTCCTGAGTAGCCAGGACTACAGGTGCCCGCCACCATGCCCACCTAATTTTTTTTATTTTTAGTAGAGACAGGGTTTCACTATGTTGGCCAGGCTGGTCTCGAACTCCTGGCCTCAAGTGATCTGCCCACCTCGGCCTCAAAAAGTGCTGGGATTACAGGTGTGAGCCACCGCGTCCGGCCTCCCAGTGGCCATTCTTAATCTATATGTAAGGATATTGATCTTGTTTATTACCTGTCTCACACAAAATATATGCTCCATGAGGATAGAGATTTGGGGTTTGTCCACAGCATTTGTGATAGAGCCTGACACATTGCAGGCACTTGGTAAATATTGGTTGAATGTTGAACAAGATAATTTGTGTCATATGGTCCTGTTTCATTAACCTTGTTAGTTTCCTCCTCTTTAATTGTTAACTGATTCTGCCAGCACCTCATTGTTCATTGACTTTGGTTGCAGTTCTGTTTTCCAGCACAGTTAGAGATGAAATCCTTGTGTTTCAGAAGATTTGCGGTCCCAGTTTGTGGTCGATTTGACTTGCATTGTTGACTATTTACAATATTTAATAATAATACTGAGAGGGAACATAGCATGATTAAGAGCAACAGCTTTGGAACAGACAGCCTGGATTAGGGTATGGCTCCATTATGTGTTCCAGCTGTAGAACTTTGGACAGGTTACTTGACTTCTCTCTGCTTCTCTATTGGTTAATAATTGCACGTACTTCATTATTAACATGAACTCACAGAAAACTCATTAACACCCTGGTGGAGGAACATAGTATGTAGAAGCACTTGCTATTAGTATTATCAAGGGGCCAGTCCACATTGGGCTGGATAGGAAAGGATGTTTGGTTGGGAGCTAATTTTAGAAGTGATCGCTTTATATGTGAATGTAATATCAGAAGCTCTTTTATTCAGTAGCCTCAACTTAATCAACTTGCTGGGTTAACTGATGAATTTGTTCTTTGAAAAATGCACTGACTGAAGCCAATGGCCTCTGAAAACTCCCTCCTGTGAGGGCCACTCTGTAGGTACTTGCTTCTCTTACCCATGTCTTTGTATTCTCATCAAATGCCAATTGTGTTTATTCCCAAATTGTATTTATGTTCATGCCAGTTGTATTTTGTATTGTAACTGTGTGACTTAATGCAATACATATTAACTGTTGATCTGTGTAGGCAAAAAGAGAATTGTAATTTCTAAAAAAATTTGGTTGGGCCGGATGCAGTGGCTCATGCCTGGAATCCCAGTGCTTTGGGAGGCTGAGGTGGGCGGATCACTTGAGGTCAGGAGTTCAATACCAGCCTGGCCAACATGGTGAAACCCCTTCTCTATTAAAAATACAAAATTAGCCGGGCATGGTGGCACACACTTGTAATCCCAGCTACTCGGGAGGCTGAGGCAGGAGAGTCACTCGAACCTGGGAGGCAGATGTTGCTGTGAGCTGAGATTGTGCCATTGCACTCCAGCCTGGGCGACAAGAGTGAAACTCCGTTTCAAAAAAAAAAAAAAAATTGGTTAAATGCTTTGGAAAGATTAAAAAGAGACAAATTGTCCGAAAAAAATTTGTAGCCTTTTTGGTAATTATCTGACAGCTGTAAAGATTTAGGAAACTGGTATAAGGAAAACTGGAAGGAGTCTGAATTCAAATTGCTTCAAAAGTGTTTTTAAGACTTCCCTCCACTTTAAAGAAACCAAAATTGGAAATGAGATGATTCAGAGTAGATGCGATTTATATGCCAAGAAGACATAGTGGACCCATACTCTTGTAACGGCTTTGGTCTACATCCACAGGTGGGCAAATGAATACACATTGATACACTTTAAGTTAAAATAAAATGTTTGTGGTATGTATTCATTCATACAAGTTCTGAAGACTTTTTTCTTTTTCTTTTTTTTTTGAGACGAAGTCTCACTCTGTCACCCAGGCTGGAGTGCAGTGTTGCAATCTCGGTTCGCTGCAACCTCTGCCTCCTGGGCTCAAGTGATTCTCTGGCCTCAACCCCCTGAGTAGCTGGGACTACAGGCACGTGCCACCATGCACAGCTAATTTTTTGTTTTTGTTTTTTTAGTAGAGACGGGGGTTTCACCATGTTGGCCAGGCTGGTCTCGAACTCCTGACCTCAAGTGATCTGCCTGCCTTGGCCTCCCAAAGTCCTGAGATTACAGGCATGAGCCACTGTGCCTGGCCCTAATTTTTGATGACTTTTGCTTAAACCAACTTTTTTGATTACTGAGACTACACAGAATTTCAGGCAGTGGTGATGTTGGCTTTCCTGTTCAGCCGTAACAATGAGTACCAGGATAAAAAATACTCAGTTAATGAGGGCTGTGTGCATAAAATCACGTATTCTGACATGATGTTAATGACATATCAGTTTTTACAGTGCAGTGATTATAACCTCGTAGTATTTCTAATCTACAGTGTCACAAAGATGAAAAGGTAGGCATGCCATTTAAAACCTTTAGCTAGAAAAGTATTATTATTATTATTGTTTTGAGACAGAGTTTTTGCTCTGTTGCCCAGGCTGGTGTGCAATGGTGTGATCTCAGCTCACTGCAGCCTCCTCCTCCTGGGTTCAAGTGATTCTCCTGACTCAGCCTCCCGAGTAGCTGGGATTACAGGCGTCCGCCACCATGCCTGGCTAATTTTTGTATTTTTTAGTAGAGACGGGGTTTTACCATGTTGGTTAGGCTGGTCTCGAACTCTTGACCTCAGGCGATCCACCCACCTCAGCCTCCCGAAGTGCTAGGATTACAGGCATGAGCCACTGTGCCTGGCCGAAAAGTATTATTTTTGAGATGATCATTTATAATTGAATATTGATTTCACAAACACATGAAATTAGTTAATTCTAAGAAAAGCATAGTAAGAAAAGTGAAGATCCCAAACTTTTGCAGCCCCAAAATTAACTGAGGGTGATGGATGGAGTGTTGTTCAGCCTGAGTCTACTGTAAATATATAATTTCTCCTCTGATTTGAATTTTCCCTGTCATTTGGGTACAACAAATTCTTTTGTTCTCAGTGAATTAAGTAAAATTATGAATATTTTTCTTCTATTTTTCCTTTTAAAAGGGCATTAGAGTATTGCTCAAAAGTCTTGACTGATGCAGGGCTGATGACTTTCAAACATCTCAATTTTTTTTTTTTTTTTTTTTTTTTTTTTTTGGTCAGGGGACAGGGTCTCACTCTGTTGCCCAGACTGGATTGCAGTGGCATGATCTCAGCTCACTGCAGCGTCTGCCTTCCGGGCTCAAGTGATCCTCCTACCTCAGCCTCCCAAGTAGCTAGGACTACAGGAACATGTCACCATGCTTGGCTAATTTTGTGTTTTTGTAGAGACGGGATCTCACTGTATTGCCTGGGCTGGTCTTGAACTCCTGGGCTCAAGAGATCCTCCCACCTCAGCCTCACATAATGCTGGGATTACAAGTGTGAGCCACTGTGCCTGGCCTCAATCTCAATTAAAAAAAAGTTTCATAGTCCTCTTTACGTCACAGTAATTGCCTTTCATTCCATCAAGAACATGCATTGAAGAGTTGTTGTGAGCCAAGGACACCATAGCTGGCTCCAGAAGAAATAGCTGATATACCCCTGATTGAAATGTACAACATGTAAACTCACATGAAAATGATAACAACTTTAAAGAAATGTAATATAGCACAGCAGAGAAGAGTTCCTAAATTGTTTCCATTGAAATTAGAGAGTTCTAGGGTTCTTTCCTCTTGGAAGTCCCCTCTCGTGAGAGAGCTGTTTTCCTTTCTCTTTCTTTTCCCTATTAAACCTCCACTCAGACAAGAAAAGAGACGAGATGAGACGAGATGAGAAGAGAAGAAGGAAGGAAGTAAGGAAGGAAAGGAAGGAAGGAAAGGAAGGAAGGAAGGAAGGAAAAGAAGGCAGGAAAAAAGGAAATTGGAGAGTTCTAGATGCACAGCTTGGCTTCCTTGTTTACTCTGTGATCAAGTTAGTTTTCTAAGACCGTTTCCTCATCTTTAAGATGGCAATAGTGAGCAGGACGTGGTGGCTTACGCCTGTAATCCCCACATTTTGGGAAGCCAAGGCAGGTGGATCACTTGAGGTCAGGAGTTTGAGACCAGCCTGGCCAACATGATGAAACCCCATCTCTACTAAAAATACAAAAATTAGCCATGCATGGTGGTGGGTGCCTGTAATCCCAGCTACTTGGGAGGCTGAGGCACGAGAATTGCTTAAACCTGTGAGGCAGAGGTTGCAGTGAGCCGAGATCGTGCCACTACACTCCAGCCTGGATGACAAGAGTTAGACTCTGTCTCAAAAAAAAAAAAAAAAAAAAAAGATGCCAGTAATGAGTACTTTCTAATGTTGTGAAGATCAAGTAAGATGTGCCTGGCGGAATGTAGTTGCCAAGGAAGTGTTCATTTCTAATTTTTTCTTTTTCTTTTTTCTTTTTTGATTTTTATTTATTTTTTGAGATGAAGCCTCACTCTGTCGGCCAGGCTGGAGTGCAGTGGCACGATCTTGGCTCACTGTAACCTCTGCCTCCTGGGTTCAAGCGATTCTCCTGCCTCAGCCACCCGAGTAGCTGGGATTACAGGTATGTGCCACCACGCCTGGCTAATTTTTGTATTTTTTAGTAGAGACAGGGTTTCACCATGTTGCCCAGGCTGCTATCAAACTCCTGACCTCAGGTGATCTGCCTGCCTTGGCCTCCCAAAGTGCTGGGATGACAGGTGAGAACCACCGAGCCCGGCCCTATTTTTTTTGGTCCTTGTAGCCACTGGAGTCCATGTGGGGATGGTTTCTAGAGATTCCCCTCAAATAACTTTCCAAATCAAACCACGTTCATCTCCCTCTTTATCACCATACTGGGCTAAGCACTCTGGACAAACTGCTAAAATAGCTTCCTTACGGTCTCCCTGGTCCACAATTGCCTCTCTACAGTCTTTTCAAAACATCCTTTAAAAACATGTTGTATGTGTGAACAAGAGGGAACTCTGATGGAGAGAGGGCAAAATTGCTTGTGGGTAGTGAGAAAAGAGCAAGGTATTTGTATTTGTCAGTAGGAAATTCTTTTTAAGTTTCAGAATAGTTGATATAGCTGAAGGGTGCCCCCGCCATTCTATTTTTTTTTTTTTTTTTTTGAGTCGGCGTCTTGCTCTGTCACCCAGGCTGGAGTGCAATGGCGTGATCTCAGCTCACTGCAACCTCCACTTCCCGGGTTCAAGCGATTCTCCTGCCTCAGCCTTCCGAGTAGCTGGGACTACAGGCGCCCGCCACCACGCCCAGCTAATTTTTATACTTTTAATAGAGACGGGGTTTCACCATGTTGGCCAGGATGGTCTCGATCTCTTGACCTTGTGATCCGCCCGCCTCGGCCTCCCAAAGTGCTGGGATTACAGGCGTGAGCCACCGCGCCCGGCCTGCCCCCCACATTCTAAAACAGTCATCACCAAGTGAAGCTGCCAGAAAGTTAGCTCTCGTAACTAAAAGTAGCTAATAAAATGTAGTATGACTTTTTATTCCGTACTTATCCCTTTTAAATAATATATTTAAATATTATAAAGATAAAGGAAATGATGTTCTCTTTATACTGGGGAATTATGTTTTTTTTAGATTCTAAGTCCCTATCAATCATCCAAGCAATTAGTGTATGAGTTTGGAACAATCTAATAAATTTCAGGCTGGAGACACACATGATGTTGCATTTTGTTAGCATCTAAGTTCCTCCAATAAACCATAATTCTAGGCTTTGGAATATTTAAATCCTGTGTATCCAGTAACTTAAAGAACAAAGTTTGACCAAGCTTCAGAAAGTCTTCTATTATCCAGCATGTTTTCTTTGTATCGTTTTCATTCCTTTCAGTATCAAGTGATTATTCACTAGCTTAACATCATAAATTAGTTTGAAGTAGGATGTTACACAAACGACTTGGAATTTTCCACAGTCTGCTTAACTTGCAGAAATGTAAATACAGGAAATGTGGACATAAACGGATTTCCTAGGCACAACCTACCCCTAAAATAACTGTGTATACATAACAGCCTCAACAGCTTCTGAACCACAGGCAAATGAACAATTTGCTGGCCTTGTCCTCTTTACAGTTTCCAGAAAGTGCCTTATTAGCAAGGAGGCAAATCAGGTGGTGGGTGGAGCTGGGCAGGGCCCACTGCACTGCAGAAACTGTGTGGTGCAGAATGATGTGGTAGGAGCTGGGTAGAGAGACTACTGCTGCCAGGCTGGGAAGCAACTGGTTTTGCCTCTCACTCATTCTCCAGTGTACTGAATCAGGCACCCAGGCACAGTTAGGCCACCCAAATACTACTACCTCTGCCCTTGCATGATGGAATCATTTAGCTTGAGCTTAAAAAAAATAAATAAATAAAAAGAGGTTACCCACAGGGTCTCTTGGTTACCTCTTAGTGTTTACTTATCTGGATTCCAGTATCACCAGAATATGTGACTTAATATTTACTTATGTATGCTGTCCAAAAAAGCAAAAAACAAACCAACAAAAGTAAAAAATATTTACTTAATATATAAAATCAGACGTGGAAAGACATAAGAACATTTTTCATTGAGAGGTAAGAGCTATTTCATTTTTATTTTATTTTTTATTTTTTTTTTTGAGACAGAGTCTTGCTGTGTCGCCCAGGCTGGTATGCAGTGGTGCGATCTCGGCTCACTGCAACCTCCACCTCCTGGGTTCAAGAGATTCTTATGCCTCAGCCTCCTGAGTAGCTGGGATTACAGGCACCCACCACCATGCCAGGCTAATTTTTTTTTTTTTTTTTTTTTTTGTATTTTTAGTAGAGATAGGGTTTCACCATGTTGGCCAGGCTGGTCTCGAGCCCCTAACCTCAAGTGATCCACCTGCCTCGGCCTCTCAGAGTGCTGGGATTACTACAGGTGTGAGCTAATGTGCGCCCAGCCTTCTTTCATCTTTAAAATGGTAATGGGCAAACACTATTGTTCTTAAAAGTTTTGAAACGTTCACATTTTCATTTGCCTCTTGGAAAGTTTTCATGAACTATTCTTGAGCAAAATTTCAGCTAATGTAAATTGGTACTGCTTTGTCACTTAGTGGAATTTTTTTAAAATTATTTTTATGTATTTTTTATTTCCTCACCTCTTTGAATTCTACACTTAGTGTAAATAAATCACAAATTGATAATTGTTATCTGATAGATTTGGGAATTTGTGACTCAGATTGTATCTAACAAATATTTTGCTGATGAATGAGTAAATTCTATAGCTATCTGTGGAGTTAAAAGAAAAAAACTTTGAAAAGATGGGTGTTTAATCAAACAACTGGTTATGAATTTTTGTTGTGTCAACACTGTTGTATTGTACTGTTGCAGTGCAAAGGTGTAGGAATGTGGGCCATTGATATTCAGGCATTGATGGTGGGTGTTATAGCCTCAGTCATCCTGAAAAATAATCAGATTTACCATGGCAGTATTTGGCAGAAAGGTTTTACAATTATAGCATTTGAGGAGTTTCTAAGATCTTGCCTAGTTTACATCTTTCTGGTCTACAACAAAGGCATAATGATGTCTTCTCATCACCATGCTGGTTCATTCCCGTGGTGTGCTGGAGCTAGCTGGTGTCTGCTCCTGAGCAGGGACTGTGTGCCTCTCTTCCAACTCCACGTTCAGTGACCTGCCGTTTGGTAGCCCAAATTTTGTTTTTATTTATTTATTTCGTTTTTTTGTTTTGGTTCTTTTGGTAGCCTGAATTTTAACGTGTTGAGAGTATTTTCACCATGGAAGTTGGCAAATGCCACAAACCAGGCACCCTCCAGAGCTGGCTGTTAAACACTGACCAGCATCTATATTAGTGTTTGCTCCCCGCCCCCAATCATTCTCCTAATGGCTTAGTTCCTTGTCTGCTGTTAAAGCAGAGGAGAGGCTGGGAAGTCAGGGAGTTAAACATCTGTATTGGGATAGGGAATCCTCTGTGTAGCTCTGTGATCTTGAACAAGTTATATAGCCTCTCTAATACCCAATTTCCTACTTTGTAAAATGGGGTTGATATAGACCCCCCTCAGGGTTGTAAAGATGAAATGAACTGATATATGGTAAGCACCTAATGGTGCCTGGTGGGTACATAGTCAATGCTCAGTAAGTGGTGTTGATTAGGTCAATTTTTTTTTTTTTTTGGCCAGTACTGATATTCATTCAATGGCTATTTGCAAAGTGCTTTTGGTTCCACCTGTATAGTTTTATTTATTTACTTATTTATTTTAATCTTAGTCCCAAATATTCTGAGCTTCCCTTCACCTGTATGTTTTTTTTTAAAATTAATTAATTAATTTATTTTTGAGACAAGGTCTCACTCTGTCACCCAGGCTGGAGGGCAGTGGCATGATCTTGGCTCACTGCAACCTCTGCCTACTGGGCTCAAGTGATCTTTCCACCTTAGCCTCCCAAGTAGCTGGGACTACAGGTAGGTGCCGCCATGCCTGGCTTTTTGTATTTATTTTATTTTTTATTTATTTTTTAATTTTTGAGACAGAGTCTCATGCTATTGCCTAGGCTGGAGTGCAATGGCATGATCTCGGCTCACTGCAACCTCCACCTCCCAGGTTCAAATGATTCTCCTGCCTCAGCCTCCTGAGTAGCTGGGATTACAGGCATGCACCACTATGCCTGGCTAATTTTTATATTTTAGTAGAGATGGGGTTTCACCATGTTGGCCAGGCTGGTCTTGAACTCCTAACCCGAAGTGATCCACCCGTCTCAGCCTCCCAAAGTGCTGGGATTACAGGCATGAGCTACCACACCCGGCCAATTTTTGTATTTTTTGTAGAGACAGGGTTTCACCATGTTGCCCAGACTGGTTTCGAACTCCTGAGCTCAAGTGATCCATCCTCCTCGGCCTCCCAAAATGCTGGGATTACAGGTGTGAGCTACCGTGCCTGGCCTCCACCTGTATGGTTTTAAATGTACAGATAAGCAAGAATAGAACACGACCCTGGAATTCCAAGTTTTCAGATCACGTGTTTGATGTCATGTGGACTCCACACCTGGGCCTTTGACATAGTCTCAATTTGCCATCAATAGACAGAGTCCCCAGGTCTGGTCTTCTCTTCAGTCAGAGCACCTAGAGCACCTTCATATCGCCACCTCCCTATCTTCCTAAATATCCTCCTCATTCTTTCATTGCCTTCCCTTTCTCCACAGACAGGCAAACAACCTTCTTCCCAGCGCTTCTCCTCTGTGTTTGCTCCGATGCCTGGCATGTGGCTGTCTGAGGTTCAGAATTATTCTCAGACCTGTGTAACAAGAACTCTAGGATGAGTCACCTGGTGCCTGCTTTTTTATACCCTCAGGCCAAGGCAGGGAGGCCTGATTTCCCTGGCAGAGTTAATTGTGTGGCAAAAGTGCTGCCCAAGGTTATGAGCTGTCTCTGCTTTTTTCCCCATTACTGGTTCCCATTCCTGTCTCTCTGCCCATTCAGCATTGTGCTCAGAAGGGCATCCTCCACCTCAACATTCCTGTAGTGTGAAAAATGGTTATTGTAGGAAAAGTGGTAATGCTAAATTCGAAACCCTTCAGGTTTTTTTTTTTTTTTTTTTTTTTTTTTTTTACCCAGGCTGGAGTGCAGTGGCGTGATCTCAGCTCACTGCAAACTCTACCTCCTGGGTTCAAGTGATTCTCCTGCCTCAGTCTCCCGAGTAGCTTGGATTACAGGCACGCTGTACCATGCCCAGTTAATTTTTGTATTTTTAGTAGAAACAGGGTTTCACCATGTTGGCCAGGCTGGTCTCGAACTCCTGAGCTCAAGTGATCTTCCCGCCTCGGCCCACAGAAGTCCTGGAATTACAGGCATGAGCCACTATACCCAGCCTAAATCCTAAACCCTTCAGGTTCTTGCAATACCAGTGACATTGAAATTGAATTAATTTGGAATAAAGGCATTTGCTGTAAGGGAGGCTATTTTTTTTTTTTTTTTTTTTTTGAGAAGGAGTCTCACTCTGTCACCCAGACTGGAGTACAGTGGCACGATCTCGGCTCACTGCAACCTCCGCCCTCTGAGTTCAAGCGATTCTCCTGCCTCAGCCTCCGGATTAGCTGGGATTACCGGCGTCTGCCACCGCGCCTGGCTAATTTTTTATATGTTTAGTAGAGACAGGGTTTCACCATGTTGGCCAGGCTGGTCTTGAACTCCTGACCTCGTGATCCACCTGCCTCGGGCTCCCGTAGTGCTGGGATTACAGGTGTGAACCACCGCGCCTGGTCGTAAGGGAGGCTATTAACTTCTTTTTCTTTTTTTTGAGACGGAGTCTTGCTCTGTTGCCCAGGCTGGAGTGCAATGGCGCAATCTTGGCTCACTGCAACCTCTGCCTCCTGGGTTCAAGCGATTCTCCTGCCTCAGCCTCCTGAGTAGCTGGGATTACAGGCACCCACCACCATGCTTAGCTAATTTTTGTATTTTTTAGTAGAGATGGGATTTCATCATGTTGGTCAGGCTGGTCTCGAACTCCTGACCACAGGTGATCCACCTGCCTCGACCTCCGAAAGTGCTGGGATTACAGGCGTGGGCCACTGTGCCCGGCCCTATTAACTTCTTTATACTCCAGTTTAAATACTAAGTGTTCGCAAAACTTAAAAAATTCCTGTTTTCTGCACACACAGGCTCCTTGTGGAATTCTTCAAACACTTACAAGTGCATCATTTTCAACGTGATCGGTTTTTTAATACTTAAATTTCAGAGCTGTTTACAAATGTAGAAACACTCAAAATGAGTTCAAGTTGTTTCATGTTGGGAGCTCTTTTGCCATCAGTTTTAAAGTGAGCAGCCTGAAAATGAAAAAAATTAAAGCTTGGCACTAATAGAAAATAGAACATGTTGGCCAGACATGGTGGCTTACACCTGTAATCCCAGCACTTTCGGAGGTTGAGGCAAGAGGATTGCTTGAGCTCAGGACTTCAAAACCAGCCTGGGTAACATAGCAAAACCCTGTCTCTAAAAAATAAAAAAAAAGAACATGTCAAACAGTATTTTCCAACTCATTTAATTAATTGAAAGACTGTACCTGAAAAATGTTTTACAGAAACCCTTTTTTGTTAAAATAATTTACCACAATTAATATACCCTAGATACCCTATTATTTCCATAAAGTATTCCTAGAGATCAATAATATTGTTCAGTTTTCTTTTTCTTTTTTTTTTTTGAGACAGAGTTTCACTGTTGTTGCTTAGGCTGGAGTGCAATGGTGTGATCTCGGCTCACCGCAACCTCCGCCTCCTGGGTTCAAGTGATTCTCCTGCCTCAGCCTCCTGAGTAGCTGGGGTTACAGGCATGTGCCACCATGGCCGGCTAATTTTGTATTTTTAGTAGAGATGAGGCTTCTCCATGTTGGTCAGGCTGGTCTCGAACTTCTGACCTCAGGTGATCCGCCCGCCTCAGCCTCCCAAAGTGCTGGGATTACAGGCGTGAGCCACCGTGACCGGCCTCAGATTTTTATCATAATATTTTCAGCAGATAATAAAATCTCAATTATTAGAAAATAAAGTGATGTGTTTATGTGTATTTAACATGCCAATATTAGAATTTTCAAACGCGATTTATTTTTATTTTTTTTTTGAGACCGAGTCTTGCTCTGTTGCCCAGGCTCGAATGCAGTGGCATGATCTCGGCTCACCATAACCTCCGCCTCCCTGGTTCAAGAGATTTTCCTGCTTCAGCCTCCCAAGTAGTTGGGACTACAGGCACCTGCCACCATGCTAGGCTAATTTTTGTATTTTTAGTAGAGATGGGGGTTTTACCATGTTGGCCAGGCTGGTCTTGAACTCCTGACCTCAGGTGATCCTCCCACCTCCACCTCCCAAAGTGCTGGGATTACAGGTGTGAGCCGCTGCACCCGGCCTCAAACATGATTTTAGATCTTTTTTTTTTGTTTTTGTTTTTCTTTTTCAAAGTAGTCATTCTTCACTGAGAAGGAACACATACCAAGGTTAGTGGGTTCGATCATTTGAAAAATGGCAGCACCATTCATTTTAAACATTTTCTGGCTTTTTACTATGGAATCTCTCATGGTATAAAAATAAATTTTAGATTTTTCAGAGCCAAAATGAAAATACTTTAGAACAAAATCAGGCCAAATCTTTGGAATTCAAAGTGGCTGAACACCTAAAAGAAACAGAATATAAAACTCGCCAATTACGTGTCTTCCCAGAGGTCTGGACAGAATTTCTTTCTAATAATTTGGACATTTCTTCCCTTTGCCAGTGATACGGGAACAACACCTCCAGAGAGTGGTATTTTTGGATTTATGATAAACTTCTCTGCATTTCTTGGTAAGTACACAATAATTATTATAAATAATTGAAAAGCTCACAATTCCAAGTGAAGTTGATGTGTCATTTGTAGTTTTCATATAATTTTTATTTTATTTTATTTATTTTTTCTGAGACAGGGTCTCTGTCATCCAGGCTGGAGTGCAGTGGCGTGATCACGGCTCACTGCAGCCTCAACCTGCCAGGCTCAAGCAGTCCTCCCACCTCAGCCTCCGGAGTAGCTGGTACTACAGGTGCACACCACCACGCCCAGCTAATTTTTTGTAGTTTTTTGTAGAGATGGGGTTTCACCATGTTGCCAGGCTGGCCTTGAGCTCCCGGGCTTCAGTGATCCACCTGCCTTGGCCTCTCAAAGTGCTGAACTTATAGGTGTGAGCCACTGCACACGGCCTTGTGTATAATTTTTTTAAAAGCACAATCTTTGCAGCTAGATTTTTGTCCTATTTTGAGAAACTGAAGTTAAAAGATATAAAAAATTATGGCTTTATTAGAGAACTATACTTTAATTAGTAATTTGTAACAGGATTTGCTGTAGGTGGTTTTAAATACCAAACTTCTGGAACGGATTTTAAGTGCAATTTAGTTTTTAAAAGTGTTGATTTATGGTCAAGACACTTATGTAAGCCAAAGACACCCAATGCGTAAGCTAAGTTTCTCAAAGTGTATTCTGAAGGCAAGCTGATGAAAAGTCACCTGGAGTTCTCGTAAAATGCAGGTTCCTGGGCCATGCTACTCAACCAGAACCTTTGGGAGTGTGGGTTCCTGAAGATGTGTTGTAAACAAGCACTCTAGGGGACTTGGTTTCTCACTAAAGTTTGAGGACCATTGACAAAGGCATTATCTTACCTGTTAGAGAAAGGGGACAGGTGGAGCAAGGAATAGTATGATTTTTCTTTTCAGTTCCTCAGATGTACCTAAGATGCAGATGATAGGGTGCAACCTTGTCATAAGCCAATTAATGTAATGCATATTAATTACAACTATTGTATAATTAATGTAAAGCTCAGTCTTCTATAAGGTGATTCAAGTATATAGATATCAGATGTGGGGCATTTTCTCTTAGTCCTTCTATAATCTCCCCCCAAACAATCAAGTGTTTGCCAAGGGCCTATCTTGTAACCAACGCTTTCTGTTCCTCTCTACTGGTACAGTGTGAGAAGGGACAGTGATGCTGACCCTACTTAGTGACTTGGCATTTTGGAATTTGTTCATCCTACTTGGTAGCAGGAAAGTTTCACCGCATCACCATTTGTAGTCCTCCTAAAGTTTTGGAGGTGAGCAAGGGGAAGTAGCAATATGGAGTCAGTCAATCCCAGTGCCCTCTTACACCATCCTTGCCAAGAATCCAGACTTGGAAAACAGAGAGATTATTTTATCACAGCAAGTGATAAATACGGCTTTTGCTTCTGAATAAAGCAGAAACTGACAAATATATTCATTTGAAATAGTCTATGTGAGCTCATGCCTGTAATTCTAGCATTTTGGGAGGCTGAAGCAGGAGGATCTGTTGAGCCCAGGAGTTCAAGACCAGCCTGGGCAATGTAGTGAGATCTCATCTCTACAAAAAGTTAAAAAAGAAAGAAAGAAAGAAAAAAGAAGTTAGCTGGGTGTGGTGATGTGTGCCTGTAGTTCCAGCTACTTGGAAGGATAAAGTGGAAGAATTGCCTGAGCCCAGGAGGTCAAGGCTGCAGTGAACCATGACTGTGCCGCTGCACTCCCACCCAGGTGACAGAGCAAGTCCCTGTCTCCACAAAAAAAAAAAAAAAAAAAGATTTATGATAAGTTATTAGTTTTTAGCCTGCTTTTTAAAAATTCAGGAATAGATTATGGCCGTCATACTATGTAAATATATACACATCTACTTTATCCTTTCCACACATGCATGATATCTTTCACAAGGATGTATTATCATTTATTTAATCAGTTCCCTATTGTCCAACATTTAGGCTATTTCTGGTATTTTGTAATTCTAATGTTGAAGTGAACATCTTTTAAATATATCTTTGCATATTTGTGTGAGTTTTTCTATAAGATAAATTTGCTGAGTTAAAGGGAATATGTATCTAAAATTATGGTAGCTATTTATTTATTCAACATTTACTAAGTATGTACTATATGATAGGGTTTGTGCTTGTTTATGACTTAGTGTTGAGTTTACAACAGCCAACAAAACAGACAAGAGCCCTGCTCTCATGGAGGCTACATTTTATTGCCAAATTACAACAAATGGTATTTGGTTAATTGACTAGCTATTTGGAAAAACATACCTTTACTATCCTCCTCACATCATACACAAAAACCAATTGCAATTTAATAGACATGAAAAGCAAAACTATGCAATAATTAAATTACAGGAGAATATTTTTTAAACCTTGGAATAGAAACACAAAACGCAGAAGAATTGATAGATATGAGTAGATTAAAAATTAAAACTTTCAAATGATGTAAGATACAAGATACAATGTTAAAAGACAAATAGCAGAGCAGAAGAAAATTTGTAATATTTATAGCAGATAATAGACTAATGGACATAATGTGTAAAAAGTAACTACAAATTAGATATCGACAAGCCCAAGAGAAGAATAAAAAGAAAATTGTAAACATGCATTTCTCAGAAGAAGAAATGCAAATGACCAGTAGATATACTGAAAGTTGCTAAATCTTGCTAATGATCAGAGAAATGCAAACTAACCCAACAGGTTGAATTTTCATTTATTAGACTGACAGAATTAAAAAGGCAAGGGCATACACAATTGCTCGCAAATTCTGCTGGTGGGAGTCTAAATCGTCAACGGGCTGGAGCAATTTGGAGGTGTTTCTAATTGTGCATGGTTTTTTGACCCAGTAATATTACTTCTAGGAACTGGTCTTTCAGAAACCCAAAGATTTATATACAAGGATATTCATGGCGTGTTGTTTGTAGCAGGAAAAACATGGAAACAATGTAGAAATTCATTCTTAGGAGAATGAGGAATAAATATAGTATCTCATACCACAGACCATGATAAGATCCCTGAAAACAATGAAGTAGATCTGTTTGTACTTGCTTGAAAAGATCTCCATGGTACACTGTTAAATGGAAAAAGCAAGTCACAGAGTAATACATGTACTATAATAGCATTTACATGAAAAGGACAACAGCCAAGGGGTGTGTGTGTGTGTGTGTGTGTGTGTGTGTGTGTGTGTGTGTGTGTCTGTACATGCTGGGGAGAGAGTAAGATGGAGTCAGGAGGGACAGGGGTGGGAAAGTGGGGAGACTTGCAATCAGTACATTTTTAAAAAGTGATACAAAGCTGCTCCTGTTTTTCATCCTAAAGACATCAAATTATGAACATTCATCAAAGTTCTCTTCTTTTTCAGGTGCAGCCACGATGTATACAAGATACAAAATAGTACAGAAGCAAAATCAAACCTGCTATTTCAGCACTCCTGTTTTTAACTTGGTGTCTTTAGTGCTTGGATTGGTGGGATGTTTCGGAATGGGCATTGTCGCCAATTTTCAGGTATAATCTGGAGCTTTTTCAGTTATGAGGAGTGGTGGAGTGTATGTGTCTGAAGAGAGCAGCAGAAATGCAAGAGGCACACTTATGCCATTATAGCCATTAAATGCTTGATGAGTTTACAATAAGTGGGTTAGTTTGCTTTTTAGAAACCTTTAACATTTGGAAATCAGGGCCAGGTGTGGTGGCTCACACCTGTAATCCCAGCACTTTGGGAAACTGAGGTGGATCATGAGACCAGGAGTTCAAGACCAGTCTGGCCAACATGGTGAAGCCTCATTTCTACTAAAAATACAAAATTAGCCAGGTGTGGCGTCACATGCCTGTAATCCCAGCTACTCAGGAAGCTGAGGCAGGAGAATTGTTTGAACCTGGAAGGTGGAGGTTGCAGTGAGCCGAGATTGTGCCACTGCACTTGACAGAGCGAGACTCTATCTCAAAAAAAAAAAAAAAAAGCATTTGAAAGTGAGTTCTGATACTTGGGAGAAATGGGGTGCACATTTGCATGATTATGAGAGTGTGTGATTCAGAGGAGGCCTTGGGCTTTGCATTGCTCCATGTTGTCATTGATGTGGTTTGATGTGTTGGGAGAGCTACTTCAGCTACTGTGATGATTTTGTTAAGAGTGTGAAAATATTTGTATGTGTTTACCAATTCTACCATTTAAACCTCTGGTATTCAAAGAGGAGGCTCCCGGTGACATTTCTTTATATTTTTATGACAGTATGCATTTTGTTTTTCATAACAACAAACATTTATTGAAATTTTCCTGTGACACATGTTTAAGAAAATATTCCATATTTTAACCATACAATTATAATAAAAGCCTTGTAAGATAGGCACTATTATTTTCCCCATTTATCAATGGTAAAATGGAGGCCTAGAGAGGTTAATACTTGCCTAAGATCAGTTGAATAATGCATGGCAGAGGCGAGCTTTGAATTGAAGTCATCTTCCTAGAGCCTGTGAGAGCTATCCTCAATGCTAACATGAAGATATATCTGTGACAAAAAAACCAAGTACACGATGCATAGTTCTACCATCAGGATGCACACACACACAAAATTTAAAAAGGAAGACCTAGAGTGGTATAATTTGTCTAGTACAGTGTGGTTATGGTTTAATGGGGGCTAGTATAGATATATCACTTTATCCTCTGACTAACCACATCATGAGAGATACAGATGTCAGTTTTTAAACCATTTAAGGGCTGACTTTAAGAAGAAAACTTAGATGGTTAAATAATTTCAACTTTTGGTTCCCCTTAAGTCTTCAATGATGTGATTAAATCCACAAAAACCAGAAATAGAATCTTAACTTCCCAAGGAGCAAAGTGTTTGACTTGTCATTGTTCCGATAACTGTATCTTTACAACTTCCTTGTTTGGTATCCTGTAATTCATTTTCGTCATATCAGGAGCAAACCAACTTGAGCTAACTCAAGATGATTTTGAGATGTGTGGGCAAGAGAGAGTGTGACTGCCTCTTTTTTTTTTTTCTTTTTTTGTAGAGACAGAGTCTTGCTCTGTCGCCCAGGCTAGAGTGTAGTGGCGCGATCTCGGTTCACTGCAACCTCCGCCCCGGGTTCAAGTGATTCTCATGCCTCAGCCTCCCGAGTAGCTGGGATTACAAGCACCCACCACCATGTCCAGCTAATTTTTGTATTTTTAGTAGAGATAGGGTTTCCCCATGTTGGCCAGGCTGGTCTTGAACTCAAGTGATCTGCCTGCCTTGGCCTCCCAAAGTGCTGGGATTACAGGCATGAGCCACCGTGCCCAGCCATGGTGATTTTTCTTGAGTTGCAATAAATCACATTTTTGAGAATTTCACAGATAATCTTTTTCCCAAATGGGTGGGTGAGATGGCTACTTTTTGGTGTGTCCTCACTAACTTCTGTCAATACTTTATTTTCCCTCAGAAAGTTTTCTTTTTGAAATTCTGTCATTTGTGGCAACATGGATGAACCTGGAGGACCTTATGCTAAGTGAAATAAGCCAGTCACAGAGGGACAAATACCGAATGCTGTCACTTATATGTGGAATCTAAGAAAATCAAACTTACAGGAGAGAGTAGAATGGTGTTACAGGAGTGAAGAGGAAGATGAGGAGCGGGGAGGTATTGGTCAAAGGGTACCAAGTTTCAGTTAGACTGAATTAATAATTCTGGAGATCTATTACTGCACAGTATGGTGACTATAGTTAATAATAGTGTATTGTATATTTCAAAATTGCTAAAACAGTAGATTTTAAATGTTCTCATCACAAAAAAAATGAATAAGTATGTGAGGTGATTGATATGTTAATTACCTTGATTTAATCATTCCACAGTGTAAACATACATCAAAACATCTACAGCCAGGTGTGGTGGCTCATACCTGTAATCCCAGCACTTAGGGAAGCCAAGGCAGGAGGAATGCTTTAGCCCAGGAGTTTGAGACTAGTCTGGGCAACATAGGGCAACACAGGGAGACCGTGCCTCTGGAAACACACACACACATACACACACACACACACACACACACACACACACACACCCCTATAAGCCTCATAAATATGAACAATTATTATTATTTTTTGAGACAGAGTCTCTCTCTGTTGCCCAGGCTGCAGTGCAGTGGCGCGATCTTGGCTCACTGCAACCTCCGCCTCTCAGGTTCAAGCAATTATCCCTGCTTCAGCCTCCCGAGCAGATGGTATTACAGGCACCTGGCACCATGCCCAGCTGATTTTTGTATTTTTTTTTAGTAGAGATGGCGTTTCGCCATGTTGGCCAGGCATGTCTTGAACTCCTGACCTCAGGTGATCCTCCCACCTCGGCCTCCTGAAGTGCTGAGAGGTGTGAGCCATCGTGCCCAGCCTATAAACAATTATTATTTGTCAATTAAAAATAAAAACTTTTAAAGTTTCCTTTTTAGAAAAGAAACTTTCCAAGGTTTAACTCTGTCAGTATTCACATATTCTTTTTTTTTTTTTGAAGCTGAGTGATAGAGCTTTAGGGGTTTTTTTTTTTTTTTTTTTTTTTTTTTTTTTTGAGACAGAGTCTTGCTCTGTCACCCAGGCTGGAGTGCAGTGGCGCAATCTCGGCTCACTACAAGCTCTGCCTCCCGAGTTCACGCCATTCTCCTGCCTCAGCCTCCCAAGTAGCTGGGACTACAGGCGCCCGCCACCACGCCCGGCTAATTTTTTGTATTTTTAGTAGAGATGGGGTTTCACCACATTAGCCAGGATGGTCTTGATCTCCTGACCTCGTGATCCACCTGCCTCGGCCTCCCAAAGTGCTGGGATTACAGGCGTGAGCCACCGCGCCTGGCTGATAGAGCTTTATTAAACTATTCTCTCTCTCTCTCCCTCTCTGTTGTTATTACCTTTTAAATTACCAAGAGAGTTTCTAAAAAGCAATCCAGAAAGAGTGCCGGGTTTTAACTTTATCGAAAATTCATGTCTGATCTAAACATCATTTCCCTGCTTTTTTGATTGATTGGTTGAGAAAGGGTCTCGCTCCTTCACCTAAGCTGGAATGCAATAGCACAATCATAGCTCACTGTAACCTTGAACGCTTAGACTAAGCCTTGAACTCCTCCTGTCTCAGTCTCTTGAGTAGCTGAGACTATGGGTGCATCACCATGCCCAGCTAATTCTTATTTTCACTTTTGTAGAGATGGGGTCTTGCTATGTTTCTGAGGCTGTTCTTCAACTCCTGGCCTCATGTGATCCTCCCATCTCCACCTCCCAAAATGTTGGGATTACAAACACAAGCCACCATACCCTGTCGTATTTTATTTTTCATATATAACTTCCCTGAATCTATATGCCTATGTTAGGAATCTTATTTATTTATTTATTTGTATTTGTATTTTTACCTTTATTTTTTGAGACAGGGTCTTGATCTGTTGCTCAGGCTGGAGTGCAGTGGTGTGATCATGGCTCACTGCAATCTCTGCCTTGTGAGCTCAAGCAGTCCTCCCACCTCAGCCTCCTGAGTAGCTAAAACTACAGGTTCATGCCATCATGCCCAGCAAATTTTTGTAGTTTTTGCAGAGACAGTGTTTCACCACATTGCCCAGGTTGGTCTTGAACTCCTGAGCTCAAGTGATACACCTGCCTTGGCCTCCCAAAGTGATGAGTTTACAGACATAAGCCACTGTGCCCAGTCTTTTATTTATTTTTATTTTATTTTTTGAGACAAGGTCTCACTCTGTTGCCCAGACTAGAGTGCAGTGGTGCTATCATAGCTCACTGCAGCCTTGGTCTCCCAAGCTCAAGTGATTCTCCCACCTCAGCCTCCGAAGTAGCTGGGACTACAGGCACACACCATCATGCCCATCTGATTTTATTTATTTATTTATTTATTTATTTATGTATTTATTTATTTTTTGAGATGGAGTCTCGCTCTGTCTCCCAGACTGTATGTAGTTCAGTGGCACAATCTCGGCTTACTGCAGTCTCCACCTCCTGGGGTCCAGTAATTCTCCTGCCTCAGTCTCCCTGGTAGCTGGGATTACAGGCACGCGCCACCACGCCTGGCTAGTTTTTGTATTTTTAGTAGATACGCGGTTTCACCACGTTGGCGAGGCTGGTCTCAAAGTCCTGACCTTGTAATCCACCTGCCTCAGCCTCCCAAAGTGCTGGGATTACAGGCGTGAGCCACAGTACCTGGCCCATGCAAGGTATCTTAGGTATACAGAAACTATATGATGTATTGCAGAGTCAGTGCAGTCATATTTGAATATAACACCAATCATGTAATCAATTTCTCCCCTTATTTCTAGGTTTGATACTAGGAAATACATTTCCTTAGAAATAAGTTAAAAGGTCTTTTTTTTTTTCTGCACCTCCCTTTCTTATGTGGTGAATGAAAATTTAATATCAATTCATTTGTGCTCCAGCTTGAGGTTGAACTGTCTGGATGGCAAATATTGTGGTGCTGGGGAAGCCCAGGTCAGAGGGAAGCTGGGGGAAGAGTGTGTTCACCGTGAGCTGAGGCCAAGGGGTGGCCTGTGGCCAAAACCAGGCTCTCCTGGACAACACTTTAACTTGCCCTTTGCAAAGCTTGCATGTTCAAGCTTAAGTCAAGACCCAGTGGTTCCATCTAAATGTTCCTCGACTGGAAGGTTGTGCCCAGTGCACATTTGAAAGGAGCTGAGGCTGGGTGTGGTGGCTCATGCCTATAATCTGAGCACTTTGGAAGGCTGAGGTGGGTGGATCACCTGAGGTCATAAGTTCGAGACCAGCCTGGCCAACATGGAGAAACCCCCGTCTCTACTGAAAACAGAAAAATTAGCTCAGCGTGGTGGTGCATGCCTGTAATCCCAACTACTCGGGAGGCTGGGGCATGAGAATCGCTTGAACCCGGCAGGTGGAGGTTGCAATGAGCTGAGATCTCATCACTGCACTCCAGCCTGGGTGACAGAGCAAGACTCTGCCTCAAAAAAAAAAAAAAAAAAAGAAAAGAAAAGAAAAGAAGGGAGCCAAAGGTGAGGTGCATTTTGAGTGTGTAGTATGTACAGGGTCTGCACCAACTTTCTGCCTAGACTGGCACAGGGGCTGCCTTCTGGTTGAAATGGCTGGTTACAGGATGGCAGGGACAGGGAACTTGTTTAGAAGCTGCCTTTCAAAAAAAATTAGCCAGAACTGGGTGTGGTGGCATGTGCCTGTAGTCCCAGCTACTTGCTGGGCTGGGAGGATCTCTTGAGCCTGGGAATTCAAGGCTGCAGTGAGCTATGATCATGCCACTGCACTCCCACCTAAGCGACGGAGTGAGACCCTGTCTCAAAAAAAAAAAAAAAAAAAGAAGAAAAAAGAAGCTGCATTTGCATAACAAAAGCAGTGGTTTTACTTAGATGGTGTGTTCATTTGAGGTGCCTTGGGAGGGATGAGTAGAGATTATCAGGGAGCAGGGAGCCTAAAAACCCCAAACCACCCTTGGCACCATCATGGAACGAGTCACGTACTTTGGTTTTTTTTTTCAATCATATCATACCGAAGTTTATTGATGACATCAAACAAAAATTTCTGTAACAAAAAAGGCAGGGTTGGGTGCGGTGGCTCACGCCTGTAATCCCAGCACTTTGGGAGGCCGAGGTGGACGGATCACGAGATCAGGAGTTCGAGACCAGCCTGGCCAACATGGCGAAACCCCGTCTCTACTAAAAATACAAAAATTAGCCGGGCGTGGTGGCACGTGCCTGTAATCCCAACTACTTGGGAAGCTGAGACAGGAGAATTGCTTGAACCTGGGTGGCGGAGGTTGCAGTGAGCCGAGTTCATGTCACTGCACTCCAGCCTGGGCAGCAAGAGTGAAACTCTGTCTCAAAAACAACAACAACAAAAAAAGAAAATTGTATATGATATGTATCCTATAATCTTCACTGCAAACATGCAAGACTGAGATGATTATGCCCATTTTTAGATACAGAAATCGAGGCTTTGCAGTAAGGTCACAGAGCCTCATGGTGGAGTCAGGACTTTTAATCCAGGTGTACCAGACTCTGAAGCCCACCATACTCAACCCTCCCACCTGTAAGGCAGACCTCCTTTCCTTGTCCCATGAGCCCAGGTTCGCTGTGGAACAACCAACTTTTTGGCATTAATTTCAGCACCTGGAGGGCTTTTCTTTTGGTAGTCAAACAGCCACATTTTCCAAGAAGTGGTGCATCTGTGATGACCAATGGCTCAAAGCAGCCCAGAGTGAGAGTGCTTGCGGTTCGATGTTGACAAACCCACCCAGAGTAACACACATTTATGACTTTTTCTCCAGGAGTTAGCTGTGCCAGTGGTTCATGACGGGGGCGCTCTTTTGGCCTTTGTCTGTGGTGTCGTGTACACGCTCCTACAGTCCATCATCTCTTACAAATCATGTCCCCAGTGGAACAGTCTCTCGACATGCCACATACGGATGGTCATCTCTGCCGTTTCTTGCGCAGCTGTCATCCCCAGTATCCTTTTTCACATTTGTGCCTTGTTAAAGGAATAAAACATTCAGTGACACTTGTTAAAGAAGGGTAATGAAGACTTTATAGGGACCGCTGCAATGAGTTCTGACAGCAGGGCGGAGAGATTGGGCTCAACTCTGAATACAGCATTGGCAAGTGCGAATCTATAGCCAAGGAGTAGGATGAGGTCAGTGAATGGAAAAGTACTAAAAGGAAACCTCAAGGATGAGGGGGAATTCTGGCCAAACCAACCTAACAGGATTCTTATTGAGTACTGGCCATGTGATCAGACATCACCTGGGAAGGGTGGAGGAGGAGGAGGAACCCAATCAGATATTGAGTGTGATCAGATATGAGGGTGGGGGGTCCTTGCTAAACTGACTTAGCCAGGGTTCTTTGCTAAAACTGGATCTTACAAGGAAGTGCACAGATGGACCTAGGAGAAGTTTCAGGGGCTTGACTAAAGTTCAGCCAAGCAAAGGATCTTTGTCACCGTGTCTTAGCAAAGCTTGACACTTCCCTTCCCCACAACCAAAAAAAAAAAAAAAAAAAAAGCAAAGGATAACAACCAAGTTTCCACATTTTTTCAGAAAAACAATTCGGATAAAAGTGTAGATCAAGCTGGGCGTAGTGGCTCACGCCTGTAATCCCAGCACTTTGGGAGGCTCAGGTGGGTGGATCACCTGAGGTTGAGAGTTCAAGACCAGCCTGACCAACATGGAGAAACCCTGTCTTTACTAAAAATACAAAATTAGTCAGGCATAGTGGCACATGCCTGTAATCCCAGCTACTTGGGAGGCTGAGGCAGGAGAATCGCTTGAACCCGGGAGATGGAGGTTGCAGTGAGCCGAGATCACACCATTGCACTCCAGCCTGGGCAACAAGAGTGAAACTCCGTCTCAAAAAAAAAAGTGTAGATCATTAAGAAAATGTCTCAACATTGTCTAATTAGATCAAAAGTCTCTTTGCGGGGAAGAATGGTATGAAAGAAGGGTGGAAAATGTAGGAACACTTTAGTCTCTGTTTACTTTCCTTCTCACAGGGCCAGTTTCATGAGCCATATGAAAATATTTATTTTTCTTTGTAGTGCTTGGCTAAAGACACCAAATATTGATATTGTACTCAAAGTAATAGCCCCACGAAGTCCCTCAAGGCTAAACTCTCCCCCTCCCTGCACGTCGTAGGTGGCAAGACAGTTTGATTTACTCATTCATGTGAAGAAATTTCTAAAAAGCTCTAGATCACTTATTACTGAGTAAATTAAAATATGTTTAGCCTTTTCTTTTTATAGTCACTGATTTCATTTTCAAAATGAAATCCATTTTATTTTCTAACTCAGCAATCTGAAAGGAAATGAAAATATAAATTTAGCGTGCTTGTAGATTCTGATTTAGAGGAAACGAAAGCTTTTTCTTTCCCTTTTTCTTTTCTTTAATGAAGTATTTAACAAAGAAAAAAAGCCGTGGTCTTAAAGAGTTGCAGAGTTCCCCATCTTTCAAAATACCATCTGTAGTCATATCAGAGAAAGCTTCAGGGTCATTAAACATTGATGACTAATGTCAGATTGTAGGAAAATCGGAACTATGTTATCGGCGGCAATTTTGTTAGTCTGGGTTGAGTTACGGTATAAAGTGGGCAAGATGGAGTGAAAACACATCACTTGCTTCTAAATATTAAGCTTTGTGTTTCTTTTCTAAAATAGAAACTACAAAATGTGAAGTCTAAGTATGATTTTGGGTTTTCTTCCATCTTGGGGAAGGACATTTTTAATTACAAAATTTCCAGGCACAGAGTAGCCAAATCCTAGTACCGAGAAATTTACCAACAAAATATATACCCTTGTTCCTAAGATAGTTGCTTCTCAAATCCCTTGTCTTACTTATAGGTTAAAGGAACACTTTCTCTTTGAATATATCTCCTTCAACATTTTATCTTGTGTTAGTTGTAAAATTCATAATAGTGGTTGTAGTGTTACAAGCAAAGTTTCTTGATGCAGGAAACCTTCCCTTGCTTCCAACTTCGGAAACAGATCCCTAGATATCAAAGTCAGAGAGTTTTCACAAAATAAGCATTTCAGGCCTCAGAGTTTCACTTACTAATAATTCTCATTTCTAGAAAGTTTTTTTTTTTTTTTTGAGACAGAGTCTCACTCTGTCACCCAGGCTGGAGTGCAATGGTGCGATCTCCGCTCACTGCAACCTCCGCCTCCCGGGTTCAAGCAATTCTCCTGCCTCAGCCTCCCTAGTAGCTGGTATTACAGGTGCCCACCACCACGCCCGGCTACTTTTCATATTTTTAGTAGAGACGGGGGTTTCACCATGTTGGCCAGGCTGGTGTCAAACTCCTGAACTCAGGTGATCCACCCGCCTCAGCCTCCCAAAGTGCTGGGATTACAGGTGTGAGCCACTGTGCCTGGCCTCTAGGAAGTTCTTATTATAAGTCATGCCAACAGGAAGCAGCCCCATACAGAAAGGGGTTATAACCCTATGTCAGATTAACTTGAATGAATTCATCCACACGAAAAGATCTTCTGTCTTAAACATTAGTGTGGTATTTATATTTCCTTACAAAGAATTGACAGCATCTTTAAATAGGCTAGGTGCGGTGACTCACACCTGTAATCCCAGCACGTTGGGAGGCCGAGGCAGGTGGATCACTTGAGGTCAGGAGTTCGGGACCAACCTGGCCAACATGGTGAAATCTCATCTCTACTAAAGTTACAAAAATTAGCCAAGCGTGGTGGCGTATGCCTTTAGTCCCAGCTACTTGGGAGGCTGAAGGAGGAGAATCGCTTGAACCAGGAGTGGGAGGTTACAGTGAGCCAAGATTGTGCCACTGCACTCCAGCCCAGATGACAGAGTGAGACTCCGTCTCAAAAAAAAGAGTTGAAAGCATCTTTAAAATGCCCTGGTTTCTTCTTACTGCAGTATTTCTGTATAATAGCCTCATTTGACTACCGAAGAAACCGAGGCACCTAGTGAGGCAGACGTTAGAATCCTGCTTCTAAACCTTTCCTGATGAATTATCTGTCTTGCACCGGGCTTCTAAAGCTTCTGAAAGCCTTCGCAGAACTCACCAACAGCATAAAGTCCAGGTTCCTCTGCATCAGACCCATGATCTGAGACCTCCTAGTTCTTCATCCTTGTTTTTAGGGCTTCTCCCTCAGGCTTGGTTGTTTGTTGTCCTCTGTTTTTAACTGATCTCTACTTGGCTGGATTATCCTCCTCCACTTTGTCTTGCTAGAGCTGTTGGTTCAACATGGTACCCACATGTGGCTTTTGCATACTTGAAATGTGGCTAGTCCAGATTGAGATGTGTCCTAAATGTAAAACATATACCTGATTTCAAGGATTTGATAAGAAACAGAAGTAAAATATCTCAATAATTTTTTATATTATTACACATTGAAATGATATCATCAGCAATATTATTTGATATATTGAGTTAAATAAGATGTATGTTGTTTATCAATACATAAGATATGTTTTGCATATTATGTATATCTTATATTGACAATATTTTTATGTGTTGGGTTAGATAAGATATATTATTAAAATTAAGTTAGGGGTCAGGCACGCCTGTAATCCCAGCATTTTGGGAGGCCGAGGTGGGCAGATCATTTGAGGTCAGGAGTTCGAGACCAGCCTGGCTAACGTGGTGAAACCCCATCTCTACTAAAAATAGAAAAACTAGCCAGGTGTGGTGGTGGGCACCTGTAATCCCAGCTGCTGAGGAGGCTGAGGCAGGAGAATCGCTTGAACCCAGGAGGTGGAGGTTGCAGGTGAGCTGAGATCACACCACTGCACTCCAGCCTGAGTGAAAGAGCGAGACTCCATCTCAAATACATAAATAAATAAATAAATTTGGATATTAGAAAATTAAAAATTACACATATTTCTGTGGGATGGTGCTGCTCTAGAGAGCTCCTTAAACTTCACAACTTACATTAAGTTTCACTGAATGAAGCTTTCTCCCATTCCATTCTGAATTAATAATTTTCCCTTACAGTCATTGCTGTACCCAGTTCTTTTCTGTCTACTATGGTACATTCTCTGGGTCTGGTCCAACAAAGTTGTGATATTTCTGAGAGCTGAGACCAAGTTTTCCCTTCTCCCACCCCCAGACCAGAATGGTACCTGGTGCACTGAAGATGGAGCTAAGAATAAATAAACGAAATAATTAAGAGGCTTTTAAACTATTAGAAACAGATGTGAGGTGATGAAATGATCAGAGAATCTTCTGTGCTCTCTACTTCTTTTATTTTGAGAATCAGAAGCATTAAACTCTGCACAATTTGCGGGGGGTTGGAGTTAAGAGAGATGACGCTGACTCTGAATTCAGAGGAGGCTCTAAACTTTCCTTGGCTCAACATTTTTTTTTTTTTTTTTTTTGAGACAGAGTCTCACCCTGTTGCCCAGGTTGGAGTGCAGTGGTGCAAATTCAGCTCACTGCCACCTCCCAGGTTCAAGCGATTCTCCTGCTTCAGCCTCCCAGGTAGCTGGGATTACAGGTGCACGCCACCATGCCCAGCTAATTTTTGTGTTTTTAGTAGAGACTGGGTTTCACCATGTTGGTCAGACTAGTCTCGAACTCCTGACCTCAGGTGATTCGCCTGCCTCAGCCTCCCAAAGTGCTGGGATTACAGGTGTGAGCCACTGCGCCCGGCCTAACATTTTGAATTTCTAATATTTTGCAGACTTTTTAGAGCATCCCATTTCTCTCTAGCTTTCTTTTTTGCATTCTAAGTTCAATCAAAATGGTTATCACTGCCTTCATGCAGAAAGTATTGCTGGTGGAAGATAGGAGCCTCAGCCCCTGGCATTATTAGGCTGGACTGTAGGCATGTGTCAGTCATCCCTGAAGTCTGATATGGGGCGAATCTCTTTGATTTGCCAGATCTTTGGTCCAGGAAGGAAGGGCTCACCTTATACCCAATTACCCAACAGAAGTCTGTTTTTTAAAGATAATAGTTTGAGTTTCTGTAGCTTGTTTTTGTATATGAGCCTTGGCACTTTGGAATTTAAAATTTTCCTTAAAGCTGTTACCTTGGAAATAGTATTTTAGGCCGGGCACGGTGGCTCATGCCTGTAATCCCAGCACTTTGGGAGGCCGAGGTGGGCAGATCACCTGAGGTCAGGAGTTCAAGACCAGCCTGACCAACATGGAGAAACACCGTCTCTACTAAAAATACAAAAAATTAGCCAGGCATGGTGGTGGGTGCTTGTAATCCCAACTATTCAGGAGGCTGAGGCAGGAGAATGCTTGAACCCAGGAGGTGGAGGTTGCAGTGAGCTGAGATCGCGCCATTGCACTCCAGCCTGGGTGACAGAGCGAGAGTACGTCTCAAAAAAAAAAAAAAAAAAAAAAAGGAAAGGAAAATAGTATTTTAGGGAAAAAGTATTTTTATTCAGTGGGAAGTATTCAAAAAGAACCATCCTGGACTGCTGCGTCAGTCATTTTGACCGAATTTAAACAGCTAGTTTAAATGGGAAGATCCAGAAACATGTAGGGTTGTGCAAAATGTAGTGACAAGTTTTAATAAATTTTACTATACACACTGGAAAACTATTGCGAAGGTATTTCCGTGTTGTGATTTAACTCTCATCATTGAATTTGAAGTTTGAGTTTATAAGAAGCTAATATAACTGGTTTGATTGTAGAAATGTTGGTATTAACATTTTAATTGATGATAGAAATGTTGGTATTAACATTTTAACACCTTATAATGATTATGTTATTAGGAGAATAATGTAGTCTTAACATTAAAGGAACTGTTGTGTGCTGTAGTTTCCTTAACTGTTTACTTCTTTCAGTGATTGTCTGTGCTTCACTAATTTCCATAACCAAGCTGGAGTGGAATCCAAGAGAAAAGGTAACATTTAAGTTGTTGTGAATGTGGTTGTCGGACGTGGTTATGTGAGCTTGTGGCCAGGCTAGGCATAGGGAAGATCACTGCCGTTCCTTAGAACAAGTTGCAAAATGTCAAATAAACATGGCATGTAATCAATTTACTGTCCAATCATTTGGCAGTATGTAGTAATTAGCTATCAGGGTAATTCCAAATGCTTCCTGGAAGTATTTTCAAAATTTTGAGTTCCTAATTTCTTTCTTTCTTCTTCTTCTTCTTTTTTTTTTTTTTTGAGACAGAGTCTTGCTGTGTTGCCCAGGCTGGAATGCAGTGGTGCAATCTCAGCTTACTGCAACCTCTGTGTCCCAGGCTCAAGCGATTCTCCTGCCTCAGTCTCCCAAGTAGCTGGGACTACAGGCACCTGCCACAAGGCCCAGCTAATTTTTGATTTTGTTTTGTTCTTTTCTGAGACAGAGTCTCGCTCTGTCACCCAGGCTGGAGTGAAGTGGCGTGATCTCAGCTCACTGCAACCTTTGCCTCCTGGGTTCAAGTGATTCTTGTGCCTCAGCCTCCCGAGTAGCTGGGACCACAGGCGTGCGCCACATGCCTGGCTAATTTTTGTATTTTTAGTAGAGACAGGGTTTTTCCCATGTTGACCAGGCTGGTTTGGAGCTCCTGGCCTCAAGTGATCCCCCCGTCTCGGCCTCCCAAAGTGCTGGGATTATAGGCGTGACCCACCGCACCCGTCCCTCTAATTTCTTCCTTTTCTTTCTTTCTTTTTTTTTTTTTGAGACAGAGTCTCGTTCTGCCGCCCAGGCTGGAGTGCAGTGGCACAATCTTGACTCAGTGCAAGCTCTGCCTCCCGGGTTCATGCCATTCTCCTGCCTCAGCCTCCTGAGTAGCTGGGACTATAGGCGCCTGCCACCACCCCCGGCTACTTTTTTGTATTTTTAGTAGAGATGGGGTTTCACCGTATTAGCCAGGATGGTCTCGATCTCCTGACCTCGTGATCTGCCCACCTCGGCCTCCCAAAATGCTGGGATTACAGGTGTGAGCCACCGCACCTGGCCTTTAATTTCTTTCTTAAACACTTCAACTATCTATCTTTAGTAAAAGAGGGTAGAGGGACAGTGTGAATGAAGGTGTTTGGTGGTGAAAGGGAGCGTGGAATGTTAAGTAGAGAGGATGATACCAGCTCCAGTGTGGTGGATAGTTCATTTCAGGATAGAGTGAGAAATCACTGCAGCCGGGGATAACTGTGCAAGGGTGTAGTGGCTGTAAGAGGCAGGCAGAGAGGCTTGTACTTGGCCTAGGTGACCAGAGTAAGACTTTGAAGACTTTTTTTTTTTTTGAGACGGAGTTTCGCCCTTGTTGCCTAGGCTGGAGTGCAATGGCGCGATCTCGGCTCACTGCAACCTCTGCCTCTCAGGTTCAAGCAGTTCTCCTGTCTCAGCCTCCCAAATAGCTGGGATTACAGGCACTAGCTGGGATTACAGGCGTGCACCACCATGCCCAGCTAGTTTTTGTATTTTTAGTAGAGACGGGATTTCACCGTGTTAGCCAGGATGGTCTTGATCTCTGCACCTCGTGATCTGCCCTCCTTGGCCTCCTAAAGTGCTGGGATTACAGGCGTGAACCACCACGCCCAACCTGCAGACTTTCGAACGGTAAAGCAAATAGAAAGAGTATTATTAGATGAGTGTTAGACAGAAGCAATGCCTGGGATGGCTTGGAGAGCTTGGCATTAGGAGGGCAAGGAGAAGGCAGTTCTACTAGTTCACGTTTCAAATAGGGGAAATCTGATGGGTGTTGGCAAATGATTAACACAAGAATGAAGTGGCATGATGAATCAAAGATGACTTCTAAGTTTTTATCTTAGGTGAACCAAAGAATTTATTCCCTTGACCAGAAATAAGGCCCCTAACAGGGATAAATAATTTAGTAGGTGGAAGTGGATGAGTTTGGTTAGAGTTGATGATTCTGAGGATATGATGAGATATCGAGGTTAGAAACATGGGCCTAGGCCAGGTGCTGTGGTTCATGCCTGTAATCCCAGCACTTTGGGAGGCTGAGGCAGGAGGATTGCTTGAGTCCAGGAGATGAAGACCAGTCAGGGTAACACAGTAAGATCCTGCCTCTACAAAAATTAGCCAGACGTTGTGGCATGCGCCTGTAGTCCCAGCTACTTGGGAAGCTGAGGTGGAAGGATCACTTGCACTCCGGTGGGCCTAGACTTCTGGTGGGACTGGGAGTCGTCAGAGTGTAGGGTAGAGTTGTTAGAGTATGGGGTAGACCAGGACATTTTGGACCAAGCATCAGAACACATGGAACCAAATGTTTGACATTGAGATCAACCCATCCTGTTAGATACCTGTAGTAGTGGTTCATCTAGACGCCTTATAGGAGAATCAAGGATGCCCCAGGAAAGAAGAGAGTTAGTGAGAGACAGAGGATTCTTTCCCCCAAGGATCAGGTGGAAGAATACCTCCAGCAAAGGAGAAGTAAAGGGATCATGGACCAGAGAGAAGAACTAGACTTGTGCTGTATGGTAGACCTCATTGATGAGTCCCTACCACATGCAAGACTGTGAAAGATTATAGAGGGCAGGGTGGCCATGGGATAGAGGATCCTGAGGGATTTTATAGTTCAGAGGGGCAAACAGCCAGTTGTCAATGGCTAAATGTAATACTTTGAAGAATAAAAAAATGCTGAACTGGACTTCAGACAACACATTGTGGAAATGCAGAAGCAATAGCAATTAATCCTAACGATGGAATGAGAGGAGATACGATCCCAGAGACTAAAGGACATTTTTCAAAGGCAAGGGAAATGGCTAACTATGGCATATGCAGCTGAATAGCCTTTAGGAATGAAGTCCCTCAATTTGGGCAATAAGGGAGTCAGTGATGTTTGTCAAAAAGTAGTTTCAGTAAAACGCCGAGGTTAGAAGCCAATGGCAAGAAGTTAAATAGTGAGAGGGATGGTTCTTTCATTCAGCTATCAACCAAATGTTTATTGAGTCCTGTTCTGGACTGGAGGTAAGAGGTAAAGGAGGAACACCAGGGTGGCTAGAGGAGACAGCAGGATTTCCCAATATGGAGAACTCTGGCAGGTAATGGAAGCCTGCCAAGACAAGAGAGAGACAGAAGATGGTGAGGAAGAGAATGATCCAGACAGGAGATCAAAAAGTGCTTCTTGGCCGGGTGCGGTGGCTCAGGCCTGTAATTCCAACACTTTGGGAGGCCAAGGCGGGTGGATCACTTGAGGCTAGAGTTCAAAACTAGCCTGGCCAATATGGCGAAACCCTGTCTGTACTAAAAAAAAAAAAAATTTTTGGTGTAGTGGCACACACCTGTAGTCCCAGCTACTTGGGAGGCTGAGGCAGGAGAATTGCTTGTACCCAGGAGTTGGAGAGCTGGAGGCTGCAATGAGCCGAGATCATGCCAATGCACTCCAGCCTGTGCAACAAGAGTGAGACTCCATCTCAAAAAAAAAAAAAAAAGCCTTCTTTAAAATCTAACCTTAAAATGGTCAAATTCGTCAATAGGTTAGACCTAGGCAAAAGGCAGGTTTTTTTCTTTCTTATATATGGGGAATTAGCCCCATCATGCGAAGGGGGTTCAGTTCCTCTTTCCGTTGGAGAGAACCTCTTTCTGAAAGTGAGACCGCATAGCGGAGCAGTTCAGGTGTACTTTACTTTTCAGCCACTCGGGGGAGACCTTCTATCACAAACCCGCTGCTGGGAAGGGCTTATCGAAGTATATTCCCAGGCAGTTAAAAATCTGTTATATTCCACTTTCTATCTTAAAAATGTGAAAAGCACATGGTTTTCTATTCACTCCATAAATGACTGCGCCACTCTTGCATTTCCTTCTGTTCCTAATATCAAAGGATGTAAAAAAATTTCCCTTTACATTAATTCACTGAATAATCATTTAGGTACTGCCTCAAACTTCTGTGTAGTGCTTTACAGCTTTCACAGCACATTTATATGCAGTGACTTACTTGGTAGGGGGAGGTGAGAATTATAATGTCACTGTCTCATTTCACATAGCAAGGATATTAGGGCTTTGCCTGCATTCAGGACTCTTGGTTCCATGTACTTTCACTAATATCATGCTTAAGAAATTCCCCCCAAAGTTCTGCCTTTATTTTTAGAAGCCATCTTCCTTGTTCAGGGATGATACGGGATGTGGCAGGTCCCCTGGTACTGGTACCAGAAGGAGGAAGCCTCTGTTCTGTATCTCCTACTGTAGGCTGGTCAGGTCCTCCTCGGTGTGACCTAGCATGAAAACAGTGGGTGAGTGTGACCATGACAAGGAGAGTGAAGAGTGACGCTCGGAGGGCTTGGTGTGCCTCCACTCGATCTGTCTGGATGAAAACAGGATCAAAGAAAACAACTGTCACCATGGAGCTGCCCTGTGATCCAGCACATTTACTTACCCTTGTAGCCTACAGCAGTTTGGGGTAGAAGAGCAGTGGGCTCAGCCCTCAACAGCACATGCCAAGGGCAGAGCAGCCCATGTATGCAGCTTCAGAAGGCATGGGGGTGTAGGGAGTTAGGGGTAGTTGCTCATTTCAGCAGAGCAGAAAGTGACGTAGGAAATCAGAGGGGGCACACTGACAGTCCCCAGGCCTCATTTGGCATGTGAGCTAACATCAGAATGCAGACATGCATATTTGACTCAGAGTTTTATTTATTTTTATTTTATTATTATTATTATTATTTTTGAGACAGAGTCTTGCTCTGTCACCCAGGTTGGAGTAGAGTGACGCAATCATGGTTCACTGCAACCTCTATCCCCCAGGCTCAAGTGATCCTCCCAGTTCAGCCTCCCAAGTAGCTGGGACTGCAGGCGCAGGCCACCCCACCCAGCTAATTTTTTTTTGTCTCGTTATGTTGCCCAGGCTGGTCTCAAACTCCTGGGCTCAAGTGATCCTCCTGCCTCAGCCTTCCAAAGTGCTGAGATTACAGGTGTGAGCCATTGCAACAGAGTTTTAAAATTAGTTTCCAGCACTGAAAAATCAGGAGATATCACACACAGACACATCCACAGACACACAGACACACACACGCACACACACACACACACACACGGTTTTGTTTTTTTAAACCCCTTTGAAAGCAACACTAGTGTATTATTTTCCCATGGAATTGAGCTGATGAGGCGTGGGCTCCCTAACTTCCCTCTCTTTTCACAACCATCAGTTTTATTTATTATTGTTAATTTTCTGGCCTCCATAGGCAACTGAGTTTGGAACATCTGATTGAAGCCATTCTCCTTGGCTTCCATTCTCCCATTCTTGCCTCCAAGAAGATATACAGTTAACATGTGGATGTCCATTATTAGCATTTTCTTTGTAGCTGTATTTACCTTGGGATGTTAAGCAGAACTATTTCCTGAATGATCATTTCTATATAAACAGGGAAACACGAAACCTAGGGGACTAGTTGGCCAAGTTCATCTAGATGTGTACACACTTTCTTTGGAACAACTGCGAGAGTGCTTGTTAAGCATAGCCTTACACTTAGGGATTCTCAGCAGAGCGAGACCAAGTCATGCCTTGTATGGAAATTTCTTTCTTCTGTTGAGTCCAAATTTGCTTCCCAGTCTCAGCCATTTTGCAGTCCTTAGTCTACCTTTTGAAGTGACAAACTAAATCTTAAAACAAGAGTTTGTGCGAGCCAGAAAGAACTTTGGAATACCTGCCTTCGCATTCTCAGTGGGCAGGTGCCCTGACACTTAGTAACGTGGTTGTGCTTACCGTATATCCTCAAAGTTCTGACTTATGCTCACTGGACAGCTTTTTCCTTTGGTTGAAACTCCTCATTGTATTTCAGTATGTACATTAAAGTGAGTCTTTTTCGGCTAAATTCTGTTTCTTTATTATTGCATTAGGATTATGTATATCACGTAGTGAGTGCGATCTGTGAATGGACAGTGGCCTTTGGTTTTATTTTCTACTTCCTAACTTTCATCCAAGATTTCCAGGTAGGTGTTTATCAATTCAAATGTTTTAAATTGCGGACAATTAGGATTAGTAAAAATTTGCAGAAGACATTTTGCATTTTTAAAAAGAGCACTTTCTTTTTTTTTTTTTTTTTTTGAGACGGAGTCTCGCTCTGTCGCCCAGGCCGGACTGCGGACTGCAGTGGCGCAATCTCGGCTCACTGCAAAAAGAGCACTTTCTTTTTATCCTTAATGTGTTTGAGAAAAATCTGTAAGGATTGTGCAACTTCATGTGTTAGCTTATTCCCAATGGGAGGCATCTTTAATAGCTCTCCCACCAATGAGATTTTCATATGTCCTCTGCTGTTTGATGTTAATAGTCATGTATCCTGGTTGTTTTCTTTTAGGAGGTCTCACTTACTAGTTCCAAATAATACAAAGTAAATATATCTTTTTTAAAAATAAAAGTATGCCAGGTGTGGTGGTTCACATCTGTAATCCCAGCACTTTGGGAGGCCGAGGCGGGCAGATCACCTGAGGTCAGGAGTTCGAGACCAGCCTGACCAACATGGAGAAACCCCGTCTCTACTAAAAATACAAAATTAGCTGGGGGTGGTGGCACATGCCTGTATTCCCAGCTACTCAGGAGGCTGAGGCAGGAGAATCACTTGAACCCGGGAGGCGGAGGTTGTCGTGAGCTGAGATCATGCCATTGCACTCCAGCTTGGGCAACAAGAGCGAGACTCTATCTCAAAATAAATAAATAAATGAATAAATAAAAAATAAAAGTGTGTTGTTCAAAAAACATTCCCAAAGCAGATAGAAGATGGGACTATATCAGATTTGTCCACAGGAAAAATCTTACATTTTGAAACAAGTGAATTATTAGCTCAAAGGATATAGAAAGCCAAGAAAATTCTTTAGGACCTGACTCAAGCATAGCACAAACCATAGTGAGATCATTCCTTAGGTGGTGCAGAGCTGTTGGAAATGTCATTGTCAACGCTGGGATTGTTTAACTTCTTTTAAACCTTTCTCTTTCATTTTTAAAAATAGAGTGTCACCCTAAGGATATCCACAGAAATCAATGGTGATATTTGAAGAAAGAAGAATTCAGTCTCACTCAGTGAATGTCGCAGGCCATTTCTAAAAGTGCTACAGAGGACAGACAGGGTTTTGAGGCCACCCTGATTATTGGGATGCATCTGCAGCACATCCAGGACTTGAATTTCATTACGAGTTCCTAATAGTTGTATTTCTAAAGATGTGTTTCCTAGAGAATGTACAGCCTTATGACACTGTAGTGATGTTTTTATAATTTTCTAAGTAGATTTTTTTATATTAACAAATTCATATACAGAAAAAATAAGGTGTTACAAAAAATGGAGAGCTCTTATTTTTGTACAGATTCTGTCGTTTTTGTTTTATTTGTGTGAGATTTATGGAAATACACTAAATGAGTAATTCAGGTTCAGTACATTTATTACAAAGTGAAATCAGGGGATATTCATTTGTAAATTTTATTCTTAGTGAATGAACTGTATAATTTTTTTTATCAGGAGAGCACTTATAAAATTCAATTTATAAAGATCATATACCCAAATCATAAAGATTTAGTTGATACATTAACACTAAGATACTCTGATTTTTAGCCGAACTAAACAAAGTGCTTCTACTGAGAGGCCTTTATACCACCATGTACAGTAACTCTAAGTGAATACGGAAGACCTTGGTTTTGAAATTCTGCCACCTTGTTTCTCCCTGCTCATGAGGTCGCACCTTTTGCTCTTGCTGCTAATTGCCCATTCGTAGTGGGTGTAATGCCAGGTGGAATGGTTTCAACAAGTCAGGTGAAAACCATCCTTTATTGTTGCTGGCACAACTTGATATATAGTCTGACTCAGAACTGAAGCTCACATCTCAAATTCATTTCATGCCAGTAAATGTGGCAAAGAGAAGAAAGGCCCAAGAGCGAGACAAGAAGAATGGAGAAGGGGGCAGCCAAGAAGAACTTCTGGGTTCAGGGTACTGTTTATTTGCTCCTTCTCTTCATGCCTGTGGCTGGATGTCCCACAACACTATAAGAAATATAAGTCAAGCCCTTTGTGTTAAGCAAGAACTACAGACTCCATCTTTTCACCCAAATCATGAATGACCAATAAAAAGCAAGTTATTCCAGAGGAAGAAGCAGCCCTTGAAATGTTAAGGCTTAGGCTTGAAAGGTGAAGAGCAGGAATTCTCTCTTTCAAATCCTAGAGCATAAACCCATGTGTGGCCAAGTGAGATCAGCCCTCAAGGGCACATGCCAAGGGCAGAGCAGCCCATGTAGACAGCTTCGGAGGGCATGGGGGTGTAGGGAGTTCGGGGTAGCTCCTCATTAACTATTTGTTGGGTGAGTAAAGGGGTGAGGCTCAGTGGCAGGTACCTCTGCAATGACAAGCTGCCTCCCCTCTATGTGTTTAGCATATGTTATTAGAACATGTCCGACACCCCTACCGCTGCCATTTGGGCCCTTTAATAAAGCCAAGTAGAGAAATCTGGCAATAAAAGGCAAATGTAAGCATGCTTTCTTTAAGACGCATCATAAATGGTTTTCTTTAAGTGAATGGAAGAGTTTGACAGAGATACACCTTTGTAAGAAAACATTAAGAATGCTGGCTGGCTGTGGTGGCTCACACCTGTATTCCCAGCACTTTGGGAGGCCTAGGCAGGAGGATTGCTTGAGCCTGGGACTTCGAGACCAGACTGGGAAACATGGCAAAATCCCATCTCTACAACAAAAATACAAAAATTAGCCAAGTGCGGTGGTGTGCCTGTAGTCCTAGTTACTTGGGAGGCTGAGGTGGGAGAATCACCTGAGCCCAGGAGGTGGAGGCTGCAGTGAGCCATGCCAATGCACTCCAGTCTGGGCAACAGAGTGAGACCCTGTCTCAAAAATAAATAAATAAATAAATGAATAAAGAGAATGCTAATCATTTCTGGGTTCACTGCGACTCACTGTAGTGCTGGGGATCCCCCTTGTAACACTGGAACTGAAAGACAGTGATGAAAGCTATGTCAAGCATTCATTATTCTGAAGAGGAGGAGAAATGCCACATACCTTTCCCATGGGACCTGTGGTGGAATGAATCCATACTTCTGCCTCACTTCGAGCAGACTTTTGTTCTCGGCGCTCCTCACGATGGAGTTTCATGCTTCATTTTCACATCTCTCTGCACAATTAGATTGGGAGCTCCTTGAGGGCAGAGTACGTGCCTTAATCTTTATCTTTGTAATGCCACAATGAACAGAGTGCCTCCTGGTACACTGTAGGAGCTTAAGAAATACTCACTGAATGCATGAATGAATGAATGAACAAATGAAGGAATGACTAAGGATGTTTGTAGTGCTATAATATAGAATGGGATTTACTCTGCTTTACCAGTTAGTTTCATAATAAACAAATAGTCTGTATCGCCTGGTAATGTTGACTGTTTTTCTTTGTGTACTGTAAACATTTCAGTTGTTTCGGCATCACCATTCTATGACAACAATCTTCAACCTGGACAGTTACCACAGAAAATTGTTACACGGGCTAGACCAAATGGTACACCTACCTGTCTTGGCAAACTGAGAAGGCCAAAAAAATCACTCCAGACAACCATATTCAGCAGATTCCATGCGACCTCTAAACCCGGTCTTATTCGGATTTTGGTATTATTTCTAATATCCATGAACTTGCATTTCCTTGTACCTTATGGCTGAAATAGTTAAATGAAATGAAATATTTATTTTAAAATTTGTTTTTCTGTTTTTGAGATGGAGTCTCTTTCTGTTGCCCAGGCTGGAGTGCAGTGGCGCGATCTCGGCTCACTGCAACCTCTGCCTCCTGGGTTCAAGGGATTCTCCTGCCTCAGCCTCCCGAGTAGCTGGGACTACAGGCGCCCACCACCACGCCCAGCTAATTTTTTGTATTTTAGTAGAGATGGGGTTTCACTGTGTTAGCCAGGATGGTCTCAATCTCCTGACCTCATGATCTGCCTGCCTCGACCTCCCAAAGTGCTGGGACTACAGGCGTGAGCCACTGCGCCTGGCCCAGTAATTTGTTTTGCTGTTAAATTAGAAAATATCACTTGGCTACTACTATGAAGTAGATTTATCTGGGAGATGATTCCAGATCCATTTGGACTTTATAAAGGTATGATTACGATTTAAACCTTATGCTTTCTTAATTCATGTAGTTTTCCACGTGGGCACGATTGGTTCATCTTCGTAGATTCTCAAACGTTAGCATCAGAAGTTTATGTCACTCAAGATTCAGAGATGAAGAGATCAGAAATCCAACAAGAAGGAGAAAAGGGAATCAGAAATCCAACAAGAAGGAGAAAAGGGAATCAGAAATCCAACAAGAAGGGGAAAAGGGAATCTATATTGCCTCAAGTAACTGAGACATTTAGGAGTGGAACTGGCTTTATGGGGGCTGGATCTAAAAGTGCCATTAGGACTCCAACTTCTCTTTCCTCCTCTCAGCTGGCTTCATTCTCAGGCAGGCTTTCCCCTGATAGAAGTGACAGGGCATCTAGAACCCCCAGACCCACAACCTATCCACAAAAAGAGGTGGAAAGAAAGGACTTCTCAACAGTTCCAACCACAAGCCCATGAATTGTCTCCCATTGGCTGGCTTGGATCACATGCCATTGGGAGGTCTGAGGCTCTGATTGGTCAGACGTGAGTCACATGTTCACCTCTGGAGCAGGGAGGGGTCAACACCGCCGAAACTAGTGGGCTGATGGTGGCTGAAGGTTGTTTCTCAGAAGAAAAGGGTGGAAATGGGTCTCTAACAGACAAAAAGCAGCAGATTCCACTGTAGAATTAAAACCCCCTTTCCCTTCATACCCTCCCCGCCCAAAAGGCAACCTAACTCGCTTCACAGTAAACCAAAATATACTTGCTAATAACCTTTTCGAATTTGAAAGTAAATAAGCCATTTAGATAATACAAAAACCTTGTGTTAACTCCAAAGTTATGTTTATATTTTTAAAAAGTTCTTGTTTTCTTATTTAGTGTCTCTTATTTAGAATCAGTTTTCCTGATTTCTAATCAAGTGGGTCTTTTTTTTTTTCTTTTTTAACATTAACACTGAGGATTCCACAGAAATTGCATTTTATAAACCAAATTAAGTGCATCAGTGTTGTGCTGTGTTTGGGTTTCCTAACATTCCTTACATGTGGCATTGTCCCATGTTCCCATTTTTACTCAGTTGGAGACACACTAGTCTGGTGTTTGAGCCTGGAATGAGGAAAGGGGAGTGGGAGGAAGATAAGTGGTATCCCATTCTCTCCCACTGCCTGATTCTGGCAAGCCAGTAAGCCCAGCCGTCTCCCCACACACATACTCTTGGTCTGGCTCTGAATGCCCCACATTCTCCAGTCCAGAATGTCATGCATCTGCATCATGTCTGTTGCACAAGAGAGCAACCACAGCCTCAAGCCCTGGAGGAGAAGCCTCTGACTCTCCTTGGTCACTCCCAGCAGATTCATCTTCATTTTTTTTTTTTTTTTTTTTTTTTTTTTTAGACAGAGTCTCGCTCTTGTCGCCCAGGCTGGAGTGCAATGGCGTGATCTCGGCTCACAGCAACCTCTGCCTCCCGGGTTCAAGCGATTCTCCTGCCTCAGCCTCCCAAGTAGCTGGAATTACAGGCGCATGCCACCACGCCCAGCTAATTTTTGTATTTGTAGTAGAGACAGGGTTTCACCATGTTGGCCAGGCTGGTCTCAAACTCCTGACCCCAGGTGATGCACCCATCTTGGCTCCCCAAAGTGCTGGGATTACAGGCGTGAGCCACTGCGCCCGGCCCCAGATTCATCTTCTAAAATGAAGGGTAGCAGTTTTCCAGACCCATGTTGGAGGTGGCAGTGACCTCCAGAGTCCATGCTTGGAAAATGCTGAGGAAGATGTCAACAATCTGCCTTGTGGTTTAAGACGGGGTGGCGTGGGGTGCCTGGAAAGCCTGTGGTTTAGGTAGTTCCTCAGCAAGGAGCACTGCTCTGTGCCCCACCATCCTCAAGGCCAGTTCCACCTCTGGACGACTCAGTTACATGAGCTGATAAAGTCTCTAACTTCAATAAACTGGAGTTAGACTTCAGATGATTTTACCTGTAAGAGTCCTGACTGATAATGGATACACAAGAGTTCCCCTAATATGAAAATACAGTAAACAACTATCATCTAGAGTCATTTTTATTTCATTTTTTTCTTTTGCATTTTTTTTTCAGTACAGACTTGCCTTCACAGGAAAGATCATTTTTATATAAGTGGATTCAGCTGCCCCCACTCACAACCCTCACCCCCTGAACCATTTATTTCAAAAAATTTGAGTAATATTTTCACAATTCAAAACTCAAAACAATATGAAAAGGTATACTGTGAAAAGCCTTTTTGCTTTTCCCTACCTGCATTTACTCAATTCACTCTCTCCTTGCAGATATCCACTTTTTTTTTTTTTTTTTTTTTTTTAACGACAGAGCCTTGCTCTGTCGCCCAGGCTGAAGTGGAGTAGCATGATCTCAGCTCACTGCAACCTATGCCTCCTGGGTTCAAGCAGTTCTCCCTGCCTCAGCTTCCCAAGTAGCTGGTATTACAGGTGCCCACCACCACACCCAGCTAACTTTTGTATTTTAGTTGAGACAGGGTTTCACCATGTTGGTCAACTCCTGACCTCAAGTGATCCGCCTGCCTTGGCCTCCCAAAGTGCTGAGATTACAGGTGTGAGCCACTGTGCTCAGCCTAGGTATCCACTTTTTATCAGATTTTTATGAAAATACAAGCCAAAACAAATATTTTAACGTTTTCCTTTTCATTTTCACCCCAAATTAGTATACTGTAAGAACAGTTTTGAGCCTTACTTTTTTGACATAGCAATGTATCTTGGAGATGTTTCCTTTATCAATACATAGAGATCTCCCTCATTTTTAAGGTTAATTTGCTTTGTTTTATACCTTACAGTATTCCATTGTATGGCTGTGCCATCATTTATTTAGCAAGTTCCCTATCTGATGAGCAATTATGTGGTTTCCAAATTTTTGCAATTACAAGTAGATGACCTTGTACATACATCATATCACACATGTGCAAGGAAATCTCTAGGACAAATTCCAGTGAGTGGGATGTTGGAAACTTCATCTGTTATTTTGCAAATGTTATCTTGCCTTTAGAACTTTTTTACTTGAATATTTTTGTTAGGAACCTCTTTTTCTTTTTTGTTTCTTTCTTTTTTTTTTTTTTTAAAGGCTGGTCAAGTGCAGCAGTGAGAGTGGAGAAGGAAGAAAAAAATCTGTAACTGGGCTGGGCATGGTGGCTCACGCGTGTGATCCCAACATTTTGGGAGGCTGAGGCGGGTAGATCATTTGAGTCTAGGAGTTCAAGACCAGCCTAAGTAACATAGCAAGACCCCATCTCTACAAAAAAATTTAAAAAATTAGCCAAGAATGGTGGTGCAAGCTGTGGTCTCAGCTACTCAGGAGGCAAGAGGGGGGTATCGCTTGAGCCTGGGGAGGCAGAGGTTGCAGTGAGCAGAGATCGTGCCACTGCACTCCAATCTAGGCTATAGAACGAGACTTTGTCTCAAAGAAAACTAAACTAAAATAAATAAATCTGTAACTGGTTGCGATCAATTAGTTGTAAACACCACTGCACTCGGACAAGCCAGGAATCTTTGTGATTACACACATTTTCTTCTAACCTGAGGATGCTGAATATAAGTTCATGTTTCCTTGGTGACTCAGTCATCCATGACTGTAGATCAGGTGCAAATGTGGATTTTGCAGTAGATGGTGTGGGACAGAGGCCTGCCAACTTGGTCACGGGTCTTCTACACACACCTCTTCTGTTCCCTCTTTTATGTAACCACCTACTGCAGGGAATGCAAGGCTGTGTGCTCCTCTTTCTGCTGACAGCAGAACTCACCTATCTTCTGCCTCCTACCCCAACCCGGACATGTCTTCTTTTTATGGGCAAGAGTGTCTCCAGTTCACTTGGGTTTTTCATTATGATCTTGCAAACTTTTGCAATTAGTTGCAAAAGTTTTGTCAATGCCTCTTCCAGTTTGTACTCACTTCCTTTTTGGTATCTCGCTGAAGTCCTGTTACTTGTCTTACACTTCTTCCCTATCTTTTGAGAGGATGTATTTTTGTTGTTGTTGTTGTTGTTTTGTTTGTTTGTTTTAAATTTTGAGATGGAGTCTCGCTCTGTCACCAGGCTAAAGTGCAGTGGTGCGAGCTTGGCTCACTGCAACTTCGCCTCTCGGGTTCAAGTGATTCTCCTGCCTGAGCCTCCCGAGTAGCTGGGACGACAGGCGTGTGCCACCACGCCCAGCTAAGCTTTATATTTTTAGTAGAGACGGGGTTTCATCATGTTGGCTAGGATGGTCTTGATCTCTTGACCTCATGGTCCGCCCACTTCGGCCTCCCAAAGTGCTAGGATTACAGGCGTGAGCGACCATGCCCAGCTGGAGACGATTGTATTTTTACAGACATCAACAATCAAGCACAATATTCTCTCCTCTCTGGCAAAGTGATCCAGGACAGAACACCAGGGGCAACCCACAGACCTTTTGATCCTCCCTGACCTTGTAGCTTGGTGGTTACTGCAGAATGACTCAATGAGTGGGGGACACCAGCAATTCAGTAGTCAGAGAGAGAGAGAGAGAGAGAGAGGAAAGAAACTTTACCTTTGAGAAACTTAAAAATTGACTTGGAAATAATCAGCTTTATGTTTGCCTAAATGTATCCTTTATGTCATTTGGAAAAAGAAAATATTATTTGGAATTACCTATGGGGAGGCATCATAATTTTTTCAGTACCAGGTATTCAGGGACTTTCACCTAAAAACTAAGGATATTTCTTCATCTGCTTACATGATCACTTATGTTCTGTTAATACTGATTATTTCCTATATCACAGACACTGTAAGGAGGGCGTTTCCTCATAGTTAACCCTATTTTATTCATGAGGAAATTAAGATGTAGCGAGGTTGTCACCAGATACCAAATGATGGGGCTAGAACCAAACCCAGGACTGTGACTCCTACGGTTAACCTTTGCCATGCTGACAGTGTGATTCCCAGTCACTGCCTTAGGAGTATGAATTAATTTGTCAGCTTTTCTAGGGTTATATAATATAAGGCCTTGAGAAATGAAACCCTTAAGCTGGCAAGTTTAGAAAAATGGGTGAAATGTTTGGATTGCCACTTCAAAACGGCAGGTCCTGGTTGAAGTCTGGGCATCTAAGAATTGTGGGGGTGGGAGCAGGTGATAGGAATCAGGAGTAGAAACAGTAAGAGAGGGTTTGTATGATACACCTGGTCTTTGGTGGGAATGGGGATCAGTTCTTGTATGAGTCAGTTCTCACGCTGCTAATAAAGACGTACCAGAGACTGGGTAATTTATAAAGAAAAGAGCTTTAATTGGCTTACAGTTTCACATGGCTAGGGAGGCCTCAGGAAACTTATAATCACGGCGAAAGGGGAAGCAAACACATCCTTCTTCACATGGTGGCAGGAGAGAGAATGAGAGCCGAGCAAAGGGGGGGATGCCCCTTATAAAACCCCCACATCTCGTGTGAACTCAGTATCACAAGAACAGTATGGGGGAAACCGCCCTCATGATTCAATTATCTCCACCTGGGCCCCCCTTGACACGTGGGGATTATTACAATTCAAGATGAGATTTTAGGTGGGGACATAGCCAAGCCATATCAGTTCTCCTGCAACCACCACAGCCTGAGGAGGAGCACTGAAGAGGCCAAGGATTCCACTGCGCAGTGAGACAGGGTGCAGCAGGCTTTCAGTACGATTCAGGCTCTGGTGGCTGTGAGGTGTGGGTTCTTATGACTCTCAACTCCTGGTATCTTTTGCTTCTGGATGGTGCGGTAAGAGGGACTGGGGGTTGTCGTCCGTCTGTCTGGACTTCCCAAAGGAGAAGTCATGGTGAGGCCCAGGGAAAGGACCATCTAGGCTATCACAGGGCTGGGTAAAAGAAGTCCTCAGTGCTCACTTTTTAAAAAAGTTATTTTAATTTATTACTATTATCATTTTATTATTATGTTTGAACACTCTTGGTGACCATTATTATTACTTTACTGTGGTAAAATATAACATAAATTTTATCATCTTGGTGATTTTTTTTTTTTGAGACAGATCTCACTCTGCCACCCAGACTGGAGTGCAGTGGTGTGATCTTGGCTCACTGCAGCCTCAACCTCTGGGCTCAAGTGATCCTCCCACCTCAGCCTCCCAAGTAGCTGGGACTACAGGTGTGCACCACCGTGCTTGGCTAATTTTTGTATTTTTTGTAGCGATAGGGTCTCACTATGTTGCCTAGGCTGGCCTCAAACTCCTGGACTCAAGAGATCCTTTTGTCTGGGCCTCCCAAAGTGTTAGGATTATAGGCGTGAGCCACCACCACGCACGCCTGGCCGTCGTAGCCATTTTTAAGTGTGCAGTTCAGTGGTTTTGAATACATTCATAATGTTGTGCAACCATCACCACCATCCATCTCCAGAACCCTCTTCATCTTGTAAAACTGAAACTCTGTGCCCATTGAACAATAACTCCTGATTCCCTCTTGCCCCAGCCCCTGGCAACCATTATTCTACTTTCTGGCTCTATGATTTTGACTATTCTAGATACCTCATATAAGTGGAATCATACAGCATTTCTCTTTTTGTGACTGGCTTATTTCATTTAGCGTAATGTCTCAGCACCATCCATGTTGTAGCATGTGTTGGAATTTTTTCCATATTAAGGCTTAGTAAGATTCCATTGTACATTTATACCCACTTTGTTTACCAATCATCTGTTGATGGACACTTCAGTTGCTTCCACATTGTGAATAATGCTGCTACAAACATGTGTGTACAAATATTTCTTTGAGACCCTGCTTTAAATTCTTCTGGGTATATACCAAGAAGTGGGATTGCTGGATCATATGGAAATTCTATTTTTAATTTTTTGAGGAACCACCATACTGTTTTCCATAGCAGCTGTACCATTTTACAGTCCCACCAACAGTGCACAAGGATTCTAATTTCTTCACATCCTCGCCAACATTTGTTTTTTCCTATTTATTTATTTATTTGAGATTTGAGGGTCTTGGTATGTTACCCACGCTGGCCTCCAATTCCTTGGCTCAAGAGATCCTCATGCCTCAGCCTCTAAAGTAGCTGGGATTACAGGCACAAACCATAGCACCTGACATATTTTCCATTTTTTTGGTTAGTAGCCTTCCTAATGGGTGTGAGGTGATATCTCATAGTATTTTGGTTTGCATTTCCCTAAGAATTAATGATGTTGGTCATTTTTTCATGTGCTTATTGGTCACCTATATATCTTCTTTGGAGAAACATCTGTTCAGTTCGTTTTTGAATTGGGTTGTTTTCCTCAGTCCTCAGTCTTGTCACATGTATGGATGTGATATCAGATCAGCAGCATGTAAGTTAGTCTTCTTGGAGCTGAAGCAGCAGCAGGAAGTGGTGAGGACTCTGGCTCCTGGGTTCCAGCTCTCTTGCTCTCCCTTGCTCATCAGGCTAATATCAGCATGAGTGACAGGAAAGCCTGGAAGACTAACTTCACCTTCTTTAACAATCCTTTTACTCAGGGTCAGCCCAGAGTAGCAGGTTCTGGGTGCCACCTAAGACATCTGATTTAAGGTGAAGAGTGATGTATTTAGAATTGGCCAGTGCTTTGACAGCTGCAAACATAACCTTTAACACGCATATTAAAATGAATACTGAGCTTAGTTCAGTCTTTCATTTCCTTTTAATACTTGAAAAGCTACAGTTTTGTTTTAAAGTTCTCTTAAAAGGCTCTAGCAGGTGAATTTATTCTTCTGCTTGATTGCATTTGGACCCTTAAATAACAGCCACCTTGAAACTGAAACCGGGAAAACCCCAGGTCTCTGGCCAGAAGAAGCAAAGGTATGTTCTGAGATTTATTAAATAATTACCTACTTGTTGAAATGTTGTAGGCAGGAGAAAAAAGCTGAGATGTTGGCAAATATGAGTAGAGATTAGGAAGGATCTTGAGTCATGAGGCTTTTAAATGTGGTGGAACATTTTGGTGTTACTGACCTTTGACTCAGGACAGTTGAACCAAGCGATGTGGTCTTCAGACTCAACCTGGCCGTGGCTTGGTATATCTTTATATTGACTGTCTCAATGACCGCAGTCAACTGTGATCCAGTTGTTTGGAGCATTCACAGCAATGACTTGAAGGGAAGAGAATAAGGAGTGAGAAACAAAACTCGGAATTCGTTGGCCTTTGTGACAGCCCGTCTGCAGTTGGTCTGAATAGCACATAGGGAAGGTTTCCTAATGTAGTACATTGCTCTGAAACTAATTTGATTCAGAGCGCCAGGGAGGGAGGATGTTTTCACTTGGTGATACCTTCCATCAGTGTTCCAAACTTCAGCCATCTGTGCTTCTTTTGAAATTTCTTGTCATGCTGTGTACCAAAATTTACTTAATACTTTGCAATGGCTCCTTAACTTAAATATTTTTATTTTAAAGAGAAACTTCTCCTACTGCTTTGTCTCCTGGATTGCCTAGGTTGGTCAATGATATTACCATCTGTTGGGTCACCCAGGGCAGAAACATGAGCATTATCCTAGACATCTCACTTTGCTCAAAGCCCACACCCCATGTTCTATTAACATTGTCTCCTGGCCGGGTGTGGTGGCTCACACTTGTAATCCCAGCACTTTTGGAGGCCCACTCCGGTGGATCATTTGAGGTCAGGAGTTCAAGACCAGCCTGGCCAACATAGTGAAACCCTGTCTCTACTAAAAATACAAAAATTAGCCGTCGTGGTGGCACACACCTCTAATCCCAACTACTCGGGAGGCTGAGGCAGGAAAATCACTTGAACCCTGGAGGCGGAGGTTGCATTGAGCGGAGATTGCACCACTGCACTCCAGCCTGGGCGACAGAGTGAGGGAGACTCCGTCTCAAAGAAAAAAAAGAAAAGGCTCCTATGTACAGTATGAATAGATAATTATCATCCAAATTAGGGCATTTTGGGGGGCAAATGGGACACTACTAATAATCATACCCAGGGTAAACTGTCTGAAGCAAATGGGGATGTATGGTCAACCCGTCCATATGGTCTTGAATCCTCTTCCCATTACATTCTCCCTGCTATTACTGCCTTAGTTCAGGCCTTCAAAATTATTTGCTTAGACTAGTGTAGTAGCTTGCTACGGTTTCCTTGACTTCAATCTTGGTCCTTTCCAACGTATCTTACACACTGCACATAAACATTTGATCTATCACCCTTTTCAGACCTTTCAGTATCTGCCTGTAATGTCATGATACATTTCAAATTTCTTAGTGTGGCTTATGAGGTTCCTCACAGATCTGGTTCCTTCTAGCCTTCCAGGCTGTTTGCTCGTTTATCTATTGCTCTATTCACATTTATTGTCACTGTGGGTAGTACAATGTTAGGCTCCAGGAATATAATAATAAGATGAGTTTTTGCCCTCAAGATATTTATAGTGCAGTAGAGAAACAGTCAAGGGGATGCTGTAGCAATATGTACCATGGCAAAGCACCACAACCTATGGCTTCACTATTCAGGGTGTTGTTCAGGGACCAGCAGCATGACTATCACTTGGGAGCTCTGTAGAAATGCAGAATCTAAGTCCTAGGGCAGTAGCTCAAATCTCTAATCTCAGCTTTGGGAGGCTGAGGTGGGAGTATCACTTCAGGCCAAGAAATTGAGGACTGCCTGGGCAACACACCAAGACCCCATCTCTCAAAAAAAAAAAAAAAATTAGCTGGTGCGGTGGCACACATCTGTAGTCCTAGTTACTTGAGAGTTAAGGCAGCAGAATGGATGGCTTGAGCCCAGGAGTTTGAGGCTTCAGTGAGCTATGATTGCACCACTGTGCTCCAGCCTGGGCAACAAAGTGAGACGCTGTGTCTGAAGAAAGAAAGAAATGCAGAATCTTAGTGCCCCGAGCCAGACTCAGTAAATGCGAATCTGCATTTTAACAAGATCCCTAGGTGATTGGAATGAATGTCAGCTTTTGAAGTCCTGGTCTATGGGACCACACTAGTTGAAGCACTTGATTCAGATCCCCAGGAGAGGTCATGCCTGGCAAGAGACTTAGAGAAGAAGATGGAGTTTGCTAAATGAAGGCGAGGAGGGAAGAGGCACATGTCCTGGACAAATTGGCATGTGCTTTGGCACACAGGCAAAAGAGGATGTGCTGTTTGGGGGAAGTTACAAGTTGTTCCATATTTTGGGAACAAATTGCTGATGGTGGCCTCACTTAGCTCAGACATGCCATCAATTCAAGGAAAAAGTTTGATCAAATTTGATACCTCCATCTCATATTTGAGCCAATCCTGAAACATAGTGATTAAGAATGAGTACTTTGATTCATAAAGAAAAAGCAGAATAGAAGTTACTAGGGGCTGGGGACAGGGGGAGATGGGGAATTATTGCTTAATGGACAAGAGTTTCTGTTTGGGATGGTGAAAAATTCCTGGAAATGGATAGTTGTACAACATTGTGAATACCATGAAATTGTAAATACTTTAAAATGATTAAAGTGGTACATTTTATGTTATGTATATTTTATCATAATTTTTTTAAAGAATAAGTACTTTGGAATCAAGACCTAATTTTCAAGACCTACCATTTCCTTTCTGTCACGCCTCAGTCAAGTCAGATAACGTCTTGGTGTCTCAGTACCCTTATCTGTAAAGTGGGAATAATGCTAGCACCTGCCTTGTAGGCTTGTCACGAGGATTCCTTGAAGCAATGCCTGTAAAGCACCTGGGAACTTGTTGGTGATCCTTATGCCTGCCCATTGAAGCTTGAAATGCCCAGCCTTAGCAGTTTGCCTGGCACAGCCAGAGCTGTGCATGGCAGATGCTGTTATAGCCCTTCCACCTCCCTCTCGACTGCATACCCTCAACTGTCTTCTCCCTGTACAGCAGCAGTTTTCAACTCTGGCTGCACATGAGAATCACCTGGAGAGTTTTTTTTTAAAACCCTGTTGCCTGGAGCAATTAAATCAGAATTTCAGGAAGTCAGATGGAAGCATTATTATTTCAGGTGATTTCAGTGTGCAGCCAAGGCTGAGAAACACGGTTCTGCTGTAGCGGTTTGCTAACTTTAGTGTGCATCAGAATCACCTGGAGGGTTTGTTAAAACACAGTTTCTGGGACCTGCCCCAGAGTTTTCCATTTAGTGGATACAAAACAACTCACCTGCTTTATTCCACCATCTATGTGGCTGCTCTTTGCTTTTGTTTGCCATCTATATCGTTTTACCCTCTTCCTAATAACCTCTTCCAGACCCATTACTGAAATCTTTGTTGAAAAGATTTGCCAATAGGCATCTTCATGCCAATGGTGTCTATATTCTCAAACCTGTTCCAGCTTTAGACGCAGTTGACTATGTCTCAAAATTCTCCTCCTTTGAATTCAGAGCTGCCACTCTTGGAGTTTTCCTCATTTCTCTTTCCTTCTCCCTCCTCTGCTTGGAACTCGGGACTCCCATGACCATTCTTTAGGTCCCTATTTTATCCCTTAAAAAGAGCACAGTCTTAAGTGTGAGAAAGATGTGGGTTTATGTCTTGTACCTGGGCAATTCAATCAAACTCTGAGCCTCATTTTTCTCACTGGTAAGTCATGGGTGATGATAATAGCACCCCTATAAATAATACATCCCTGACACATAACACTCAACTGTAGCTATTACACTGTTTCACCTTTAAAAACATTGCAAAATCTTGACCTCAGAGAGAATTCCAGGGGTGGTGGGACTAGCCCAAGGGATGCAAAGGGGAGAGCTGGGAATACAGAAAACACAGCGTGGAGGAATGAAGCCAGGATTTACCAAAAGCAAGGAGATAGTCCCAGGAATTTTCCAGGAGACCTAGGCAGACAGGGAAGTGACTAATGGGATCAGATAATAGGAACTGACCAAGAGACTCCCTATGACGGCATTAAAAGGTGGGCCTGACGAACACAGGGAGGGTGTTATTAACGGCACTAGGATGGGCTATGGAATGGCCCCAGAGGAAACCCACAAGGGGATTTCAACCCCATCAGTGTGGAACTCAGTCACTTTGGCAGGAAACAAAGTGAGAAGGAACCTGTTACAGTTTGCACCATCTATTATAGTCGATGCAAAACATGACTGTGGGGTGTTACACAGAGCTCTCATTACAAGATAAGGTCTCTGCGTGTCATTTCCCGTCAATGATGTTATTCAGCAGGATGGCTCACATGTTGAAACTTGAAACTCCTTGGGTGAAAAAAAAAATCCCTCTGCAGGCTATACCAGATGTTGCTTGTTGTAGCTCCTCAGGCCCAAAAAGATGAGTTAATCCTTGAAGGAAATTATTTTGAACTTGCATCAAACTCAGAGGCTTTGATCCAACAGGCCATGGCAATTGAAAACAAGGCTATCAGAAGAGCTGTGGGTGGTAGTCCTGTCTCTGAGAAAGGAACAGGGCCACTGGCTGACGGCTGCATTCCAGAACGCCTCCAGATGCAGAGGGCCTCACTTAGTGTGATGTTGTGAAAATACTGCACTTTAAACACATGTAGTCATAAACAAAGCTTCCTCACCCTTTAAAGACCTCACAGAAGTATCTCTCCAAGACGCTTCTCCTCTCCTGAATGCTCCAGGCCTTGCTGACCTCAGTTACCTTGAAGTTTCTCTTACCCTCATCACCCATGGCACACAGTTTAACACTTATTATTCTCCAAATACATAGTCTCCTTTCTCCAGTTATATGGTGAGTTCCTAGACATCCTAAACCCATAATATTTGATATTCCTCTGTCTCTCTGAATGCCTAGCATTCTAAGAGGAACATAACTTAAAAAGCGTCATGTTCCCCTTTGCATCCCTGAAATCTAGCACAGCACCTGGCATGTAACAGACACTCAATAAGCAAATAGGTGCTTATTAAATGAGTGGAATTGTTGATTGATAGCTAAGTTGAGTTGGCATGAAAAGGTAGATAAGGGAAGTTTTAGCAGGCATCTCTTATATTGTTTACCAAGTACCTCCCTCCTCTCCTTCCAGAAGTTTCCCTTACCCAATCCCATCTTTGTAGCTGCCACAGGAGTTGATGCAACCTGCTTCAGTGAGTTATTTTTTGAGACGTTTTGACTTGGAACCAGAGACAATGTTAAGATAGTGTCTTCCTAGGGACCAGATCTATGTGGATGTACTGGTAAATTTAGGTGCTATTGGCGCCCTTGTTTTTCACTGCACAGAGAAGGCTCATCTCTAGCTGGAGTGAAGAATGAAGCTAATGAAGAGATTAAGTGGAACCACAGAAACAAGAAGAATCAAACAGAACCTTGCTAGTGTTCACGGCAGTCACATTATCTCTTAATACCCTTCCCACTCCTTTTGCCTAAATGAATTAGAATTAGGTCTCTGTCACTTGTAACCACACAAGTCCTAACTACTATAGAAGACTGTCTACTATTATTGCATGGTAGATAATAAAAAAGACGGGATGAATAAAATCTCATGATACCAAGCAATGAAGTCTTGCAAACAGGAATTTTTCAAAACTTCTCATGCTCATTTGTGGCTTTAATAAGCACCTTTTCACCACCCCTCCCAGAGCTGGTGTAGTACCAGATATAGAGGAAGCACACAGCATACCTGATGCTACAGTTTCTGGTAGCTTGGGTCTTCACTTTTCATTTTCAACAACTTTTTTCCTTGTGTGCATTTGTTGAGACGTTCAGATGCCTGGGGCTGCAATACCATCTATGCATAATGAAAAACATTCATAAAGACTTTCTAAAGTACACAAAGGGTGATGGGCTTTCTGAACAGCAGCCATGGACTTACACCAAAATATAGTCTCCATGAGCAAAGGCAGTGGGAAAGAGCCTTTGCACAGTTCCATGGTAGAGAAGATGGTTATAAAGACTGAGTGGTGTTCACATTATCTGAACCTCAAACTCAGGCACATAGCATATGAGGGAACTTATGGAAACAACGGGACAGCTTGTCTGATGTTGGGAAACCATCTTGGCATCGCTGGTTACCATATTTATAGAGCTAATCTTTAGCATCAAGACCTACTCTAGACAGGCTAATTTACTTACTGCCACCCAAGTGGCCCATGTTGGTTTTATCCTTGGCATATGCCACAAGTTCTGAGTGTCAAATATTTCTTCCTCCCTTTATCTGTTTTCCATTCACATCCTACCCATTCTCCAGGTCCAACTTTCTTACCTCCTCCAGAAACCACTGTTCTGTCTAATCTGCCACACCTGGCATTTCGTTATTCATTCTAAGAATGGCAAATACATGTCATATAAGCACGTACCCACTCTCCACACATCCGTGACAGACATCACTAATTGATGGTGGTGCTTTTTCCTTGTGTAGCTGGCAAAACCCTCAGAATTCTTCCCAACACAGCACTGGAGGCAGCCACTAAAGGCTGATTGGAGTTCTGTGAAGCCTAGTTGCTGTCTCTGATCTATCTATTCCCTTATATCGCTATTTAAAGTTTCTGAGCGTGCTTGTCTTCTTTCTCCAGCTGAGCTAAGTCCCTGAGGGCAGGGACCATGCCTCAATAATCCTAACAATAACAATCCTAACAACAATAACAGCAGTGGCAAATATTCATTGAGTACTTATATGTGCTGGCACTGTGCTGGCCATTTAACATGTATTATCTAATGGAATCCTCAACAATTCCTCTGGAGGGGGTATTATTACCCCCACTTTATAGATGGGGAGTCTGGGTCTTAGAAGATGATAAGCAACTTGTCCAATTATACAGTCAGGATGTAGCAGAACCAGAACTTGACCCCCAAATATTTTCTTTTATCCAAAGTAGTGCATTATCTTGACCTCCTCTGTATCTGTGCATAGTAGGTGCTTAATGCAAATTTGTTGAATAGGAGCTTTTTAGAAAGCAATGAAGTTCTTCACAAGAGACAGAAAGAAATTGAATTGAAAATACCGGAAGCAAATTCTCTTCCCCAAGAAGTTAGAACATTCTTGAAAAAAGGTTTACTAAACTTTTCCAACATCCTTGGCTAAAGGCAACACCATTCCCCATTCCACAAGTAAACACGCTTTATGGATACAGAAATACTAAAGGCCAACTCCAATGAATGGGAGGGATCCTGGTGAGGAAGTGGCCTGGGAGCCTCCTGACAGGGGCCTTGCAGTGTCTACTACCACCCAGTCACTGGCACCTCCCTGGGCCTCAGTTTCCAGACTTCTAGAACGATTCATTTGGACTTGATTAGCACTTCCCAAGTGTGTTCCCTGGAATATTGGCCCTGCAAGAAATTCATATAAAAAGCGGTTCTGTTGTCAAAAGCACGATTGGGAAATTGCCTTTCCCTTGGGAGAGACACAGTCCATATTAAATGCTCTGAGAAGGCCAGCAGGAAAGAAGCTCCTTATTTAATGTTACTTAATTCTTATTTAACCCAGCATTTCCTAACCCTCTTTGGTTTCACATAATAACAGCAAATATCTCTCATAACTAATCCCATACTTGGTAAAACAAAACAAAACAGAACAGAACAAAACACACAATTGGCTGAATAGATTCTAAGGACCTTCCCTCACATTCTGTAAGTTTATGAAATAATAATATAAGTTGACTATAAACTTCCCCTCAGTGAATTAAAGGTGGAGTCACAATTTTGGATTTTTGAGATGCATCCAAAAGGTTTAAAGCGTTTTAAGATAAGGAACCAAAAGTTTAGTAGTTCATGCTGCCTGGTTATTTTCGCAATATGAACAACAGGGGGCACCAGGGGACTGTAGTATGGCCACCCCTCCACAAACTCAGCAAGAAAGGGCAAACCAAAGTTGTAGCAAACGGAGGGAGGGATTTCAGCAATTCCTTTTCTAGCTGAATGGAAAGCTACTGAGAGCAATTTGGGTTTCTCTCTGGCTTTCTGTTGGAGGAATACAATGAGATAGAATCAGGATAGGTTAACATCTTTCTTTTGCTCATTCCCTTTATAGATAGAAAATCACATAAAGCAACTCTTTTCAACAACTGCTTGTCAATGGTTTGTTTCCACCTTGGGGCAACTACATTCCACTGTGGAAGTTCTTATTGAAGAAACATAGCGCCTATGAGTTGAGAAATGAGTGGTTCTTTCCTTCACCAGCTTTCTCATTTTAAAGGGGGAATAAATTGCACATGTGAGGAAAAGAACAAACTTCTTTAGGACATAAGTTCTTTGTAATTTAAATTTTTTCTCTAGACTTTGGGCTCAAGACTTATACAATAAGACTCTTTTTAATGATGTGGCAGGCTATAAAAGGATTGGAGGCAATTGAGAGAGAAGAGGAGAGGAGGGAAGGGGAGAGGAGGGGAAGGGAGGGGAGAGGAGGGAAGGGAAAGGGAGGGAAAGGGAGGGGAAGGGAGGGGAGGGGAGAGGAGGGGAGAGGAGGTTATTACCAGCGAATACTGCCCCTACACAGAGCCTCCCACGTATGTGGATATATCACATAGCTTTTTCTCACTTATCATGTCTTTATTGTTCTCTTGTGAAGTAGAACAAGACAGACAGGTCTCCCTATCCAAGCCAAACACAAGAGACTTACAGAGCCAAACACAAGAGACTTAAGGTAATTGTCAGCAGCAAATGCTCAGGTTGGTTATTTTTTTCTCTGTATCTTCCCTTATTACCCGCCAACACAGCCCCTACGCAGAGCCTCCCACGTAGGAGAAGACTTTACATATACTTTTAAAATGTTTTCCTCAAGAGAAAGAGAAAACAAGATCCAGGAATATAGCCCACAGAAACCAGCAAAGGACAGAGGAATCACTCTCCACCCATAGCAATCACCAGCTCAGAGAAACTCTGAGTTTGGAGAGTCTTTTGCATTCACCTAATTTCATCCTTGCATTATGTACAGGAGAGGACCAGGGAGTCATGCAGAGAGGTACCAGCCCGGCCAGTCCGGGAGCTTCTAGACAATTGTTCCCCAAAGCAATGCCCTTCCCACCGCCCTGTGCTGGACCCCAGTCTCAAGCCCTTAAGAGACTTCAGGTGCTTATCTCTGCAGGCAGCAAAGTGCAGGAGCAATAGCCACATCCCATCCTAATTCTACACACTGCAGTGTGCGACTTGTTTTTGACAATCCCATTCTTGTCCCAGTGAGAACAATGGAGAAAATAGCATGTAAGGGGATATTGCTAGACCAGCAAACAAAATGCATTTGTCTGTCTGATTTGTGATCCATTTCTACTATTCACCTCTCAAAGAAATGCTGGGAAGAGCTTGGAAGCTAGCAATTAAGCAGTTCAAACTCTTTGGAAAGTTTCTAGTGCCTTAGAATTCCAGGAAGTGCTGAATCATAGAGTCGCAGAATAGGAAAAGATTTGTAAGACAAGAATAAAATGAATATTTATTGAACACCTCCCATATTATTGGATATATTTTGTCTCAACCTCACAGTCACTCTCAGAGGCGGGTGTACTGTGATCTCCTGTTAGAGGAGGAAACTGAGGGTCAGAGTGGTTAATTGGAACTGGTAAGCTAGGATTTGAACTTAGGTCTATTTGGACTGAAGAAACAACTACTCAGAAGTATTATGCTATTACTTTCTTTGTTCTCACTTCCTCTTTCTTACTGGAGGATGCTCAGTTCATAACCTCTATCTGTGAAAGATACTTCCCCCTCTACTATCTTCAGATTATCTTCTTAGAGATAGAAACATTCTACAACCACATTTGTATCTGCCTTTCACAACTATTATAGTAAACAAGTTCTTCCTAGCATCTAACTTAAATCCCCCCAATACACTGAGAGCCACCAGCTCTGCCCTCAGGGAACATGAAACATGGCTAGAACATTCCAGTTAGCAGCAGCTTCCCAGTCTTGGTTCCAAACTGCTTCTGTTAAAAGAATCACCAATTCAAAACACATGCACTGTCATGAACCCTCGCCCCAATCCAGATGCTCCACTCCTTGGGCCCCTTTAAGGGTGAACATGAATATCACTCAGGCTCAGGCCCTGTTATCCAGATGCCATCAAGAGGGATCAAGGCTTTCCTTCTATCTCCATTTCCGAGCTAAGCCTAGATTGGACCTCCTTTTTCAAAGTACATTCTAGGACTACCATTTTATGTGATCAAATAAAGGGCCTATTTATATCTGAGCTGTGTCAGGGATGAGTAAACAAAATTCTTCCACTGGGAATTTGGGCACCTTCTATATTCTATGACTCTTTTTTTGTTTTTTGAAACAGAGTCCTGCTTTGTCACCCAGCTTGGAGTGCAGTGGTGTGATCTTAGCTTACTGCAACCTCCGCCTCCCAGGTTCAAATGATTCTCATGCTTCAGCTGCCCAAGTAGCTTGGATTACAGGAATGTGCCAACACACCCAGCTAATTGTTTTGTATTTTTAGTAGAGATGGGGTTTCACCATGTTGGCCAAGCTGGTCTTGAACTCCTGGCCTCAAGTGATCCGCCTGTCTCAGCCTCCCAATAAGATTACAGGTATGAGCCACACTGCCCAGCCCACCTTCTGTGTTTCTTTACTAACAGAAAAATGTAGCCCTTTGCAAAAGTGCATGCATGCAGCATGATAGAGAATATCTTTCAGTCTTGCTCCTTTAGGGGTATATCTTTATTCTTTATGTATTTAATAGCTGATTTCAATAATAGCTCATGTTCAATGAGTGCGTACTATGTGCTGGGCTTTCCATGTTTTAAGCTTTACATGTTTTAGCTCATTCTTAGCAATTCCAGGAAGTAGATGCTGTCTTTAGCATTTTGGTTTTTTTTTTTTTTTTTGGGAAGCAGGGTCTCACTCTGTCTTCCAGGCTGGAGTGCAGTGGCGCAATCTTGGCTCATTGCAACCTCCATCTCCCAGGTTCAAGCTGCTCACCTCAGCCTCCCAAGTACCTGGGACTGTAGGTGTGTGCCACCATGCCTGCCTAATTTTTGTGCTTTTTTGGTAGAGATGGGGTTTCACCATGTTGGCCAGGCTGGAGCATTTTGATTTTACAATTGAGGCAAAGAAGGGAAGCAAATTGCGTAAGGCTGCCAGGTAATAAGTGACTGAACCTGGCCAATCTAATTCCAGAATACATGCTCCTGAGCACTCTGTTAGTTAGTATTCATTTTGGCTGTGATAGCAGAACCCAAAACAACAGTGGTTTAAATTAAATGGAAGTTTATTTCTCTTAGGTAGAAGTCCAGAGGTTAGTCCAAACTAGATAGTCCAAAACTAGACTAGAAGCTCAACTCCACACAGTGCTCAGGGCTCCAGGCTCCTTCTCTATTCCAGTACTCCTAATGTGTAGTTTCATCCCCAACATCCAAAATAGATGCTAGAACTTCAGCCATCTCATCAGTATTCCAAGCAGCAGGATGAAAGAAGAGACAGGATAGAAAAGGGATGAAACACATGCCAGTTGTTTACTATGGACTGTTCCTGGATGCAGCCATGTGACATTTCTGCTTACATCCCACTGATCATAGTAGCAAGAGGGCTGGGGGTAGTTGTTATTCTAGGTGGCTTTGTGACTGGTTATAAAGTAGAGGATTTTATTACTGAAAGAAGGAGAGGAGTAATCAGAGGCTAGATGGGTATATGGAGGGGTAGAGGGAGATGTAGCTGGAGAAAGGGGCAGGGCCTGGGTGATGAGAACTTACCAAGACCCTACATTTCCCCACTCTAATCTTTGGGTTCATTTTCCATTCCAGCAGGTACCAAGGGAAGGCAGGGCCATCCCTTGAAAACCATCAGTTTTGACTGCTGCCTGACCCCCTGAAGCTCTGTAATCAGCACTCCTAGAACACAACTCAGGTGTCCACCTTGGTGGTAAACTTTAGGCAGGTTCCAGCCTGGGACCATCAGTTCATTGGGTTCAAATGGAGGTGGGTGGCTTCTGATTGGTGTCTCCAGAAAGCCCCAAAAGGGAAGGTGGTGTGGGGGAGGAGGACACTGTGATGGGCCACAGCCTCAGAGTGGCTTTTGCCTCTGAACCTCCAGAGCGAGCCTGGAAACCAGCCACGAGAGAGTAACTTCATGGTTTCCAAAGCTCCTTTGCATATGCTATTTCCCTTGAAACATACAAGATTGTGATAGGGCTTGCTCTGCTCCCTGTTTTGCCAGTGAGGAAAAAGGAGTCAGAATCCTCCTGTAATTTTCAGTAGGATAAGGTGAGGTCTCAGAATCTGTCTTTTCACAGGGGTGCCAGGAGATTCTTATGTTTAAAAAACTTTGGGAAACACCAAGCTCAGGGTGGCAAGTGATATAGGAGGGCCACATCTTAGGGGACAGATAAATCACAAGACTGTAGACTCTGTGATGAATAAATGCCCTAATTTATTTTTGTTCTGTTTTGTTTTGTTTTGCGACAGTCTCACACTGTCGCCCAGGCTGGAGTGCAATGGCGTGATCTCGGCTCACTGCAACCTCTGCCTCCTGGGTTCGAACAATTCTCCTGTCTCAGCCTCCCGAGTAGCTGGGATTACAGGCACCCACCACCATGCCCAGCTAATTTTTATATTTTTTAGTAGAGACGGAGTTTCACCGTGTTGGCCAGGCTGGTCTCGAACTCCTGACTTCGTGATCTGCCCGCCTCGGCCTCCCAAACTGCTGGGATTACAAGTGTGAGCCACCATGCCCAGCCAAAATGCTCTAATTTATAACCAGTCACAAAGCCATCTAGAATAACAGCTAACCCAGCCCTCTTGCTACTATGATCAGTGGGATGTAAGCAGAAATGCCACATGGCTGCATCCAGGAACAGTCCACAGTAAACAACAGGGACGTGTTTCATCCCTTTTCTATCCTGTCCCTTTGAGTTATACCTGTCGTCGTCACTGCTCTGTCTCTGTACCTGGCACACTGTAGATACTCAATACATATTTGTTGAAAGGATGAATAAAGACAAGCTTAGATATTCAGACTTTTAGATCCTACTTCCTCTAGTGCCATGGAAGAATCCTAGAAGGAGCTCACATTTTATTATGCTTGCCACCGCAAGATGAGAGATAAGTACTACTAAAACTCATTTTACAGATGTTAAACACTGGGGTTAAATGACTTGCCCAGGGTCACACAAACCCTAAGTGGTAGAACCAGGATTTAAACTCATGTTCTTCAACATGATGCTCTTTTGTTTCTTTAATATGGATCAACTATTTATTCCATTGCAATAGATTTACCATAGCTCAAATCATTCCCTGGGAAACAGAAAGTCTATTCTATAGCTTTTTCATATAACAAGTAACCTAATACACAGATGTGAGCCCTGTCACTTGACACCGCCCATGTTATAGAAAAGTTCCACTCTGCCTCACAGACTATTTGCTCGCATTGAGGTGCCAAACTGGATTGGCGGAGAGGAGCGTATATTGAACTTGAATGTTTACTTTACTCGTGAGCACACACATCTGTTTTTGTTTATGGGGATGGCGGCAATCAGAGCGAGCTCTCCTCAGCAGACATTCTTGACAGTGGATTTCTCTCCCAGTCTGAGAAGTTTTATTATCTCTGAGGCTGGCAAGCAGGCTGTCAGTTTAGACCGTGCCCTTTTGAACCCAGAGGCTTCTGGGCTCTTCTGTTCTTTCCAAAGAGGCATTATTACTTCAGGGCTGAACTGAATCTTAAGGAGATGTGAGATTTTGTGGTGGAGTAACTACATCCACGGGACCTCACATAGACCTGGAAGAGTGAAACAGTTCTAAAAGCCCCTCTCTTATCCATTGACAAATTCAAAGTACAAGAGCTGAGCCCTTATCTGTTCTACTTTCTTAGGGGCCCTCATTCCTCTGCCCTCTTTTGCATCCATTGCCCCAGCTCTTGCACGTGCGGCAGAGGGGAGGTTGCCCGCATGGGGAATAGTTTCTGTTTCCTTCCTTTGTTGACATACCTTTAGGGAAGGCATAATGCACACAGATTGCACTGGCACGTGTTGTCTCGTAACGTGTTTGGTATTAGTAGCCTTCAGGTGGTTTCTGGCTAGTTCTTCCTCTGTCTTAGATGCAGACTGGCCCCTGCACTGTCTTAACACAGAGGCAGGTTTGGATAGTTGGTGGTGGGTTGCATGAGGACTTGGCTTTTTCACTCAGCTACTTTCCTTGAAAGAAGAGTTAAAAGCAGCACTTTATGTTCCTTGGATACAAGCAACTATGACTGGGTTTTTCCATCTGTCCTGTCACCCCAAGTGATGAGACCAGTAGTCAATTCATTGGCTGGCAGAAGGTACATCCTGTGGCACTTTATGTAAGTGAAGCTTTTTCAAAGAGCAGGATATGAAAAATTAGTGGCTATGGGAGGCGTGAATACAGAGGGCCTTGGTAGTAAGTGTGTCCATGAAGTGCTGTTCAGTCTGACTTTGTATTTATAGTCTAGCTCAATAAAAATGATGTGATTTTTTTTCTTGGTTACAAAGGAAATAGGATGGCTCATAGGTCAATAATTCCATATCTGATTTCTTAGACCTGTGACATTTATATCACACTTCCAACAGTTAAAACTTTTGTCTTCTGAAATATCTGCTCATTCCACTGGGAAAAGCATTTTGGAATACACATAACCTTCTGTGACCCCAGCCATTCGTTTCCCTTAACCTCCCCACACCCTGCATGCCATACTTACTTATTTAATTTTTTTTTTTCTTTGAGCCAGAGTTTCACTCTTGTTGCCCAGGCTGGAGTACAACGGTATGATCTCGGCTCACTGCAACCTCCACCTCCTGGGTTCAAGCGACTGTCCTGCCTCTCAGCCTCCCAAGTAGCCAAGATTACAGGCACCCACCACCATGCCCGGCTATTTATTTATTTTTGTCTTTTTAGTAGACACGGGGTTTCACCATGTTGGCCAGGCTGGTCTCGAACTCCTGACCTCAGGTGATCCACCCGCCTTGGCCTCCCAAAGTGCTGGGATTACAGGCGTGAGCCACCGGACCCAGACTATTTGTTTAATTTTACAACCAGCAACAAGCCTAGCATGCCACACTTAAGTGTTCCCAAATTATAACTCTTCCAAGTAACGGGAACTAGAGGTTTCTTCCTGTGGTGCTGACAGAGGTGACAGTGGGTAAGCAACAGGTGGTTAAAGGTTTGAGCAGGAAGGGGCCCTGTACCCACTCCAGTGTCTTTAAGGTAGATATAAGGCATGTGGAAGTGTGAGAACCGGACACTGCCTTCAGTGCTGTGGGAACCCAGGTGAAGTTTCCCCTTTATAAAGTTTTCCCTATGCCTCCCTTAGAGGGATGAGGCAGCAGAACAGAGCTCCCTGCCTTTACACAGCCATGCAGGGTCCAGGATCCCCACCATCTAAGAGAGACAAAGAAAACTGGGAAAGAGATCTGTTATTGAGCTTCCTGCCAATTTTGTCCTGTGGGACACTCAAACTGGATTTAATTTGATATAGCAAAATAAAGAAATACTCACCATACACTCTATGAGTGTTGTGTAAAAATTCTTAACTGTTAACAATATATAAAAAATCAATCTCAATTTGCAAGGATATTAATATTTAAATCAGAAAATTTTCTCCATTAGATTAACACATATATGCCTGGGTACAGTGGCTCACGCCTGTAATCCCAGCACTTTGGGAGGCCGAGGCAGGCCGATCATTTAAGGTCAGGAGTTCGAGATCAGCCTGGCCAACATGGCGAAATCCTGTCTCTACTAAAAATACAAAAATTAGATGGAGGTTGCAGTGAGCCGAGATCTTGCCACTGCACTCCAGCCCCAGCAACAGAGTGAGACTTCATCTCAAAAAAAAAAAAATATATATATATATATATAATATTTCAGTCTCAGGGGCAACAAAGATATTTTTAAAAGCTCACAGCCAATGATGGTGAGTGAGGGTATGGAGAAATGGTCATGCTTACACACTTTCATTAGATACATAAATTGGTACAATCCTTCTGGCACATAATTTGATAAATAATAACAGCCTTAAATTTCGACCTAGTAATTCTTTTTCCACCAGTCTATTATTTAGTGGAAGTTGTTATTATTATGAAATAATCAGAAACTTGGATAAAAATTTATAAACAAAGCTGTTTATGGGAGCATTATTTATAGTTCTAATAAATGTGATGTTAAAAGTATGATTTGAATAATGAAAAATGGTTAAATAAATGATGGCACATCCATAAAATTTAATATTGAGGTAGACGTTAAGGTCCTTCAAAACTATTATGGCTTCCTCCCAGATTAAGTTAGAAATAAACACATGTATAAGCCAGCTCTTGCCGCATAACAAACCACCCCAAAATTCAGTGGCTTAAGACACTGTCAAAATTCATGGACTGGCTGGATGAATCTTTTGGTCTGAGCTGGCTCAGCTGGAACTGGTTGCATGTATGGGACAGCTGGGATGGCTCATCCTCTCTCTCCATGTGGTCTTTCATCCCCTAGGTCAATCTTAGGCTATTCTAAAAGCATGAAGAGAGAAAAGCCCCAATGCACAAGCATGTGTCAAGCTTCTGCGCATGTTACATTTGCTAATGTCCCATCAGCCAAAGTAAGTCACATGGCCAAGCCCAGAGTCAACAAGTGGAGAAATAGACTCAATCTCTTGATTGGAGGATCCGCAAAATATTGTAGCCATTATACACACACACACACACACACACACACACACACACACACACACATTGGCTGGGCTGACGCCTGTAATCCCAGCACTTGGCAGATCACTTGAGGCCAGGAGTTTGAGAGCAGCCTGGCCAACATGGTGAAACCCTGTCTCTACTAAAAATACAAAAATTAGCTGGGTGTGTGTGCATGCCTGTGATCCCAGCTACTTGGGAGGCTGAGGCATGAGAATTATTTTAACCTGGGAAGTGAAGGTTGCAGTGAGCCAAGATTGCACCACTGCACTCTAGCCTGGGCGACAGAGAAAGACTCTGTATCAAAAAAAAAAGAAAAAAATTAAAATTAAATATATATATTTATTTCACACCATGTAACTTGCTTTGGCTAATAAAATATGTATACTTTTCTATATTCTCCTTTCCTCTTGCTCGATGATCAGATACATTTGAAATAGCAGCTGCTCAGTCGGGCTCTGTTTCAAAGTGATCAAAATGCTGTCCTGCACCAGACATGAGGCTTGAATCAGAAACAAACCTTTGCTGTATTAAGTCACATAGAGAATTTTTGTTATTGCTACATAACCTACTTTGTCTAAAGTAATACAAAAATTATGGAGGGACTGAAATGATGTTTTTAGAAAATAATTATGTGAGAAAGAATTCAATAATAAAACTCTTTGTAAATGAGCAGCCTATGAAGCAGATGCATACTTGTATATGTTGTATAATCCCAAATTTGCATTTGTATTTGCAAACACATACACACATATATACTGAAAGGAAATATATCAAAATTTTAACAGTGGGTTACAGGTAATTATTACTTTTTTCTTCTCCGTATTTTCTGAATTTTTGATAATGAGTTTGTATTATCATGGGTAAATGATATATATATTTTTTCAATTTCTCCCTAGCCCGTCCCTATAAGAGTATTACTCAGCTGAGCGTGGTGGCTTACGCCTGTAATCCCAGCAGTTTGGAAGGCCGAGGCAGGTAGATCACTTGAGGTCAGGAGTTCGAGACCAGCCTGGCCAACATGGTAAAACCCCATCTCTACTAAAAGTACAAAAATTAGCCAGGCATGATGGTGCATGCCCGTAATCCCAGCTACTCAAGAGGCTGAGACAGGAGAATTGCTTGAACCCGGGAGGCAGCAATTGCACTGAGCTGAGATTGCGCCACTGCACTCCAGCCTGGGTGACAGAGTGAGACTCTGTCTCAAGAAAAAAAAAAAAGAGTATTACTCATCCCTGTCCATCAGCAGGTGGTTTACTATCCTTCTTGTGGGGGAATTTTATGTCTCCATCTCACTGGACTTGGGCTTGGCCACGTGACACACTTTGGCCAATGAAATGTGAGTAAATATGGTGTCTGCTATGTTGGGTGTTTAAGATGCATTGTGAGTTTTGGCCAGTTTTCTTGCTCTTTCCCAGGTACGTCTCATGAAGGAGTTACTCTCTTAGCCTGGTTCCTGGAATGAGACAGAAATACAGAGAGCGAGAAAAAAATGTTTGTTCTGAGTTGTTGAGATTTGGAGGGGTTTTGTTAACACAGCTAACCTCACTAAGAAAATGTATTTTTTACTTTAAAAAACACACCTAAGAATATGACCATCAGTGACTCATAAGCCACCAAATTCTAAGTCCTGTCTGTAAAGGACACTGCTTCCTTCTTTATCCCACACCATTTTCTCTCTCTCTCCCTTTCAACTTCAAGGTGGTATACTACAAAATCAGGTTGTCCTGAAATAAACCAGTTCACAGATACAAGGTCTACTCTCGTCCTCTTGTAAAGTAGTAGGTCACATTCCCGTTTTCTGGAGATGTACCAGGAGCTGTCACTTCTTTGGACCTCAGGACAGGTTAAAAAAAAAAAAGGAGCTCATCTCTTTTTCTACTGAATATTACAGAGCAGGGGTGTCCAATCTTTTGTCTTCCCTGGGTCACATTGGAAGAAGAAGAATTGGTGGTCTTGGGCCACCAATTTTTTTATGTGTAGTCTTGGGCCACACATAAAATATACTAACACTAACGATAGCTGATGAGCTAAAAAAAAAAAAAATCTCATAATGTTTTAGGAAAGTTTACAAATTTGTGTTGGGCCGCATTCAAAGCCATCCTGGGCCGCATGCAGCCCATGGGCCGCGGGTTGGACAGGCTTATTCTAGAGAATATTTTAACACTGGCAGGGAGTATGGCATCATTCAGAAGTCATTAACCAGCATAGAACCCTTATTCTGAATTAAAGTGGACTTGTTTCTTTCAAAACCTCGCCAGGGATTTCTTAAAATGTACAGAAGATTGATCATTTATACACAAAATGCTCATTTATTCAAAGAAAATGAAACTTCTTATCTTTCTACAAATTACCTAATCCTCCTATAAGCTCCACCCTGCTGAGTAACAAGGAAACTTAGATTTAAGTATTTCAGTGTCCCCTCTGTCTTCTGCTCCAAGTGGCTTGTTAGGGTTTGCTGATTGTGTCGCTGTGGTGGTGGGTGGGTGGAACTCCAATCTTTGTGTTGGTCTCATGCCAGATCTTCACCCGTTTTGAAGAAATGATTTCCCTGTCTACCCTGTCACTCCTCACTCTACCGGCACCTTCTGCAAACATCTGTGGCTACAGTAATACTCTTGGTCTGCTGTCTCTCAGCTCAGCCAGGGTTTGGGGGCCTCCTGGTTAACTTGCATCATCTCAGCTCTCTGAGATTGTGTATTTCTTTAAAGGTGTGGGGATTCCCATTCGATCACCAGCCCAGGTGGTCTGCCCGCAAGCTCCCACTTTGGTAACCCTCTGCTGAGCTTGCCAGCACACCATCTACTTTCTTTATCTTTCAATGGGCCCTTGAAGGACTTCAGGGCACTCTTCACACCACATGAGAGCCAAGGACAGCTGGGCTTAGCAGCCCAGATTGGTAGAGGGTGCACTCTGTTTTGTTCCAATTGCTGCCCTTATACAGGAGAAGAATTTTCTGCCTTGCTGGAAAGATGTGAGCTAGACTTCCTGTCCTTGGCTTTGGGTGAAGGTCACAGAAGGAAGTTGGGCCCTATTATCCCAGTGGTTGCAGTGAGGTCTCTGCAGGCTCTTCAGATCTGAATGAGATTCTCTTCTGCTTCTCTGAGAGTCATTCTCTAGTCATGTTTGGGAGCATAATTCCCATCTGCTTATCATTTCCCCGGCATAGAACATAGGAGGTCAGGATCGCACAACATTCCCTTGTTGTTCTCAGGATGCCTCTGAACTCCGATCCTTGAATGTTTTGCTCCAATTCATGCTGAATTTCTTGAATGGCCCCCAGCACACCGGTGCCATGTTACTTCCTACTTCTGAGCCTTGGCCCATGCTGTTTTCTCTGCCCAGACTGCCCTTCCAACATCCACTGCTCTTGGAAAACTTCTGCTCATCCCCTAAGACACTGCGCAGGACTCTTTCTCTGAGATGTTCACTTCACTCTGGGCACTTTGCATGATGAACTTCATCAAAAAACCTTCTGTGTCTGTCTTCATCATGAGAATGAAGGTCCTAAGGGGCCAGGGTTTCATCTAAAACATTTTTGTTTTCCTAATGTCTGGTACAGAAAAATGCTCAACAAATGTTGGTTTGCAAAAATAAACCTTGGGCTAGTCGCGGTGGCTCAAGTCTGTAATCCCAGCACTTTGGGAAGCCAAGATGGGCAGATCACGAGGTCAGGAGATCAAGACCATCCTGGCTAATACGGTGAAACCCTGTCTGTACTGAAAATACAAAAAATTAGCTGAGCGTGGTGGCATGCACCTGTGGTCCCAGCTACTCAGGAGACTGAGGCAGGAGAATCGCCTGAACCCGGGAGGCAGAGGTTGCACTGAGCTGAGATCATGCCACTGCACCCCAGCCTGGGCAACAGAGCGAGACTCTGTCTCAAAAAATAAATGAATAAATAAATAAATAAATAAATAAAATAAATCTTGGGTAAAGTATGCATGGGATCTCACTGTATTACTTCTTACAACTGCAAATGAATTTACAGTGATGTGACAATAAAAAGTTTAATAATAATTTTTTTTAAATCCCTAAATGAACAGAGCCCATCATTTTTGAAAGCTCCCTGGTTACCCCCTGGTAGAAGACCAGAGTCCAAAGTAAGTCTGAGGCCTTGAAGAAGATGCCATTTTCAAGTGAAGGGTGGATGCTTCAAATTATTAATAGTTGGATCCCCCACTTGCCCTCAGAACCATCAAGTTCAGAAAGCTTTGAAGGAAGTTGGAGCACCTGTTAGCACATACAAATTACAGCAATTATAAAAAGGAAAGCCTCTGGGCAGATGAATTAGAAAAAAATGGGCTTCTCTAGGCTTGGTGGGTGGTAGTGTCTTTGTGTGAAATAAAAGCATGGTATTCCTTCCACTGGATGCTTCAGCCACACAAGCTAAGAGAGGAGTCAATTGCAGCCTCTTTCTTCCCCTCAGTCCGTCTCTGTTGTGTAAGGCATAACCTGAACGCAGCAGCCCAGGCCTGAGTATTTTCCTAGGTTTGCCATCTCATTTCAAAGGGCCAACTACCATGTTTTCATCCCCACTGGAGTGTCTGCTCATGTGGAAACATTATCTTTGGTTTGTAGCAAAAACTTAGTATTTTCTGTTAAATTTCTTAAATGGGTCAGTGTAAATAAAGAGTTAAGGTCGTGCACAGTGGCTCACGCCTGTAATCCCAGCACTTTGGGAGGCCGAGGCAGGCAGATCACTTGAGGTCAGGAGTTTGAGACCAGCCTGCCCAATATGGCAAAACCCCATCTCTACTAAAAATACGAAAATTAGCCAGGCGTGGGGGCACGTGCCTGTAATCCTAGCTACTTGGGAGGCTGAGGCAGGAGAATTGCTTGAACCCAGGAGGCAGAGGTTGCAGTGAGCCAAGATCGCGCCACTGCACTCCAGCCTGGACAATAGAGCGAGACTCCATCTCAAAAAAAAAAAAAAAAAAAAGAGTTAGTATACTTGAGTTAGTGGTCCATTCTCCATCAAAATTGGTTCCCTTTTAGTGAAGATCCCCTCTGTCTTAGTCCATTCAAGCTCTAATGATAGTATACCATAAGCTGGGTGGCTTAGAAACAGCATAAACTTATTTCCTACAGTTCTAGAGGCTGGGAAGTTCAAGAGCAAGTCTGGCAGATTTGGTGTCTAGTGAAAGCCTACTTCCTGATTCACAAGTGGTGCCTTCTGCTGTAATTCACATGTTGGAAAGGACAAGGGAACTCTTTCAGTTCTCTTTTATGAAGGCACTAATCCCATCCCTGTGACTTCATCGCCTCCCAGAGGCCCCACCACCATCACCTTGGGGGTTAGGATTTCAATATATGAATTCAGGGGGGACATAAACATTCAGACCATAGCGTCCTCCTTTGGAGTTTCTTCCTAGTGGAAGTTCTTGTTAGGATAAAGTTTTCTGTAGCGGATCTTTTGTTTGCTTGTTTGTTTTAATACCTGGAGAGTGAAAGTGAGGATCCAGGAACCAATTCTGGTCTCTTTATGTTTCTCAAAGGAGTGGTCCTACAGGACTTTGCTAAGCAGGCAGAAATATGCATCTTAGTTAAGATTACAATCACTGCACATAGTATATTTGTTGCATGGAGTGAGGGTGGAGTAACAGCTTGTTAAAGTCATTTTTTAAATTAAGAAATGTCTATAAATGTATTTGCATCTATTATTGTCTTTGATTTCTTTTCCACAAGACTATGAATTCTTTATGCATGAGGACCTTGAGTTCACACTTGTATGGCTAATCTGCTGGGGTCTGATGTTGTCCTGCCAAGGTGGCACAGATACACACCTGACAAGTGACATGTAGCAGAGAGTGAAATATGGCTTACTGGGGATGCTTCGATGTGGAGTGGCAGCAGAATGCATAGTACCCTGGCTGTAATCATTGACAAAAACTGTGTGCTTGATCAGCCAGAGCTGGATGCTAGCTTCCCGGGAGTGGCTCCTGGGAAAGGACCCTGCCCCTTACTGCTCTATGTATTTTGGGGAAATGATGGCAGAGGACATCTAGCACACTGCAGATATTGGGAACTTCTTGGTTGAAGAAGCAGCCTTGTTAGAAGAGAGACCTTTTAGAATTTAGCCTCAGGCATCAGCCTGCTTTTCCTTTGAACTAACACAGACCTGCTCAGCCAGCTTCTTGCTAAACTACCAGGAAGGCTGCTGGGATTTATCTGTCCTCTAGCACTGAGTAGGTAATTGGGAACTCAGTAAGTGTTGAATGAATGGAACTATTATTGTTAGGAGGAAATTCATATTTATTTCATTTAAATTTGCTCTCCTCTTGCAATCTGGCTATGGGAAGGTCCCTTAGGAATGGATGGGCTAGGCAGGGCCAGGGGGATTTTCTCTGCCTGCCCATTTCATAGAGAAGGGAGGGGGCAGATTAGCTACCATGAGGTTTTTTGTTTGTTTGTTTGTTTATTTGTTTTCTGAACCTGGATCCTAAGAATAAAAACCAAGAGAGCTTCTCTGTCCTGCTGAGTAGAAGAGGTAGCCACTGGAGAGACCTTGGTACAGAGGAACCAGAGAAGGCATAGCTATATGCCCCAAATCACAGTTTGGGCAGAGTAGCCCAAGGAGAGTACACAGATTGGGCAGAGTAGCCCATCGTACCCCACTGTGCGAAGGAGAACCTAGAGACCATTCTTGGGAGGACTCTGGGAAGGTATGACGGTCATGTTGTTTCAGCCCAAACCTCAGGGCAGCCACGTGGCAGCTGTTAAGTGCTCTTTTGGAGGTAAATGTGTGAAACCAGGACTGTTCCAAGGGCAAAGAAAGTCCAGGATTCATCATTAAGATGGGTTTCCTGTGGTCCCTGAAGGCCTCAGCATCACAGGAGATTCCAGATCTGCTGCTCTGGGGATCCACATGAGGCGGGATGATGTGCCTGCTGAAATTAAAGGGACAGGGTGGTGGGAAAAGTCTCCATCCCAGGATGGCAGGCTTCCACAGCCACAGCAACTCATGACAGGCCTCACTGGGGGATGAGCAGAGCTGCGTCCTTTGGAGCCAGAGACATCAGGTCTCAGGTAGTGTGAAGGATCCTAGCCATGGAGTGGCCAGCCAGTAAACTGTGTTGGGCAGCAGAGGAGTAAGAAGCTGCATGTCCTTCCATGGGCAAGAAGAGGCACTGCAAGAGAAGGCAGAAAATGTGTTTCTGGGCATTGGGCAAGCCTTTTTTTATCTCTCCCTCAAATGGAACAGAATCCCAGGGTAGGATGGATCTGTGACCTCATGGTAACAGGTGGACCTAATAACTTGAAATACCAAGGATAAGGAAAGAGCCTGTTCTACTGAAGGTTCATATGGCCCAGTGGTCCCCAAGCATTTTGGCGCCCAGGGCCCAGTTTCATGGAAGACAATTTTTCCATGGACCAATGTGGGGGGAGGGGTGATTTCAGGATGATTCAAGCACGTTATATTTATTGTGCACTTTATTTCCATTATTATTACATTGCAATATATAATGAAATAATTATACAACTTACCATAATGTAGAATCAGTTGGAGCCCTGAGCTTGTTTTCCTACAACTAGATGGTCACCTCTGGGGCTGATGGGAGACAGTGACAGATCATCAAGCATTAGATTCTCATAAGGAGTTCGCAACCTAGAACCCTCACACGTACAGTTTGCAATAGGGTTTGCGGTCCTATGAGAATGTAATGCTGCTGCTAGTCTGACAGGAGGCAGAGCTCAGGCGGTAATGTGAGTGATGGAGAGTGGCTACAAACACAGATGAAGCCTCTGTCACTCACCTGCCACTCACCTTCTGCTGTGTGGCACAGTTCCTAACAGGCCACGGACCAGTACTGGTCCGTGACCTGGGGCTTGGGGACCCCAGATATGGCCCATCTCATACTATTACTATTACTAGTGCTACTACTATTACTGGCTAACGAGGCACTTTGCTAAAAGCTGTACAAGCATTTTTCCACTTAATCCTAGAAATAACCTTATGAAGTAAGTACCGCAATTTAGGAATCTGAAGCTGAGCAAGGCTGCAAAATTGTTCAAAATAAAATAGCTTGGAGTGGTCTAGCCTGGAACAGAACACAGTTACATTGGACTCCAGAGTCCACAAGCCTCAGCATTACTCTGTGTGCGTCTCAAATGTCTTAAGTAATTGATGCGGCCAAGATAGCTTCCCTCTGTGAGTGCCATGTGGCAGGAATTGTGTTTATTCTCTTCACCACTGTGGTCCCAATGCCGAGTACGGTGCTTTGTTCCCAATAGGTATTAGATATGTATTTGTGGAATAAAAACAGGGATGTGTGTGTAGCAGAAAACCATCAGTTTATACTGAGCTTCTTTCCTGAAGACAGTTATGAATCATATTCCCATACCAGGTCAAGGGATGGAAAACGTGATCATCAGGCTGTTTGTGCTTTTAACATTTCAGATTCAAAACAAGCATTGTTTTATGATGAAAATGAATTATCCTGACATTCTATCACATCTTATCAGACTCTTTTTTATTCAAAATGCTGTTGGTACTCTTACTTAATAAACTGGAGCAAGCAATAAATTCCACTGGTCTACAGAGACTGTGGTTGGGTTCCCAGTACCAAAATGATTTTGATTATTGAGTTGGCATATACCTCTAAACATTCCTAAATCAGTGGTTGGCAGCAGCAATATTCTGAAAGAAAGAGAAAAAGAAAAAACAGCGCGTGCGCATGCATACACATACACACACGCGCACACACACACGTGATAGCTTCAAAGCCTCTTACACATTAATGGATTCCTTATGGATTACATGGCTGTAATTGTGAAAGAGCACAAAGAACTAAAGGGAACCTTATTTCTTTAAACAAAAACATTTTTTAAAAGATGTTCCTTTTGAAAAGTCATTTGTTTTTTCTGAAGAGAGTAGGAAAAAAAAAGCTCCAACATAATGGAACTCTTAAAAATGTGTCAGGAACACAATAGAAAACCAGAATAAATGTAGGCAAGGCAACCACAGGAAGCCAGTCGCAGACTGAGTTCATTTGTACTCTAACAGCAGACATGGATGAAGAAAACAACCAGCAGGAGAGAGAGTAGTGAGAAGTGCCAGCTCATAGTAAGGGGGCCAGTAGGAAGGGAGACGGTGTGTGGTAGGGGGAGGGACATTCTAGAATTCAAAACAACAGACTATTCATATCATATTCTTAAAATCGGTGTAATGAAACCTGTTTATATTATCCTCAAATTAATTGTTCAATGTTCGAATGTCAGTGTCCCAGCCAATGACCCACCAACAATTTCCTTGGTCATTGCATTTTCTTTCCTTGGTCTTTCGAAAAAATAACGAATGAGTTTCTCTATTTATAAAGTTTCTCTGAAATGTCTTCTTATGTCATGGAGGCTGGGAGTTCATCTTGGGACACTGGATGTGATGGGGGGCCCTTGGCTGGGATCAGGAGGTTTTTGTGATTGTGAGGCAACTTCTGATCCCATTAGCTGACGGTTGACTGACATTTTGGAACAAGATTTTGCAAGATACGGGAAAGGAAAAAAAGGAGCATGGGAAGGAGGCACTTAAAAGATTGAGAAGGCAGGAATAAGCTGAGTGCTCCCAGATTTGAGGAGGATTTTATTGTTGGACACAGATCTCTGGTGAGCTTGCAGCCAGGATGTCGGAGGCCTGGTATGGGGGACCTAGTTTGGGTTTTCTTGTCAGCTTTGTACTGACCTTACCAAGCAAACTGGCTCTATGAGAAATGGGAGCCAGTTAATTTACCTTCCCATTTATAAGTTAGGTAGCAATGTATACACACATGAGGGGGCAGCCTTTCCTGGAGGGTTTAAGGTAATATTTGAGAGAAAATAAAAGGAAATACCACTTTAGATGCCTGGAAATTGCTTCCCAGAGAAGTGGCATAGGCTGAAAGTAACCATGAAAAGTTCCATGAAAGATTTATCTAGATTCTTTGTTACTAGATTTGCAAATACTTTTCTTAGTGGGAGTGAAATGCTTTAGGGAATGTTTTTAAGTTTTCCTTAATATTCATGTCAGAAGCAGAATATTGGTTGGGTTGCATAGGATCTGACTGATTATGTAATTTCTCACTGAAAATATTTATTACACTCTGGAAGATTTCAGGAAGGCCCTCTATCCAAAGTGTGTGGAAAGGTAGAAAAAAGGAATGGGCTTTGCAGTCAGACAGCCAGGGGTTTGAAGCCTACTTGCACTACCTGCTAGCTGTAAGATCTTGGGGAAACCACTTCACCTCTTTGAATCTCAGCTCAATGCTAAGGACAAAAATATATGCCTAACAAGGTTTTCGTGAAGAGCAAGAGAGATCATGTGTGTGAAAATGTAGCATAGGACCTGGCACATAGTAGTAGTACTAGTAGGATTAGGTTGGTGCAAAGGTAACTGTGGTTTTTGCCATTTGAAAGTAATGATAGGTCAGGCCTGGTGGCTCATGCCTGTAATCCCAGCACTTTGGGAGGCCGAGGCAGGTGGATCACATAAGGTCAGGAGTTCAAGACCAGCCTGGCCAACATGGTGAAACCCTGTCTTTACTAAAAATACAAAAATTTGCTGGGCTCAGTGGCAGGTGCTTGTAATCTCTGCTACTCGGGAGCCAGAGGCAGGAGAATCACTTGAACCCAGGAGGTCGAGGTTGCGGTGAGCCAAGATTGTACCACTGCACTCTAGCTTGGGCTACAGAGTGAGACTCTGTCTCAAAAAAAAAAAAAAAGATTAAAAAAAAAAGTAACGGCAAAAACTACAATTACTTTTGCACCAACCTACTTGCTGTCCAATAAATGTTAGCTCCACTCATTTTCTCCCTTATATAAATAAGTAACATACTAGCCCTAAGCACTTACCATACATATAACTTCATTTATCCTCAAAACAATTCTATGAGAGAGGTACCATTATTGACCCAATTTTACAAATCTTAGTGAGTTTAAATACTGTTTAAGATGGAAATTATCTATTCTGCATAACAACCCCCAGAACATAGTGGCTTGAAACAACCACCATTTTAATGTATCTCATGATTCTGTGAGTTGACTGGGCTCGGCTGGGTGGTTCTTCTGCCCCACATGCTGTTGTCTGGGGCTGCATTTATCTGAAGGCTCAACTGGGCTGGAACATGCAAGATGGCTCCCTTGTATGGCTGGCAGTTGATGCTGGTTTTCAGCTGGGAGCACAGCTGTGACCGTCCATAAGGGCACAAACCCATGCTTCTCCATGTACCTCTCATAGGATGGCAGCTGTGTTCCAAAAGGGGGCATTCCAAGAGAGAAGACATGTAAGCTTCTAGTTCTCTTAACGCTTGGGCTCAGAAATCTCAGAATGTCACTTCTGCCACTATCTAGTGATCAAAGCAGTCACAGGCCCACCAAGATTTAAGAGAAGGGGATAGAAATTTTACCTTTCAGTGGAGAAGTGGTGTGAATATATAGGAGGGAAGGAGTTGATGACAGCCATGATTGGAGACTATCTACCACAAATGCTTTGCCAAAATCACAGAACAAGTCAGGTGTCAGAGTTAAGATTCAAACCACACAAATCAAACTTCAGAATACATATTCTCAGCCACTAGGCCATACACATACACAAGACAATATACAATTACATGCCCATATGTATGGAAAACACAACAAGTAAAATATAATTTCAGAGAAAAGATCAGAACAAAATTAAGAGCTCTAAAAGCCAGAAACTAAAAAACATACACTTTTTGTGTGCTTTCTCCCCATATAATGCAGAATAAATGTTACTTCTTGAACACATACTTATTCACCCTATTGAGTAACCCATGCTTGTATGGAAGATGTCAGAGAGACCTATAATTGTTAAAGAAAGCTTCCAGGGAGAAGCAGAATTTAGCCTGACTCTGAAGTCTGATTAGGATTTGAATAAGACAGAGAGACAAAGAAAGGGGAGGAAGATAAAATATGAACAAGAATGAGCAGGAAGTAGTAGCTAGGGGATGGAAGAAGGACAAGGCTGAAGTGATTTGGAAACAGTAGGACTGATTAATAACTCAATTGGTTTCCCATCTTTTTTTTTTTTTTTTTTTTTGAGACGGCGTCTCACTCTGTCACTCAGGCTGGAGTATAGTGACTCGATCTCGGCTCACTGCAACCTCTGCCTCCTTGGCTCAAGCAATTCTCTTATCTCCTACTTCTGCCTCCCGAGTAGCTGGGACCACAGATGCATGCCACTGCACCCAGCTGTTTTTTGTATTTTTTGTAGAGACGGTGTTTCACCATGTTTCCCAGATTGGTCTCAAACTCCTGAGCTCAAGTGATCCACCCACCTGGGCCTCCCAAAGTTTTGGGATTACAAGTGTGAGCCATGGCACCCCGCTGGTTCCCCATCTTTATAAATATCCCATTGTAGCACTGGGAACCTGATTACAAAGAATGAAGATCCTCATGACACCAGCCCATCTATGCAAACTCTGTTTCAAGACTTGGCCTTGCTGAAGGTGGATGTTGGAGAGCCTTTTCAGGGGCTGGGTGGGGAGGATGCTGCTTGAAGTTCACCCTGATGGCAGGTCTAGGAAGGGCCAGGTTCACACCACTGTCTTTCTAGTTTAATTTGGAAATGGATTGCTAAGCATATGACAAACCCAGTCATTATAACTCTTATTGTAGAATGCTCTAGAGAGTTCATTAACCTAAATCTCTCTTATATTACCACTCTACCAGTACTGCCTGATGAAGGCAAGGACTTGAGCCATTCTGAGCAAACACCATCTTCAGAATATTTTCCCATGAAGGTGGCTTCTATCATTCTCATTTGAAAAATCTTTGCTCTTTCTTCACATTTGAAAGAAACCCAGTATGACTGTTGTAATTTTTTTCACGTAAATTACAAATATTTAGAATCCTTGTCAAAGCAGTGAAAAAAAAGCAGATGTTTTCCTTTATGTTGGCCCCAAGTAATACCACATTAGAAAATAGAGAGTATTTTCAAGAGTTGTTAAAAGATATTTCAAGAAAATAAACATTTGTTGAATGCAAACAAGAACAGAGTATGGCATTTAAAAATACTAATTTAGAGCTAAGGAGTCTGAGGCTCAGAGATGATGAGTGATGTGTATAAGGTCACAGAGTGAGTTTTTGCAGCCATGTCAGAATCTGACCTCAGTTCTCTCAAGTCCCAGTCTGGTGTACTTTTTGTACTCCAGAATGCACTACTCCAGATAAATGCAAAGATGGCCATCCCCATATCCTTTGGGCCTCCCCATATCCACGTCCTTTGCAATATGACTTTGCAATTCCTTTCATCTCAAGGTAGACTATTTCCCCACTTCTTGAATCTGGGATGGCCTTGTGATTTGCTTTGGCCAGTGAAATGTGGTAGAAATGATGGTACACTTCTGAGCACAGGCACCAAGAGACCTGTGAGCTTCTGCTTGCAGTAAACTTACTACCACTGTATGGTCAAGTCTAGGTGTCTTAGTCTGTTCCTCCTGCTATGGAAAATGGCTGACACTGGATAAGTTATAAATAATAGAAACTTATTTCTCACAGTTCTGGGGGTTGGGAAGTCTAAGACCAAGGTGCCAGCTGGTTTGGTGCCTGGTGATGGCCCAGTCTCTGCTTCCAGGATGGTGCCTTGAACACTGCTTCCTCCAAATGGGATGAATGCTGTGTCCCTACATGGTGAAATAGAGACACAGAGGGGAAAAGGGACAAACAGCTCCCTTGCACTTCTTTTATAAGGTAATTAATCCCATTCATGAGGGCTCTGCCTTTATGACTTAATCACCTCCTAAAGGCTCCACCTCTTAATATTATCACAGTGGTGATTAAGTTTCAACATATGGGTTGTTGGAGGACACATTCAGGACATAGCACTAGGCTATACTTAGAAGATAAAAAGTCATGGAGAAGATCCCAGTGATTCCAGTCAAAGCCATACTAAGCTATCCAACAACCAGTCAACCACCACAGATGAGAGAGCTTACCCCACATTGCCAGAGCTTACAGCTGATCATGAGTGAGGCTTGAGTGAGCACAGCTGAGACCAGAAAAACTGCCCAGCTGACTCATGAGCAGTCACAAATACTCATTGTTTTAAGCAGAATTCAGCAAACCTTTACTTTTAAAGGACCCTATAGTACATAATATAGGTTCGTGCAGCATACCCTGTGTTGTAACTCTCCTCTGCTACTGTAGTGCAAAAAAATAGCCATAGATCATGTGTAAATGAACAGACATGGTGGTGTCTAAATAAACTGTGTTCACAAAAACTGGCATCTGGACCACAGGCTATGGTTTTCTGACCCCTGATTTTAAGGCGTTGAGTTTTGGGTGATTTGTTATACAACAAGAACTAACTGATACACTACATGATTCTGAATTGATATCCCAAATAAAGAAAAACATCAAAGTTAATACCAAGCAATGTATTTGCAAAGATAAAAGGAAGTAGCAAGAGGAAAATATCTCCATTTGCTTGAAGTTTACACCTTAGCTGCCTTTAAAGTTTACACCTTAGCTGCCTTTACAACACTTTGTTTGCAGACTGGGTATATTGTCATAGAACTGCTATTTCAGTCTTTACAAATAAGATTTTAATGAGGCTAGCCACACTTCTAGTGGAAAAAAACTTATTTTGGTTGCAAATTCAGTTTGCAAGCTTCTGAATTCAGATTTCAACCCCATTGAAACAGATTTCAAAGATTTCTGGAGAGCTTTTAAAGCCAAATTCATCAGCCTTTGCTTAGTTCTCCTCATCCTCACTGTCTCCATCATAGTTAGTGCTTCTGACCTCAGCCTCCTTGAAATTCTCTTCTCCTTTGGCTTGCATACTGCTTCTAGTTCATTTCTTTCCTCTCTGGTCTACAGTAGGAGCTCCATATTCAAAGCTGCTCCCCTCCTTACACATGTCAGTCCTGAGCCACTTTTTCTAGTGGGTCTTGGTCAGGCATATGTGTCAGAAGCCTCTATGTAATTTATTTAAAACTTGGAAGCATAATTGCTATAATTTGCAAAAGCTCCTCAGGTGACTTTGGTGAACACTTCTATGACAGACAGTATTTTACAAATATGGCTCCAAAATATCTCCTATCCCACATGTCCTTCTGCAATGTGTGCCACTCCCACATCAAGAGAATCAAGAGAGAGATAAAGTCTAGGCTGGCCAGGCTGCCTTTGCTCTGCACCACGTGTTCACTGTGGTGGGCCCCATGCCAGGGCAGTGGCTGCAGCAGCTGGCAGTGCTAGTCCTGATTCTGGTGCTAGCCTGGGGGGCTGGTCTACTATGGCAGGAGAAGGATCAGCCCATCTATTTGGCAGTGAAGGGAGTGGGGCTTGATGTCACCTCTGGAAAGGGGTTTTATGGACAAAGAGCCCCCTACAATGCCTTGACCAGGAAGGACTCTGCTAGAGGGGTAGCCAAGGTGTCCTTGGATCATGTAGACCTTACCTGTGACACACCACAGGTCTCATAGCCAAGAAGTTGTAGTCCATGGATGATGTCTTCACCAGTGTGTACAAAGCCAAACACCCAATTGTCAGCTACAGGGCTCAGACAATTCTCAATGAGTTTGGCAGCCCCAACCTGGACTTCAAGGCTGAAGACCAGCCCCTTTTTGACAAGAAGGAGGGGTTCTGAGGTTTCATCTGCAGGAGCAGGTTCTTGGGAGAGTGAGGTAGGAAGACATTCCAGCACTAAATTTCCTGCAAAACAGGCTGCCTAAAGCTTCTGACTTACCCAGGTTTGAATAAAACAGATGCTTAACCTGGAAAAAAAAAAAAAAGAGATAAAGTCTATTTATCAACCTCTTGAATATAGTGGGGCCCTGTGATATCTTTGGCCAATAGAATGTGATAGCAGTAATTGTGCTAGTTCTAGACATAGCCCTTTATTGGTCTGGTAGCTTTCACCTCCTACCTCTTGTAAGAAGTGTGATTATCTTGAGACAACCATGGTATGAGAAAGCTAGGCCATGTGAAGCAGCTGCAAAGGATGAGATCCCATGTGTGAGTGGAGAATCCATCTGGGAAGTGGATCCTTCAGGCCCAGCCAATATCATGTGGAACAAAACTACCTAGCTATACCCTTTCCAAATGCCTGACCCACAAAATCATAAACAAAATAAATGGTTGTGTTATGTCATTAAGCTCTAGGGTAGTTTGTTACTCAACAATAGGTGAACTAGACCAACCCTCTTTACCTATACACACATACCATCCTGTTAAGAATCACTGATGAAGCTGGCCAGGTGCAGTGGCTCAGGCCTATAATCCCAGCACTTTGGGAGGCTGAGGAGGGCAGATCACCTGAGGTCAGGAGTTCGAGACCACCCTGGTCAACATGGTGAAACCCCATCTCTACTAAAAATACAAATTTAGCTAGGCGTGGTGGCATGTGCCTGTAATCCCAGCTACTCTGGAGGTTGATGCAGGAGAATCTCTTGAACCTGGGAGGCAGAGGTTGCAGTGAGCCAAGATTGTGCCACTGCACTCCAGCCTGGGCAACAGAGCAAGACTCCATCTAAAAAAAAAAAAATAGAACCACTGAAGAACCTATATTGTCTCCCTGGCCTTAACCCTGTTAAGAACCAGTAACATCCTATACTGCTGCCCACCTGGCCTATATGGATTAAGCCACCCTCCATGAGCTGATACTTCAGAAATCTTAATCTTAACTCTTTTCTGAGCTCTACACCAGTTAGTTATGTAGACGTCCTGCTGGTACCTCAAATGCAATACATTTGTTGCTAAACTGAACGCATCAGCTCCCTTTTTAAAAGTCCTGTGCCCTTTTGCAATTAATTGTACCATTGTTTACCAAGTCACCCGTGGAATAATTTTTTATTCCTCTCTTTCACCTGGAGCAGCCATTAAGTCACAACATTCTTTTTGTCTTCTTCTTTCTATCCTTTTTGTCATTAACCTAATAATAACTTTATCATCTCTCAGCTGCATTACCGCAATGGTCTCTCTGCCTTTTATTCTTTAGTCCATCTTCCACAAAATGGCCAGAGTGAGCTTTCTAAAACATGAGTAGGTTCACATTATTTCTCTCCTTCAAAAGCAGCAATAGTTCCTGAATGCTCACCAGGAAAATCTCACTCTTAGTATAGCAGGCAATGTCCGCCACTATTGAGTGGCAAAGTAACTTCTCTACCTGTCATCCATTACCTCCTTATCACAACATAACTCTCAGCTACCTGGTCTACTAGCTGCCTTTCCCTGACTCTGAGCTTCTGTACAGACTTTTTCCTCAGTATGGAATGACTCTGCACTCTTTCTCCACATGTAGAATTTTTTTGAGTATCTCAAAGCCCAGTTCAATTTTCATGTTTTCCTGGATGTGTTTTCTGATTGCTCTTTTCCCTAGGGCTGCCACATATACCTGTGCAGTGTGTACCACACAACTCTAAGGAGAGCCATTCATAATTACAATGTAAGTTGCACTTCCTAGAGTTGTACAATGTACAACTTATAACAAGCTCCAGTCATAAGTAATTATTTTGTTCTCTGTACTCCTTCAATACAGTTCTTTATTTTGTTCCCTAAGCATACGTTTATAACACTGACTATATGCCAGGCACTGATAAAAGATCACAGACACAAATATGAATATTATTAGGTCTTGGCCTCAAGAAGGTTAAAGTTAGAGCAGATAGACATATAATCTGTATGTTACATATATACATACACATGTATGTTACATATATACACACATATAATGTATATTACAAAAATCTTTCACCTTTATTTTGTCCTTACTTTCATCTTCTCTATATCAGTATTGGTTGAGAGCTCTATTTTAGTGCAAAATTCTTAAAGGCAGAAGTAATGTTTTATTTATCATAGCCCACAACTAACACTAGAATGTGCACCATACAGGGCTGAGATAATGGTTATTGGATTTAGTCAGATGTACAAATAGTAACAAGAGTAATCATTTGTTGACTTTTTACATAGAACATTGTGAACTCTGACATGCTGGGTGAGAAGTACACATTTAGAGCTGTGGCAGAGGCTGCTGTATGTTCACCTAACCCCATTCGATTTTCTTACTGGCCATTCAGCTAGACTATATTTCCCAGCCTTCCTTGCTGTTAGGTGTGATCATGTAACTAAGTTCTGGCCAATGGAATGTGGACAGGAAGTGATTATATATATAAATATATAATATATAATATATATAATGTAATACATATTATATATTATGACATATATTATACATTATATATATATATATATATATATATCTGGCCTATAAAAACCTTCTGCTTAATCTATATTTTTTTCTACATCCGATAGCTTAATGGAGAGGACCCTGAAGATCTATAAGAGGTAGAATTACAAGACAGAAGGAGCCTAGGCCCCTGAGTTGCTATTAGGGGGATTAATAGCTGACTGAGAACACCTGCATGATACTAATGCATGAGTTAGAAATAAACTTTTATTGTGTACAGTCTCTGAATTTGGGACTGCTTGTTACAAATGTTAGCTTATCTTGACTAATCTAAGTACTAAGTTTAATATAACCTTCCTAGATTGATCATAATTACCTACTTTTCAAAAAAGTACCCCATAAAAAAGATTCCAAAACTGTATTTATTAATCCATTTAAGTATAAACTCTCTCATTTCTGTGATTAGAAATAATAGCTTTGTTCAATCGCTTACATTTATAGTCTTCAAAATATGTGAGTGGTAATAATACCCCAAAAATATCAATTTCTCTTAAGAGATACTTTAATGAACCTAGAGAAAACTATTAGGCATAGGGTATGAAAAGATCTCAGGGATCCCCGTCACTGGTAAGGACAGTGCTCGAGCCTTCCACAGCAGGCTGCTGTTTACAGAGGCTGTCATAAGATGGGGATACTGAGGTTCAGGCCTGCTGAATGTTGCAAAAGAGGGACCAAGCTTTGAGTTCCTTGATGCCTTAGAAGCAGTATGGCACTTGTCACTACTCTGTGATTTGTATTTATGTCACAACCTTACCACTTCCTGTTTTCATCCCCAAAAAGAGCTTTTGGGAGAAAAACAAGACCACAAAGTGTAGAAGGCCGACTGTGCCCCTTTCTTCTTGTACTTTCTCAACGTACATTCACTAGGCACCCACTACGTATACTTCTCTGTGTGTGCATGGTGTGTGTGGTGGAATAGTTCAAATAAACATGATAAGCAGAGCTGCTTCCAGGGAAGTTTTTAGGCTGTTGAGATTTGACAATGCAAACAGCTGTTTAAAACACAGTACGGTGTAGAAAGGACATTGACTTTCGTGAGACAGACCTGGGTTCAAATTCTGGCTCCATTAATGACTATGGTTTAAACATGGGCACCTACTTAAGCACTTAAATTCAGTTTTCCTAACTGCAATTTTTCAGGATGGTTATAAGAATTAGAAAATTTTCCAGCATGGTGCCTGGAAAATAGTGGCTGCTTAATTAGTGATAGCTATTCTTATATAGGGAGACAGCACACACATATGCACACATGCATGCACACACACACGATCAGTTAAATATATGAGAAATGGCAATAGACAAGTCTGGAGGAGGGGAATAACATTGGGCTGATATAGATGAAAAAAGAACAAGGCTTCCTTTTAGAACATTTATCATTTCTAATATAATAAGGAAGCCAGATCTAAATGGGCGACTCTCCTGCAGGTATCACCAACAAAGAATAAAAGGAGAAAGGAATTCACTGTTTCAGAAGAAACATTTTTATATCATATGAAAAAATTTTGAGCAGGCACTGTTGACTCATACAGACACATTTGTGTGTGTGTATGCATGTGTGTGTGTGTATGAAGGATAGATCATAAAAATTGTTCATATGTTCGGGAACAAAATTAGGACATATTTTCTAAAATTGTAGAGATCCAGAGTTAGAAGAGGATCTTTCAACCCAAATAAATCATTTCACAATCAAAGTGACAGACTCAAAGAGGTGAAATGACTTGTCTAAGGCAAACAACTAGGAAATAGTTGAGCCAGGACTTGAATCTTGATCTGGATTTCCAGTCCAATGCTTTCTAGTCAAGAAAGGAGTTATTCCATGATGCCACTGAATAGACCTTTTTGGAGGGTCTTAGTTCCATTTTATAGGTGATAAAAATGAGGCCAACAGAATGATAATGATGGTTACCATCTATCAACCACCTACCTTGTGCCAGGCACTGTTCCAAGCACTCTCTTTGATAATCTTCACCACAACCCTATGAGATTGGAAATGAGGCACAGGAAGCTAAGTGACTCACATAAGTAGTAAGCAGTAGAGCAAGAATTGACACCAAGGCTGTCTGGCACCAATGCACATGATCTTAACCACTACTTTATACTAACAGATTGGATTCCTGCTCTTAATCTTTTTGATAAAATATGATGCACATTGGCTGGGCACAGTGGCTCATGCCTGTAATCCCAGCACTTCGGGAGGCCAAGGTAGATGGATCACTTGATGTCAGGAGTTGGAGACCAGCCTGGCCAACATGATGAAACCCCATCTCTACTAAAAATACAAAAATTAACCGGGCGTGTTGGCACATGCTTGTAATTCCAGCTACTTGGGAGGCTGAGGCAGGAGAATAGCTTGAACTCAGGAGGCAGAGGTTTCAGTGAGCTGAGATCGTGCCACTGCACCCCAGCCTGGGTGACAGAGTGAAACTCTGTCTCAAAAAAAAAAAAAAAAAATAGATGATGCACATTATGTCAAAACTCTGCTGGTAAGAAGCATAAATTACTTTGTCTACAGGCACATCTGCTGAGAGTACAAGTATTATTTTATAGATAAGAACATTTGCTTGAGTGCTTACCATGTGTCAGAGTTCTGCACCTGTACATATGATCTCAGGTAAAGCATGCAGCATAATGCTGGCCCACAAAAGATCAATGAAACAAAAGTTGGTCATTTGAAAAGATAAAGTTGACAAACCTTCAGTCAGACTAAGAAAAAAAGGGAAAAGACCCAAATAAACAAAATCAGCGATGAAAAATAGACATTATAACTGATACCACAGAAATTCAAAGGATCATTAGAGACTATTATGAGCAACTATATGCCAATAAATTGGAAAACCTAGAATAAGTGAATAAATCCCTGGATACATACAACCTACCAATATTGAACCATGAAGAAATGGAAGACCTGAAAAAAGCAATAACATGTAATGAGATAAAAGCAGTAATAAAAATTATCCTATCAAAGAAATGCCCAGGACCTCATGGTTTCACTGCTGAATTCCATCAAACATTTTAAGAACTAATACTAATCCTACTCAAACTATTCCAAAAAATTAAGGATGAAGGAATACTTCCAAACTCGTTCTACAAGGCCAGTATTGCCCTGATACCAAAACCAAACAAAGACACAACAAAAGAGAGAAAAACTACAGGTCAATATCTCTGATAAACATAGAGGCAAAAATCCTCAACAGAATATTAGAAAACTAATTTCAACAACACATTTAAAAGATCATTCATCATGATCAAGTGGGATTCATCCCAGGAATCCAAGGGTGGTTCAACATATACAAATCAGTTAATGTGATACATCATATCAACAGAATAAAGGACAAAAACCAGATAATCATTTCAATTGATGCCAAAAACACATTCAATAAAATCCAACATCTCTTTATGATAAAAACTCTGTCAAAAAATAGAAAGAGCATACCTCAACATGATAAAAGACATATGCAAAAAACCGATAGCTAGTATCATACTGAATGGGCAAAAGCTGAAAAAGCCTTTCCTCTACGATCTAGAACAAGACAAGGATACCCACTTTTACCACTGTTATTCAACATAGTACTGGAAGTCCTAGTGGGAGCAATTAGACAAAATAAAGAAATAAAGGACATTTAAATTGAAAAGGAAAAAGTTAAATTATCATTGTTTGCAGATGACATAATCTTAGATTTAGAAAAACCTAAAGACTCCACTAAATAAATCTATTAGAAATGATAAACAGTTTCAGTGAAGTTGCAGGATACAAAATCAACATACAAAAATCAGTAGCATTTCAATATGCCAAAAGGTAACAATCTGAACAAGAAACAAAGAAAGTAATCTCATTTACAATAGCTACAAATAAAGTAAAATACCTAGTATTAGGCCTGGGGCAGTGGCTCATGCCTGTAATCCCATACTCTGGAAGGCTGAGGCAGGCAGATCACCTGAGGTCAGGAGTTCAAGGCCAACCTGGCCAACATGGTGAAACCCCATCTCTACTAAAAAGTATAAAAATTAGTTGGGCATGGTGGTGTGTGCCTGTAGTCCCTGTAGTCTCAGCTAGGGAGACTAAGGCAGGAGAGTCACTTGAACTTGGGAGGTGGATGTTGCAGTGAGCCAAGATCACACCACTGCACTCCAGCCTGGACAACAGAGAGAGACTCCATCTCAAACAACAGCAGCAACAACAACAACAACAACAACAGAACAAAACCAAAAAACTAGTATTAAATACCTAGTAGTAAAATATCTTTTTAATCAAACAAGTTAAAAATCTCTACAATAAAAACAATAAAATATTGACAAAAGAAATTGAAGAGGACACAGACAAATGGAAAAGATATTCCATGTTCATGATTTGGAAGAATCAATATTGTTAAAATGTCCATACTACCCAAAGCAATCTATAGATTCAATGCAATCCCTATCAAAATACCAAGGACATACATCACAGAAACAACAACAAAAAAATCCTAAAATTTATATGGAACAACAAAAGACCCAGAATAGCCAAAGCCATCCTGAGCAAAAAGAAGAAAATTGGAGGAATCACATTACCTGACTGTAAATTATAATACAAAGCTATAGTAACCAAAAGAGTGTGGTATTGGCATAAAAACAGACAAATAGACCAATGGAGCTGAATAGAGAACACAGAAAGAAATCCATACATCTACAGTGAACTCATTTGCAATGAAAGTGTCAAGAACATACACTGGGGAAAGTACGGCCTCTTCAAAAAATGGTGCTTGAAAAACTGGATATCCATATGCAGAAGAATGAAACTAGACTCCTATTTCTTACCATGTACAAAAATCAAATCACATGGATTAAAGCCTTAAATCTAAGACCTGAAACTATGAAAATACTAGAAGAAAACATTGGGAAAACACTTTAGGACATTGGTCTGGGCAAAGATTTATTGAGTAAGACCTTAAAAGCACAGTTAACCAAAGCAAGAAAAAAAAAAAAAAAAGGACAAATGGAATCACATCACACTAAAAAGCTTGTGCACATCAAGGGAAACAATCAACAAAGTGAAGAGATAACCCACAGAATGTGAGAAAATAGTTGCACACTATCTGTCTGACTAGGGATTAATAACCAGAATATATGAAGAGCTCAAACAACTCAATAGGAAAAAAAAAACAACCAATAATTCTTTTTTTTTTTCCCAAGACGGAGTTTCGCTCTTTTACCTGGGCTGGAGTGAAGTGGTACCATCTCGGCTCACTGCAACCTCCACCTCCTGAGTTCAACCGATTCTCCTGCGTCAGGCTCCTGAGTAGCTGGGACTATAGGTCCATGCCACCACACCTGGCTAAATTTTGTATTTTTAGTAGAGACAGGGTTTTACCATGTTGGCCAGGTTGGTCTCGAACTCCTGACCTCAGGTGATCCACCCGCCTCAGCCTCCTAAAGTGCTAGGATTATGGGCATGAGCCACTGTACCTGGCCATAATTGATTTTTAAAAAGGCGAAAGATCTGAATAAACATTTCTCAAGACATACGCATGGCCAATAGGTAAATAAAAAATGCTCAACATCACTAGTTATCAGAGAAATCCAAATCAAAACTATAATGTGATATCATCTCTCCATAAATGGCTTTTATCCAAAAGACAAACTATAAAAAATGCTGGTGAAGTTGTGGAGAAAGGCGAACTCTTGTATACTGTTGGTGTAAATGTAAATTAGTACAGCTACTATGGAGAACAGTATAACATTAAAAAAAATAAAAATAGTACTACCATATGACCCAGAAATCCCACTACTCTGTATATATCCAAAAGAAAGAAAATCAGTATATCAAAGAGATATCTGTACTCTCAGCAATATTCACAACAGCCAAGATATGGAATCAACCTAAGTGTACATCAGTGAATGAAAGGATAAAGAAAATGTGATCCTTATACACAATGGAATATTACTCAACCATAAAAAGTAAGATCCTGTCATTTGCAACAACATGGATGGAACTAGAGGACATTACGTTAAGTGAAATAAGCCAGGCACAGAAAAATAAATATTGCATTTCCTCACTCATGTGGGAGCTAAAAAAAAAAGACAACTCACGGAGACAGAGAGTAGAAGGATGGTTACCAGAGGCTGGGAAAGGTAACAGGCAGGGGTGGATAAAATGGGACTTGTTAATAAATACAAAAATACACTTAGATAAAGTGAATAAGAGCTAGTATTCAGTAGCATAATAGGGTGACTATAGTTAACAATAATTTATTGTATATTTAAAAATAACTAAAAAAAGTGGAACTAGAATGTTCCTAACACAAATAAGTGATAAATAGCTGAGGTGATGGATGCCCTAATTACCTGATTTGATCATTACACATTATATGCTGGTATCAAAACATCTCATGTATCCCATAAATATATATAACAATTATGAACTCATGAAAATAAATAAGTTAGCTTAAAAATGCTAGCTTTTTATAGGTCCTCAATATAGTGGAAAAAATGGTAAGCAGTAGGAATAAATATGTAATGCTAGAAAGAACCGAGAAATTTTTAAGGAGTGGGGCTGCTGGTAGCAATATTCCTTGTCTGTATTTGGACAAAAATGTTTGTGTTTTTGCAAGGCTGGGTTTGCTTTATTTAAATATAAACAAAAACAAAACAAAACAATTAAAAAAATAATAAATAAATATAAACAGCAACTATCTACATAAACTTTCACATACCTGTTGGAAAGAGGACAATTTCTCTAGAATTATACATCAGTCAAAAAAATTATTGTGTAATATAATTTACCTGTCTGTTTAAGCCATCCCATTGCAAAGCAGGGACACAGTCCTTGTGAATAAAAAGCAGACTAAAACAATTTTCACTTTCAAGTCAGTTCTTTCATAAAGGAATAAAACAGTGAAATCACAAAATTTCTTCATTCTCTTCCACCATATGGGTTTCTTTGAGGTTTAATAATATTATAAATAAAGCAGCACTGAGATGAAATACAAAACAGTGAACAACAATTTAGAAACATTTTGAAGGAGCAAGTATTATATTCTAGCGTTGCCAGGCTTTCAGCATAAGTAAGATAGAAAACAGAGCGCGAACTCTCATTTGTTCTATCAAGAAAGCATAAATATTGGGTTCTTATTAAGACATCCTCTTGCAGCTGTACACCAGCTCTCAACTATTAAAAAAGATTCTTAAATTCCCAGGGAAACAAAAGTCAATTTCAGTCATATAAGTTTGCATATAAACTTTGCTTTATTCCAAACATTTTTTCATCAAGGAATTTGGAACAACAATTTTTTGAAAGAGAGTCTTCAGTTCACCTATTACACCATTATAAATATTTGAATGACCTCCAGCAACTTTGCTTAGAAAATTTCAATGTCTGTATAACATGCCAATGACAGCGCAGCACTAGGGTCAATACATTTCATTATTTGGCAAGATAACCACTCATAGCAATAGATTGAAATTCAGATTGTCATTTTCATGTGTTTCACTTTCATCACAGCACACTGGATGGTTGCTCTTGACTTTTCTTGCCCTCTTGGCAAGATACTCATTTGTCAGATTATATTAAAATTTTGTTTTATCTGTTAAAGCTTAGAGAGTGAGCTAAGTGATACTGTTTTAATCCCAAATCAATATGTGTAGTCAGGTCTTGAAAGAATTCCAATCATTGTAGCCCTTGTTCATATTTTAGGTGGTTAATAATGCTATCGTGTCATTTTCCTTGGAGCTCATTTTATATATTCTGTTTGTAGGAATTATAGTGACAATTGATCACATAGCCTAAACAAGGAAATGGATGTGATATGCATTTTCTGGGTTTTGTAAGAATCTTCACTGGCAAAGTGAAATATTATATATATTTTCTTAAGCTTGGAGAAATAGAGTAGAGGTGTACTTCTCACACTTTAGTGAGCTTTAGAATCTCCTGGAGAGGTGGTTAAAACAAACTTGTAGGTCTCATAGCCAGAGATTCTGATTCAGTAGACCTGGGTAGAATTTGAGACTTTGGGATAGATTCTCAGTTGTTGCTGATGTTGCCAATTCAACTACCATCCTTTGAGAAACAATAAAATAATATGGAGTGGTCAATAGCAAAGGCTTTGCCATTAAACAATCTTGGGCTTAAATCCTGCTTTCTTGTTTAAAGATTTGTTGATTTGAGGTAATTTATTTCCACTATTTTTAAGCCTTTGTTTCTCATCTGCTCATTAGGGGTTTTGTATGTATTAAATAAAATGATGACTGTCCAGCACTTGATATAGTGCTGATAATAAATGACAGCCACAGTTATTAGAAATGTGGTCATCTCTTTTGCTGGGATCTGTCTGGTTAACCACGCAGTGCTTCTGCTTCATATCTTGGTGTATTTGGCAAATTATTTGTCAGTTATGTCTAGATTAGGAGTTATCTGATTAGTGAGCTAGCAGCTATTCAAGACTTGAATTGCTCAGGTGGGCCCCAAAACACTTAAATATCTTTATCTTTGGGCTCTCCTTAAACAGGAACTCCAACTAAACACTGTACTAACATTTTGTTTGGTTCTGTCCTTTAAATTATTTTCCATGTAAATAACTTTATAGTTCCACAGTTATGTCTTCTTATGAATGATTTTTAAAAAATGAACATCAGCTTATTTTCAAAATCAAACTCAAGTCTTTGGAGACTAATATCCTTTCTCTCCATATTTTGCTATTAAGAGGGCTGGTGTTCTGCCAAGGCAACGTATTAATAAATTTAAGCTTGAGATTTTCATTGTCATGCGAACGTTGAAATTGGCCCTCAATTACACAAAGCAGCCAATTCAGCAGGATACGTGAATTGGATTTATAACGAACACGTTTGTGAAGAATTACTTTTAAATCCCTGATTTTGTGGTTTATTTCTAATTCGTTCAAAAAGCATGATCCAGCAGTCACAAAAGTCTCAGCCAATTCAGACCAAGTTTATTTTGAGAAATACATGATTTTACTTTAGTCAAGTGTTAACAAATAAATTGGTTTTACATTTAATCATTTTTTCAGTTGTTCACGTAATACTAAATCCCATCTTGCTGGTAGGCACTGGGCTAGACACTAGGGAAAACACTTCATCCTCCCACAGCCTATAGTCTAGTGAAAAAGGTAAAAGTACAGCTGTTAGAACCTCATTTTAACAGGCTGATAAGTCTCCAGTCCTTATTAGTTGATAAGTGTTAGAAAAATATTTGTGTTCATACCCAATTACCCATGAATCTATTAACCATCACCCAAAACTTCACACACTTCACTAGGTGGTGTCTTCTAGATGTGGTATCCTCCAGGGTGTCTAGCCAAAGGAGAACTTTACATTTCCTATGGTTGTATTCGTAAAATGAACATAGAGACGGCAAATCAAGGCAGCTCTGTAGTTTGCAATTAGCTGTCACTTAAACTCTCTAGCAAAATGATGTGATTGAAGACAATAACAGTCTATACATTAAACTTGATTGGGGGGATTTTCATACAATGCAGAAATTTACATTCACATGATCTGTTATGAAATGAATGTTTGTGTTCTCTAAAAATGCATATGTTGAGGCCCTAATCCCTAATGTGATGCTATTTGGCAATGGGGCCTTTGCTAGGTAATTAGGGCTAGACAAAATCATGAGGGTTGGGGCCCTTATGATGGGATTAGTGCCTTTATAAGAAGAAACACCAGAGAGCTTGCTCTGTCTCTCTCAACCATGTGAGGACATAGTGAGAAGGCTGCCATCTGCAAACCAGGAATAGAGATCTCACCAGAAGCTGAATTGGTTGGCATCTTGATCTTGGACTTCCCAGCCTCCAGAATGGTGAGAAATAAATGTCTGTGGTTTAAGCCACCAAGTCTATGGATTTTGTTATGGCAGCCCTAGCCAACTAAGACATGATCTTAGAAAGATCACAGGGATTTGTACAAAATTACGGAAACGCTCTAAACTTATCTCTTATTATATCCAAATGGGGCCCCTCAACCCCAGTCTGCCAGGCCGGCTCTTTACCATTGCCTGAACACAATTTGCTCTTTCTTGCCTCTACTACATACTCCTCCTTGTGCTGTTTTCTTTACCCAAAATGCCCTCCCCCAATCTTCCACTTCTAGCTGAGAGGCTCATCTTTAAGAAATCTTGCCTGATTAGCCCTAGTCCTTTCCTAAATGATCCTTCATTACAAACTTCATGTTTCACCATGCACTCACATCTATCTCACTCTATTGTGTCCTTATGTTGGTTCAAGGCTGTAGGTCTTATCTCTTCAACTAGACCCTGAGCATTCCCAAGACAAGCCTAGGGTCTAGATGTTAAAAATCTTTTGTGTCCTCCACTGGCTCTCTTAGAGTATTGTGCACATCAAATGGGAATAAAACTTACTGAATGAAAATTGGACTGGATGCCAAGAGCCAACAAATGTTCTAAGGCAAATGAATCAAGTAGTACGGGGAAGCACAATAAAACCCTGAATCCAGAGGCTGTGGGTGCAGGGTGGGGTGAGAGTTGTTCTGGATAAGTGAGTTTAATGGATGGCTGAGGATTTATCTTTTTGAACATCAAAAGTTTTACTTTTAATTATCTTGGATGGAAACATTTCCAGTATAGCAAACTTAACTGCGTTCTCAAATAGTGCATTATGAACATGATCCAGCCAGAGGACTCGGGGTTGTCATTAAAGCCTATAACGCTGAGAAGCCCTCAGGCCCCTCTGAGGTTTGCAGAACTGTTTGTCCCTATTCTAAATGGCTGCAGATTTCTGTGTTTTTATTGTTGTTTTGTTTTTTTGGCTCTTCTGAGTCCTCCCTTGCCGCTGTCCATCTCACTGATGTCCATGTGAGTGTGCCATTTCTATTCCCTGATCCTAATTTGCTGCTTCTCATCTAAAATGAGTTGGAAATCAGATGCCCAAGCTCACTGTGGTTGTTGTCATGATTATTATTGTTAGAAATGTGTGTAAACGAAGAGAAAAGGGCTCTCTGTGTGAGGGCTTGCCGGAGTCTCCATGGCCAAACTGGGCAAGAGTCAAACACATCTATGTTGTGAACGCCGAGTTTGGCTGCTCCGAAGACTTTTAAATTTATCCTCTATTCTTACTTTTCTGTTCTGAAAATAAAACTTTCTGGATATATATGTTTCAGATAAATTCAGTCGGGTATTCAACAAATAACATTGTTTGCAAAGTGCAAGATGCATGCTAGGCACTGTATGATGACCCTCTAAAATGAACATTCTATATCTGTCTGGCTCACCATTTTCTATATTGCATTAGCACAGCACAAATACTCAATAAAAATATTAGTTGAACAAATGAAATGAATCTTATAATTTGGGCAGTGATGAGATACTCACATACTACACACACAAACAAGCTTACAATGTAAACTACAGAGCAAGTCATCATAGAGATACAACTAAAGTCTACACAAAGACCAAAAGATTATTTTCTGCTGAAAAAAATCCAGAAGGACTGCCTGGAAGAGATAGTAGCTTTGACTGGGACTTGAAGGATGGTGTCATATTTCAATCAGCGAGAAGTTAGGGAAGTAAGAAAGGACAAGAACACTGCAGACAAGACCCAGATGCTAGAATGGGTAGGGTGTATTTGGGAGTTGATGAGTACATTTTGGCTGGAGAGCCTGTAGGGGAGTAGGAGGAGATCACATTATAATGTTATATTGGGGTCAGAGCATGGGTGGGCCTTGACTATCAGGCTAAAGAATTTGGACTGTGTTTATTAGGTGAAGGGAAGGAGCTGAGGGTTTTTGAGCTGGGAGGCAACATGCTTAGACCTGGGCCTTAGAAACATCACCTTGATAGAAGTTGAAATTTAGGAGTTGAAGGGAAACAGGGCTAGAGGTGATTCCAAGGGTATAGGTGAGAAGTGATGTGGGCCTGAACTAGAATGTTGGCAATGGAAACAGCAAGGCGGAATAATTGCCAACGATGCTGCAGAGGTAGAATAAGAAAACTTGGCAATGTATTTGTTGTCAGGAGTGACACAGAGGGACACATTGAGTGTAATTCCAAGTAATGTCCTTTTGATAACTTAGAGAGTCCACAAGAACAGGTTTTAGAGAGATGGTGATGAGTTTGATCTGGAATATGCTTAGGTATGAGAGTGAACTGTTGATACCTCTGCTGTAAAAACATGAATAAATGCTGGGCCTGGTGGCACATGCCTGTAATCCCAGCTACTCAGGAGGCTGAGGCACGAGAATCACTTGAACCCGGGAGGTGGAGGTTGCAGTTAGCTGAGATCACACCATTGCACTCCAGCCTGGGTGACAAGAGTGAGACTCTGTCTTAAAAAATAAAATAAAATAAAATAGGCCAGGTGCGGTGGGCCACGCCTGGAATCCCAGCACTTTGGGAGGCCAAGGCGGGTGGATCCAGAGGGCAGGAGACTGAGACCATCCTGGCTAACACAGTGAAACCCCGTCTCTACTAAAAATACAAAAAATTAGCTGGGCGTGGTGGTAGACGCCTGTAGTCCCAGCTAATTGGGAGGCTGAGGCAGGAGAATGGCATGAACCCGGGAGGCAGAGCTTGCAGTGAGCCGAGATTGCGCCACTGCACTCCAGTCTGGGTGACAGAGCGAGACTCCGTCTCAAAAAAAAAAAAAAATAAATAAATAAAAATAAAATAAATGAAATAGGCCAGGCCTGGTGGCTCACACCTGTAATCCCAGCACTTTGGGAGGCCAACGCAGGTGGATCATTTAAGTTCAGGAGTTCGAGACCCGCCTGGCCAACATGGTGAAACCCCATCTCTACTAAAATTACAAAAATTAGCTGGGCTGGTGGTGGGCACCTATAATCCCAGTTACAAAGAAGGCTGAGGCAGGAGAATTGCTTGAGCCCAGGAGGTGGAGGTTGCAGTGAGTCGAGATTGTGCCATTGCACTCCAGCCTGGGTGACAGAGTGAGACTCCATCTCAAAAATAAAATAAATAAAAATAAAATAATAAAAACATGAACGGAAACGACACTGAAAAATACTAAAGAGAGAATTAATACTCACAAAATGAGTGCTTATGTGGATTCAGGCCACAAAAAGGCATTAGAAGGTCCATGTCTCATTTTTAGTCCCTTCTTGATAGGACTATGGTAAAAAGTATTAATTCTTCTTTTCAAATGCTTCCAAGTGAACCTTTAAAATAAAGCTTTTACTTCTTTTTCTAAGAGACTAGTCTTGATAAGACGGAAGCATTAATGCTCTTCAAAGTGTGAGCATTTTTGGACTAGCTCATGGAAGTAGCTGTAGATCCTCTCATCAGAAACAAAGGTGTTTTTGGATTAGCAGGGCAACTCACCAGGAATAAGTAGGGAAGCTAAGACACTGCACTGGATTTCATAGAATGGATGTGTAGGATTTTGACCTGTAAATAAGAGGGAAAAGTTCATTCTAGACAAAGGAAACTGCGTATATAAACCTGGTGTGATAAGAATGATAAGGCATGGTCAAGAACTGGCAAGAAGCGATTTCCATGTGGCTGGAGCACCTGCAGAGAGAGCATGGGGAGATGCTGTACAATTAGGGAACTAGATGGACACTACGCTACTGATGTGCTGCTGGAAGCAAATGAGGATCTGAGCAAATGAGGTTATGAATGAAGCTACTGACCAGCCTACAGTGGCACTCAATGTGTGCTCGCTAATAGGCTGTTCATGTTGACAACAGCTTTTGGCCCATCAGAATTGGATGAGCCTCCTCTTAGGTTCAAATCAGCTTCAGCAGTAGGTTGTGGGAACAGAGGCCTTGAAGTGGGAAAGATTCCAGAAGATTAATATTACAGCCAGCAACCAAGATTCACTTTTGGCTTGGGGCACAATTTTAATATAGAAGACAAAGGGAAGCAAAATGCCATCTTGTAACATGCATAGCACCCTAATCATTCTGGACAGGAACATATCAGGTCCTTGGGGGTCAGTGAGGGGGATAATATAGTTTCTAAACAAGTCCAAGGGGAAAACTGCAAGGGCTATACACCAAAGAGACTCTATTCCTTTTTTAAATGCAGTAGATATGTCAAGCAATTCTATCCTGTAGAATTGCTCTCTCCAACATGGTAGCACTAGCCACATGTGGCTATTGAGCATTTGAATGTGACTAGTCTGAATTCAGATTTGCCGTTGAGTGTCAAATACAGTTTACCATATTTCAAAGACTTAATATGAGAAAAAAGTATAAAATGTTTCATTACTGCTTTTTGTACCAGCTACGTGTTGAATACAATTTCAGATATATTGGGTTAAATAACATATATTATAAAAATAAATGTTTCTTTTTACTTTGAAAAATATAGCTTTTAGACAAAATTAAAATAACTTCTATGGCCTATTATACTATTGGTCAGAACTTCTATAGAAAGTTCATATTGCAATCATAAAATTGCTCTATTTCCTCTGATTTTTCTGAACTTTTTTCCTCTTAGGGAACTTGCCAATATGTGTACTAGGAAGAAATTCAAACTGTAATAAACAGGTTAATGCATTCTTATCTATTGTCTAGGATTGTTTATCTGCATTTTAATGTTTCCATGGAGATCAGTGCAACTGCAGGCTCGTTTTGATAGCCATGGTGTTCAGTACAGTTTGCATATTATAAAAATTATTTAAACAAGAAATTTGAGATGGTTTATTATTTGGGGACATTAAAAAGCAAAAAAGTCAAGGAGGGGAAAAGGTCTCATAATAATAACTTTCATGTCAGGCAAGTTGTAGTCTGACATGTTCACATCGAGTCAACCTTTTTAAAGAAGAGGTTATTGCAAAATACTCTTGCAAAGAGCTTGGAGCCAATATCTCTATTAGAAGATCACATAACAATAGCAAATTCTCAAGAAACAGTACTTGAAGGATCATTTTGCTTTCACATTGGTAAACAGCAAGCAACTTCAGAAAGGGCATTCCTGGATTCAACTGCAGGGCTTCCAATTATTATTACTTTCCTGTGGACTAGTGGAAATTGTCATGTTTGGTCATAACACTGACATTCAGCTTAATTTGTCTTAATTTTGCAAACCTTCCTGCTTCATACCAACAATCTCCCATGATTCTACAAATTTGGTACGTGTTAGCATTGAACAGAATGTGAAATAGCCCCAAGGAGTCTCCACCAATGAAAATAAACTTAAGCAAGGGTCTGAGACATCCTGTAAAGTATTTAACTACATTTTGCAAGGCTCTTTGCATTTAGGAAGTAAGTTTGCTTTTAAATAGAAGTGGTCTCTTTAAAAAAGCAAAGCATTATTCACTGTTTCTGAAGTGTAAGCAAGCAAAAAAAAAATTCAAAAGTTAAATAATGACTATCCAATTCAAAGGGAAGAGTTACAACCTGAGGCGTGCCTACCACATGGAAGGTCTGCGGTGCTTTAAAAAAGTTGGGAGCAGTTTAACTATGTATATGGACAGTCTGATAGTACTTGGTAGACAGTGAACATTTTGGAAGAACGGGCAGTTCCTAAATACCTGTCACCAGGGTTATATTGCAGAGCGAGATGGGACTGAAAGATTCTCATGTCAAGCCTTTAATATCAGCACAACAAAAATGACTTCATCTGTGCAATTAATGAACAAGCTGTTCCCACTCGTGTAATAGTTCCAGGAGAAACTTATTTTGACTTTGATTTGTCCCGGTTTTCCTCTGCACTGAATGTTGTAACCTTGTCGACTAAAATCTCTTGGCCTAATAATTACAGTCAACATTGAAAAGCTCTGCCCTCAAATTATTAGTACAAATAAAAGGAGGGAAAAATAAATTAAACTTGGCCCTTCCACCCCCATGTGATGGATGACATCCACCTGCACCTTGGAAGTTTTGTGCTCGAAATGTTTCAGCACTTTTTCATCTGGAAAATCAAACTAAGTTTCTGCTAATAAATTAAATTTACAGAGTTGTGTTTTGCTACTACTATCATTGCTTTACTAGCCTGTTTGGGCAGTGTAGTTCCTAAAGTTGAAAAATAATTGCATTCTTTTACTTAAACATAAGAAACTCTAAGAGATCCTTTTCATTTCCATTCGGTTTCAACTGTTTAAAGTGAGATCGCTTCCAGAAATGTATGGTTACTGTGAGGGCAATGTATAATAAGAGCTAAATTGTGACTTGAGCATCTCACCTAGAAGAAAACTTTCAGTTATTAACATGCTATGTCTCAGAAAAAAAAAAAAAAAAAGGCTGTGTGTTTTAACTTTGACTCAACAGTAAGCCCAAATAAGCAAACTTATTGCTCTTCTTCATTGAAAACTGAAAAGAAATATCCAAAAACCTCTCTAAACAAATCATACTTCCAGTCCTGATCTATCTTGCTAGTGATAAGCCCTCGGAGTCTAGGGACTACAATTCAAGTTGTTAAGTGAAGCCAATTCCTTCTAGGACTTAAGGATCTAGATTTATTATTCTAAAGTAAAAAATAAATGTAGAGCAAAAGCAATACATCAGGAAATGCTCCCTTTAAAAGCAGCGGTGATAAGTCGTTTATGCTGTGGCTGTCTGCTGGTACTCTCACTAAATTCCACTTTAAGTTGAGGAGAATATGTTAAGAGAATATATTTAAGTGAAATTATTTTCACTTAAAATTCATTTTCATTTAATTCACATCTGATTCTTTTAATCCAAATAAAGTGTTATTTTTTCTTTTAATGCTGGAATGATGTATGCAATTCAACTCTTGTCATTTCAAATTACAAACATGCCAGTAGGGATAAAAGAAGACCAGCTGTAGTGAGGATGGAGGGAGCCTAAATGCCTACTATGTGCTAACACAGTTAATAACTTTGAACTGAATTTACTTTATTCTTCTGATTTAAGAGACAATTTTACCCAAGACATTTTTTTTTTAAGCAGGTAGCCTGGTAGCGTGTAAGAGACAGAGGCAATATGCCAATACTAGCCATTCTCTAGCACTTTCTAGTGTTCAGAGCATAAATTATAATGTGAGACCAGGGCCACGCTAAATTATTTTGGCAGATCAGATGTACGAATCATTTCCTCTGAGGAAAATTTAGGCCACTGGATTAGACTACTGTTTGATGGGTACACAACTGATGAGAGATTCTGCTCACAAAGATATCAGCAGATTAAGTCAAACAGAGGAATCTACAGTTTATTTAGGTCCTCTCTTGGAAATTTTTTTCTAAACATTTTAAAAGTTCTATGGAAGGCCGGTTGCATTGGCTCATGCCTGTAATCCCAAAACATCGGAAGGCCAACGTGGGAGGATCACTTGAGCCCAGGAGTTCAAGACCAGCCTGGGCAACATAATGAGACCCGTTTCTGAAAAAAAAATTAAAAAAATAAATTTTATGGAAGTATGTTAACCACACCAAGATGGATATAGGAGAGTCAATATTTCAGGAGAGTAAATGGAACTGATAATGTTTACTTCCTAAATGCAAATGGTTAGAGAAATGGTTAGAAGTAAAAGAAAAAAAGTTTATTGAGGACAATACTGAAGGAAGCAGACCTCATTCATTCAAAAAATATTTAATGAATGTCTACTATGTGCCAAGTTCTATTCTAGGTGCTAGCTTAATTTCAATAAGCTCACATTCTAACTAAATTTAAGACTCTAATTGAAGTTAAAACATTGAAGTTTCACTTATGGCCATAATAGAGTAGCCAGAACAAAATTTGCCCTCCTTTCTTAAAAAATTAAAAATTGGTCAAAAATCTATGAGACAATGATTTTCAGACATTAGAAAAAAGGCATTCCCCCGAAAGGGAAAAAAAAGCCAGGATGAACCTGAAGAATGACCCAGATTACTGGCTAAAGAATTTCCAGGTCACTGCACAGGAATGGGAACTAGCCTAGTTTGGTGATCTCCCTGAGCTGAAGAGACAGAATTCAGAGTTCAGAGAGGCCAAGGCAGCTAGACTTCATAGAGGGGCGAAGTACAGGATAGAAGGAAGCTGCAATGAGAGAGAGAGAGAGAGAGAGAGAGCTCCAGATATCTGCAGAGGGTCCCTTTGAGTCTTTAGGTGAGTAATAATTAGTGCATAAATTTGAGGAAATTATCAAGCTCGAGAAGAAACCACTGAAAAGGAGCAGGTAGAGCAATACTTGGAGCACACACAGGGCTGGGAATATTTTACGTTCCCATGAGCTACAGTAGAAAGACTTCTTAACACAAAAGAAACTGAGTGGAGCCTTCCAAAGGATATTGCCTCAATAGTAGTGTCAAATTATCCCGAGACTAAAGGCTGTTCTGCACCCACCAAACAAAGCTAAAGAGCAAGCCTTGAAAACATCACACCGTTTTCAAGTAATTTTTTTTTTTTTTCAGATGGAGTCTCACTCTGTTGCCCAGGCTGGAATGCAGTGGTGTGATCTCAGCTTACTGCAACCTCTGCCTCCTGGGTTCAAGTGATTCTCGTGCCTCAGCCTCCTGAGTAGCTGGGATTACAGGCATGTGCCACCATGCCCAGTGGCTAATTTTTGTATTTTTAATAGAGAAAGGGTTTCGCCATGTTGGCCAGGCTGGTCTCAAACTTCTGACTTCAAGTGATCCACCTGCCTCAGCCTCCCAAAGTGCTGGGGTTACCCGCTAAATTACTTGCCTGTTTGCAAGTAATTTAACTGCATTCTTGTGCAAAGACCAAAAATATTGAAAGGATTACAAACATATCCAGCATCTCTCAAAAAATAAGTTTACAATATCTGACATTAAATAAAAAATTACCAGACATGCATGGAAGCAGGAACATAAGATCCATGATGGGAAGAAAATCAATAGGAGCAGACTCAGTGACATAGGTGATGGAATTAGTAGACAACAACATTAAAACAGCTAGTATAAATTTATCCCATATGTTTAAAGTGTATGAGGAAAGCATGAGCGTGACAAGAAGAGAAATGGAAGCTATGAAAAGAGACCCAAGTCAAACCTCTAGAGTTGAAAAGTGCACTGAATGTAGCTGAAATTAACAGCAGATCAGACATCACAAGAAGAAAAGAGCAACGGACTAGAAGTTCATAATAGAAACTACCTAAAATGAAGTCTGGGTGTGGTGGCTCATGCCTGGAATCCCAGTACTTTGGGAGGTTGAGTCAGGCGGATCATCTGAGGTCAGGAGTTCGAGACTAGCCTGGCCAACATGGTGAAAGCCTGTCTCTACTAAAAATACAAAAATTAGCCAGATGTGGTGGTGCATGCCTATAATCCCAGCTACTTGGGAGGCTGAGGCAGGAGAATTGCTTGACCCTGGGAGGCAGAGGCAACAGCGAGCCAAGATCACAGCCACTGCACTCCAGCCTGAGTGACAGAGTGAGACTATCTAAAAAAAAAAAAAAGAAAGAAAAGAAACTACCTAAAACGAAACACAGAGACTAAAACATTGGGGGAAAGCCTGTGCAACATTGCCAAACCCTGTCTGTACAAAAAATAAAAATGTTGGCTGGGCATGGTGGTGTGTACCTGTAGTCCCAGCTACTTGGGAGGCTGATGTGGGAGGATTGCTTAAGCCCTGGAGCTGAGGCTCCGGTGAGCTACGATCATGCCACTGTACTCCAGCCTGGGTGACACACTGAGATCCTATCTTAAAAACAAAGAAAGAAGCAAAACCAACCAAACAATAAAACAGTTGGGGGAAAAAATGAATAGACCATCAGTGAGCAAGCTATGGGCAACATCAAGTAGCATAACAAGTATAATTGGAGTTCCAAAGGGTGAAGAAAGGAAGATGGGGACAGAAAAAAATATTTAAAGAAACAATGGCTGAAATTTTCCACATTTGATAAATTCGGAGCATGGCTTAAAAGATACAGGGCCTTTTTCTCATCATAAACCACTACTTCTGTTGTCCTTTCACCTCGAATGCTCTTGCTCTGTTTCTTCACCTTCACCTAACACACTTTCAGAGTAATCCTCTAAAAGAACATTCCTAGACCCGTCCAAATGATTTAGTCTTTTTCTGAACACTGAAACTTTTTGGCCAGATGCAATGAATACTTGTTTCAATGAATACCTGAATTCTTGTTTGCAATGAATACTTGTTTCTATAGTTGACTTTTTAATTTGTATGCATTTTTAAATTTGCCATGTTTGTATCTTTCCTCCACTCAAGCTTTGGATTCTGTCTTCTTCCCAATTCACAAGATACTTTCTCCCTCAATTCTCTTCTTTTCCTGTTCAGATCTCTACGAGCTTTTGAAGTATAAAAGGTTTAATGGTCAAAAAGCCTACCATGACCCTTCTACCCCACTTGACTTCTGGCTGTTTTATCTTTTCCCCTCACACCAAGGCACTGAAAAGATTTCTGTATTTTTTTCATACCCCATTTATACCACAACATGCTACCATATGGCTTCCATCTTCATCATTGCCCCGAAATTTTTCTCATCAAGGTTACCAGTGACCTATTTGCTACCAAATCCAGTGTATTCTTTTAGCTTAATCTTTGTATTTTTTCTCCTCTTTTTTATTTTTAATTTTTGTCAGTACAAAGTAGGTGTATATATTTATAGACTACATGAGATATTTTGATACAGGCATGCAATGCATAATAATCACATCAGGGTGAATGGGGTATCCATCCCCTCAAGCATTTATCCTCTGTGTTATAAACAATCCAAGTATACTTTTAGTTAGTTTAAAATGTACAATTAAATTACTTCAGACTTACCCTGTGGTGCTATCAAATACTAGGTCTTATTCTTTCTAACTATTTTTTGGTACCCTTTAACCATCCCCACTCCCATCCCCTGACCCCTACTACCCTTCCCGTCTTTTGGTAATCATCATTCGACTCTCAACCTCCATGAGTTCAATTATTTTAATTTTTAGCTTCTACAAATAAGTAAGAACAGGTAAAGTTTGTCTTTTTGTCCTTGGCTTATTTCACTTAACATAGTGACCGCCAGTTCCATCCATGTTGTTGCAAATGACAGGATCTCATTTCTTTTTTAATGAGAATGTAAGTACCCCATTTTCTTTATCCATTCACCTATTAATGGACACTGAGGTTGCTTCCAAATCTTGGCTATTGTGAATAGTGCTGCAACGAACATGAGAGTGCAGATACCTCTTTGATATACTGATTTCCTTTCTTTTTGGTATATATTACACCTAGCAATGAGGATTGCTGGATCACATGATACCTCTATTTTTCTTTTTTCAGGAACTTCCAAACTGTTCTCCATAGTGGTTGCACTAATTTACATTCCCACCAAAAGTGTATGAGCGTTTCTTTTTCTCCATGTCCTCACCAGCATTTGTTATTGCCTGTCTTTGGACAAAAGTCATTTTAACTCGGGTGAGATGATATCTCATTGTAGTTTTGATTTGCATTTCTCTGATCATCAATGATGTTGAGCACTTTTTCACACACCTGTTTGCCATTTGTTTGCCTTCTTCTGAGAAATATCTACTCAGGTCATTTGTCCATTTTAAAATCAGATTATTAGATGTTTTCCTATAGAGTTGTTTGAGCTCTTTATATATTCTGGTTATTAATCTCTTGTCAGATGGGCATTTTGCAAATATTTTTTCCCATTCTTTCCATTCTGTGAGTTGTCTCTTCACTTTGTTGATTGTTTCCTTTGCTGTGCAAAAGGTTCTTTGTTTGTTTGTGCTTTATTTTTTGAGACAGGGTCTCACTCTGTCGCCCAGGCTGGGGTGCAAAAGCTTTTTAACTCGATGTTATCACATTTATCCATTTTCAATTTGGTTGCCTATGCTCGTAGGGTATTATTCAAGAATTCTTTGCCCAGTCCAATGTCCTGGAGTTTCCCCAATGTTTTCTTACAGTAGTTTCATAGTTTCAGGTATCAGATTCTAAGTCTTTAATGTATTTATATTTGATTTTTGTATGTGGTGAGAGATAAGGGTTTAGTTTCATTTTTTTTTTTTTTTTTGGCGTATATATCCACTTTCCCCAGTACCACTTATTGAAGAGATTATCCTTCTCTAATATGTGTTCTTGGCACTTTTGTCAAAAATAAATTCACTGTAGATTTATGGATTTATTTCTGGGTTCTCTATTATGTTCCATTGATTTTTGTGTTTCTTTTTATGCCAGTACCATGCCATTTCGTTTACTATAGGTAGCTCTGTAGTATAATTTAAAATCAGGTAATGGTGATTCCTCCAGTTTTGTTCTTTTTGCTTGGAATAGCTTTGGATATTCTGAGTCTTTTGTGTTTCCATATAAATTTTAGGATTGTTATTTCTATTTTTTGTAGAATGTCATTGGTATTTTGACAGGAATTGATTGCATTAAATCTGTAGATTGATTTGGATAATACAGACATTTTAACAATATTGATTTCTTTCAATCCATGAACATGGAATATCATTCCATTTTTTGTGTCTTCTTCAATTTCTTGCATCAATTATAGTTTTCATTGTAAAGATTTTTCACTTCTTTGGCTAAGTTAAAACCCTGGTATTTTATTTTATTTTATTTTATTTTAGCTATTGCAAATGGGATTACAATGCTTTTTCAGATTGTTCATTGTTGGCATATAGAAATGTTACTCTTTTTTGTATGTTGATTTGTATCCTGAAACTTCACTGTATTTGTTTATCAGTTCTAATAGAGATTTGGTGGAGTCTTTAGGTTTTTCTAAATATAAGATCATATTATCTGCAAATGTTAATAATTTTACTTCTTTCTTTCAAATTTGGATGCCCTTTATTTCTATTCTTTCTTTTGTCTAATTGCTCCTGCTAGGACTTCTAGTACTAAGCTGAATAACTGGTAAAAGTGGGCATCCTTGTCTTGTTCCAGATTTTAGAGGAAAGGCTTTCAGGTTTGCCCCATTCAGTATGATACTAGCTGTGGGTTTGTTGCTTATGTCGTTTATCATGTTGAGATATGTTCTTTCTATTTCTTTGAGAGTTATCATGAAGAGATGTTGAATTTTATCAAATGTTTTTTCAGCATCAATTGAAATGATCATATGGTTTTTGTTCTTTATTCTGTTGCTTAATGTATCATATCAACATCCTTGTATCCCTGGGATATATTACACTTGGTCATAATTACTGATATTTTTAATATATTGTTGAATTTGATTTGCTAGTATTTTGTTGAGGGTTTTGCATTAATATTCATCAGTGATATTGGCCTATATATTTTTTTTGATATGTCTTTGTCTGATTTTGGTATCAGAGTGAGACTGGCCTCATAGAAGGAGTTTGGAAGTATTGCCTCCTCTATTTTTCAGAATAGTTTTAAGTAGGATTGGTATCTTTCTTTACATGTTTGGCAGAGATCAGCAGTGAAACCATCAAGTCTTGAGCTTTTCTTTGCTGGGAGACTTTTTATTATGGCTTTGATCTTATCAGTTGTTATTGGTCTGTTCAGGTTTTGGATTTCTTCATGGTTCAATCTTGGTAGGTTGCATGTGTCTAGGAATTTATCCATTTCTTCTAGGTATTCTAATTTATTGACATATAGTTGCCCGGCCGGGCGCGGTGGCTCACGCCTGTAATCCCAGCACTTTGGGAGGCTTAGGCGGGCGGATCACGAGGTCAGGAGATCGAGATCATCCTGGCTAACACAGTGAAACCCCGTCTCTACTAAAAATACAAAAAATTAGCCGGGTGTGGTGGCAGACGCCTGTAGTCGCAGCTACTCGGGAGGCTGAGGCAGGAGAATGGCGTGAACCCGGGAGGCGGAGCTCGCAGTGAGCCGAAATCACGCCACTGCACTCCAGCCTGGGCGACAGAGCGAGACTCCCTCTCAAAATAAATAAATAAATAAAATAAATAAGACATATAGTTGCTCATAATAGACACTAAAGATCCTTTGAATTTCTGTGGTATCAGTTGTAATGTCTCCTTTTTCATCTCTGATTTTATTTGCTTGGGTCTTCTTTCTTTTTTTCTTAGTTTGGCTAAAGTCTTGTCAATTTTGTTTATCTTTTGAAAAAACCCACGTTTTTGTTTCATTGATCTTTTGTATTGTTTTCTTCATTTCAAATACATTTATTTCTGTTCTTATCTTTATTATTTCTTTTCTTCTACTAATTTTGGGTTTGGTTTGCTTTTGTCTAGTTTAATTATGTTTAAGATGCATCATTAAGTTGTTTATTTAAAGTTTTTCTTCTTTTTTCATATAAGCACTTATAGCTATAAAATTCCCACTTAGTACTGCTTTCACTGTTTCCTATAGGTTTTGTTCTACTGTATTTCCATTATCATTTGTTTAAAGAAGTTTTTGATTCCCTTTTTAATTTCTTCATTGATTCATTGGTCATTCAGGATTATATTGTTTAATTTCCACGTGTATACTTTCCAAAATTCCTCTTGATGTTGATTTCTAGTTTTATTCCGCTGTGGTCAGAGAAGATGCTTGATATTATTTCAATTTTATGAATGTTTTAAGACTTGTTTTGTGGTAACATATGGCCTATCCTTGAGACTGATTCATGTACTGAAGAAAAGAATGTATATTCTGCAGCAGTTGGATGGAATGTTCTGTAAATATCTATTAGATCCACTTGGTTTATGGTGCAGACAAAGTCTGATGTTTCTTTGTTGATTTTCTGTCTCAAAGATCTGTCCAGTGCTAAAAGTGGGATCATGAAATCTCCAGCTATTATTGTATTGGGATTTGTCTCTTTCTTTAGCTCTAGTAATAGTTGCTTTATATATCTGGGTGCTCCAGTATTGGGTGCATATATATTTAAAATTGTTGTATCCTCCTACTGAATTGACCCCTTTATTATTATACAGTGACCTTTTTTTGTCTCTTCTTATAGTTTTTGTCTTGAAATCTATTTTGTCTGATATAAATGTAGTGACTCTGGCACTTTTTTGGCTTGCATTGGCATGGAATATCTTTTTCCATCACTTAATTGTCAGTCTCTATGTGTCTTTACAGGTGAAGTATGTTTTCTATAGGCAACAGATCACTGGGTTTTGTTTTTTTAATCCATTCAGCCACTCTATGTCTTTTGATTGGAGAGTTAGTCCATTTACATTCAATGTTATTATTGATAAGTAGGGACTTACTCTTGCCATTTTGTGATTTGTTTTCGAGTTGTTTTGTGGTCTTTTTTCCTGTCTTCCTTTTAGTAAAGTGATTTTCTCTGGTGGTATTATTTAATTTCTTGCTGTTTACTTTTTTGTGTATCTGTTCTATGTTTTTTGATTTGAGATTACCATGAGGCTTGCAAATACTATCTTATAACTCATCATTTTAAGCTGATAACATTGTATGTTATTTGCTTCTTTTCTCTTGCTGTTTTTAGGAGCCTTTCCTTATCCTTGACCTATGGGAGTTTGATTATTAAATGCCTTGAGGTGGTCTTATTTGGTTTAAATCTGCTTGGTGTTGAAAAAAGAAAAATTTCAGCCGAATTAAATTTAAAGGAGTTTAATTGAGCAATAAATGATTCACGAATCAGGCAGCCTTCCCAGCCAGAGTTGGCTTGGAGATTCCAGAACAGCCACATGGTGGATGAAAAAGGAAAGTGATGTACAGAAAATGTAAGTGAGGCACAGAAACAGCTGGATTGGTTACAGCTTGGCTTTTGCCTTATTTGAACACAGTTCAAACAGTTGGTTACATTTGATTGACCAAAACTCAGTGACTGGCACAAGTGTAGGCTACAGTCTGGTTACACCTCCACTTATAGCTCATGATGTACAGAAAAACCTTTAGGTCCAACTTAAAAAACGTTGGACCTAATTCTATAACCTTCTTGTACTTGGATATTAATATCTTTCTCAAGGTTTGGGAAGATCTCTGATATTACCTCTTTGAATAAACTTTCTACCCCTATCTCTGTCTCTACCTCCTCTTTAGAGCCAATAACTCTTAGATTTGCCCTTCTGAGGCTACTTTCTAATCTTGTAGGCATGCTTCATTCTTTTATCTTTTGTCTTGACTGTGTATTTTCAAATAGCCTGTCTTGAAGCTCACTAATTCTTTCTTCTGTTTGATCAATTCTGCTATTAAAAGACTCTGATGCATTCTTCAGTATGTCAATAGCATTTTTCAACTGCAGAATTTCTGCTTGATTCTTTTTAATTATTTCAATCTCTTTATTAAATTTATCTGATAGAATTCTGAATTCCTTCTCTGTGTTATCTTGGATTTGTTTGAGTTTCCTCAAAACAGCTATTTGAATTATCTGTCTGAAAGGTCACATATCTCTGTTTCTCCAGGATTGGTTCCTGGTGGCTTGTTTAGTTCATTTGGTAAGGTCATGTTTCCCTTGATGGTCTTGATGCTTGTGGATGTTTTTCTGTGTCTGGGCATTAAAGAGTTAGGTATTGGCCAGGCACGGTGGCTCACGCCTGTAATCCCAGGAGGATCACGATGTCAGGAGATCGAGACCATCCTGGCTAACATGGTGAAACCCCATCTCCACTAAAAATACAAAAAAATTAGCCAGGCACAGTGACGGGCGCCTGTAGTCCCAGCTACTCGGGAGCCTGAGGCAGGAGAATGGCATGAACCTGGGAGGCGGAGCTTGCAGTGAGCCGAGATCGCGCCACTGCACTCCAGCCTGGGTGACAGAGCGAGACTCCGTCTCAAAAAAAAAAAAGAAAAAAAAAAAAAGTTAGATACTTATTATAGTCTTCACAGTCTGGGCTTGTACCCATCCTTCTTGGGTACAGCTATTTTCAGGTATTTGAAAGGACTTGGGAATATTTTTATCTAAGCCTTATCTGCATTAGGGGACACCCCCAGCCCAGTAATGCTGTGGTTCTTGCAGACTCATGAAGGGACCATTAGTGGTCTTGGATAAGATCTGGAAGAATTATCTGGATTACCAGACAGATATTCTTGTTCTCTTCTTTTACTTTCTCCCAAACAGAGTCTCTCTCTCTCTCTCTCTCTCTCTCTCTCTCTGTTCTAAGGTTCCTGGAGCTGGGTGTAGGGCAACAAAAGCACCCCTGTGGGCACCACCACTGGCATTGTGCTTGGTCAGGCCTGAAGCCAGCACATCACTGAGACTTGCCCAAGGCCTGCTGTAACCATTACCTGGCTATCACCTTTGTTGGCTCAAGGCCCTGGGGCTCTACAATTAGCAGGTGGTGAAGCCAGTCAGGTTTGTGTCCTTCCCTTCAGGGTAGCAAGCTCCCCCGGTCCCTGGGCAGGTCCAGAGGTACAGTCTGCGAGCCAGGGACTGGAGTCAAAAACCTTAGAAGTGTACCTGGTGTTCTATTGTAGTGCAGCTGAACTGGCACTCAAACAACAAGACACAGTCCTTCCCATTTTCCCCTCCCATTTCTACAGGCAGAGGAGCCTCACTCCATGACCACCACCACCATAGGCCCACAGGGTATACTGCCAGGCTACCACTGATGTTCCCTTAAGACCCAAGGGGTTTTCAGTCAGCTTGTGGCAAATGCAGCCTGGCCTGGAACTCACCCTTCAGAACAGTGAGCTCCCTCTGGCCCACAGCAGGTCCAGAAATGCCATCCAAGAGCCAAGTCTTAGAAGTGGGGACCTCAAAAACCTGCTTGGTGCTCTACCCCCAAATGGCTGAGCTGATACTTAAGGGCAAAACAAATCTCCTTTACTTTTCTCTCCACTTTTCTCAAGCAGAAGGAGTCTATCCCCATAACTACAACAGATGGGAATGTACTGAGTCTCACCTGAAGCCATCAGTCTTAGAGTCTCACCCAAGGCTCATGGCTCACTACTTGGGTGTCTCTGCTGGTTATTCCTGGCAGGTCCATCCTTTCTCCTCTTCCCACTTTATATCTTACGTTTTCCTTCATGATTTCATCCATGTCCATGGTTTTATCTGTCCATTTTAGGCTGATACTTCCAAATATATATGCCAGGTTGAGATTTTTCTCCTAAGTTCCAGAATTGCTATATCTCCTGGACAGCTTCACTGGGATATCCACAAGTGCTCCAAAGTAAACAAGTCTCAAATGGAATTATTCTTTCCCTTAAATTTGTTCACCTCTGAGCTCTTTAATCTAGTAAATGGGACCTACTCACCATAGCCTTAAGTCTTGGCATTATCCTTGATTTCTCTCTCCTTCAAACCCCACATACCATTGGCCACCAAATCTTGTTTATTTGCTTTTAAGCATTTCTCAAATGGGTCTCCTTTCTACCCCTACAGCCAGTGACTTACTTCAGACCTTATCATTTCTTTAGGACTTATTAGTCTTATCTCCCTGCTTCTGACCTTGGTTTCTTTCAATTAGTCCCATAGAGCAAACAAACAAACAAACAAACAAAAAATGACCTTTCTGAAATATTAGGTCGATGCAAAAGTAATTGTGATTTTTGTGTGTGCCATTTTTAAGGCAAAAAACACAATTACTTTTGTACCACCAACCTAATACAATCTAATTATTATTGTTTCCACACAATTTAAAAATAAATAATTCTCTGTAGGCTTCCAGATAAAACTTATGTTCGCCACCATGGCCCATAGTACCCTAACCTGCCACCTTCATCTCTTACCACATTCTGAATTACTCAGTTCCCTAGATGCCCCATGCTATCTCATAGATCCCAGTATTTCCACATGCTGTTCCTTCTGCTGGGTCTTGCTCCCTGCTACTAATACCTCTTCATGGCATTCTTCAAGACTCAGGTCAGACACTTCCACGTCTGAAGTTTCCCTGACGTTCCCCTTTTCCAAGCTGAGATTGGGCGCCCCTCCTGGTATATGTAGAAAATAGTCCATATATATTATCTGTGAAGACTTGACTTTGATTTTTAAAAAGTATCTGTTCATGGTTTTCCCATCACTAGATTGTGAGTCCCTCCCTGCCCTCTCTACTATCTATCCTCTGCCCTGGCTTAGTTTTTCTTCAAGTACTTATCACCATCTGGCATGCTAGGTTTGTCTCTATCCCTCAAAAAGAATATGAGATACATGGAGGTGGAGATGTTTTACCTGTTATGTTCACTGCAATATCCTTGACATCTAGACTAGAACAGTATCTGGCACGTAGTAAGCACTCAGTAGTCATTTGTGAAGTAAACAAATAAATCTTCGCCCTGAGCACTTACTGCAGTATCTAACACATAATATGGGTTGTTACACTCTACTGCAACCTCGTTTACTCATCTGTCACCACTACAAGACTGTAACTCCTCAAGGTGACTGTATTTTGTTTATCTCAGTATCTCCAGTGCTTAGCATATTTTTTTTGGCATATACTATACCGAATAAATAAATCTCTTCAATACTGCAAATTCATCAGGGCAGGTGTAAGGTCCCACAACACCTGGAATATTGCCTTCCACATAAAAGATATTTGATGAATGTGTGTTTATTGCCAGCTGAACATAAGCCACAAACAAAATGCTTTATAAAAGTGAGGCATAATACCAGGGTGTGTGAATAGCATTACACATACTCAAAATCATTTTTTGAAACTCAACCTTGGGGGTCTTATCATTTCAAGTTAAGAATTAGATGTTTACACTGTTAAAAAATAAAATTTATGAGAGGAGTGTAATAAATTGGGATTATTTCATAAATTGTTTTCTTTATCTGAATAATGCAAAGATTTACTAATTTATTAGAGGTAACAAAATGGTGATATTTTATTTTGATTATTTTTTCTAAGCTGGAATGTTTCTAAAAAGACACATTTTCGCTCACTGACTATTTGATTACCCTAAAGAACAATTTGTATAGAAAATATAACATTCTTTTTTTGTTTGTTTCAAAGTAATGAGTTAGTTCACTTGCATTCTTCAAAGAAAAATAGTATATTTTTATTTTTAACTTTTTGTACCTTTGTGATCTAATGGATTTAAACATACTTAAAGTGTTTTCAAGTCATTGCAGTTATTATCTTTATTGATCCTCAATTATCTTATTTGGCCAGTGGAAATCTATGCAAGCCAGTTCTTGGATAGTTGTTTTATTTTGAGACAGGGTCTCCCTCTGTCGCCAAGGCTGGAGTGCATGGTGCAATCTTGGCTCACTGCAGCCTCTGCCTCCTGAGTTCAAACGATTCTCATCTTCAGCCTCCCAAGTAGCCTTCCAAGTATTCTCTTGCTTCAGCCTCCCAAGTAGCTGGGATTACAGGCATGCACCACCATGCCTGGCTAATTTTTGTATTTTTTTTGAGACGGAGTTTCACTCTTGTTGCCCAGGCTGGAGTGCAATGGTGCAATCTCGGCTCACCGTAATCTCCACCACCCAGGTTCAAGCAATTCTCCTGCCTCAGCCTCCCAAGTAGCTGGGATTACAGGCATGTGCCACCACACCCGGCTTATTTTGTATTTTCAGTAGAGACAGGGTTTCTTCATGTTGGTCAGGCTGTTCTCAAACTCCTCACCTCAGGTGATCCACACGCCTCAGCCTCCCAAAGTGCTGGGATTACAGGCACGAGCCACTGTGCCTGTCCTATTTTTGTATTTTTAGTAGAGACGGTGTTTCACCATGTTGGCCTGACTGGTCTCGAATTCCTGACCTCAACTGATCTACCCACCTCAGCCTCCCAAAGTGCTAGGATTACATGCATGACCCACCACACCCAGCCAAGCCTGGCTTCTAATAGCTTTCACGCTTGCTGAGGATGACAACATCTTGTCCAGGTTCATTTTGTATATTTTCTACCCTGGGCTTAGAATCAACTATTTTTCCCAGGAGACTTGATTCCTCTTATGAGAAATGGTAAAAAGTCAAAAGTCATAACCTAAGGATGCTCACTGATATTAAATTGATCATGATTTTTAGGTCTTTCAGCACAAAGGGCAACAGTTCTTTCTTTTTTAAACTTTTAAAAAGTTTATATGGAGACACAGTCTCGCCATGTTGTCCAGGCTGGTCTTAAACTCCTGGCAGGGCACAAATGATACTACATTTTGGCTTCATAAAGTATTGGGATTACAGGCGTGAGCCACCATACCCGGCCAGGGCAACTTCTTTGTGTCATGTTTCTCCAGTTATTTTGGTGGCCTGAAGCTCATTCTCTATTGGATTCCTAAGAAAAATCTTACGGGAAAAATATTCTGTAATTAGGTTCTTGCATGCTCTTATAAGTATTTTATTGTGGTAAAATATACATAAAATAAAAGTTAACATCTTAATTTCTTTTTGTTATTGTTGTGGTTGTTTTGTTTTGGTTTTGGTTTTTCTCTTTTTTTTGAGATGAGGTCCACTATGTTGCCCAGGCTGGTCTCAAACTCCTGAGCTCAAGCAGTCCTCCTGCTTCAGCCTCCCAAGTAGCTAGGATCATAGGTGCACACCACCCTACCTAGATCATTAATCATTATTAAGTCTGCTGTTCAGTGGCATTAGCTACATTCACATTGTTGTGCACCATTGCCACCATCCATCTCTAGAATTTTTTCATCTTCTTTAACTGAAATGCTGTACCCATTAAACTCTAATGCCCTACTCCTCTCTTTCCTCAGTCCCCGGCAGCCACCATTCTACTTTCTGTCCGCATGAATTTGGCTACTCTAGGTACCCCAGACAAGTCGAGTAATAAAACATTTGTCCTTGACTGGGCGCAGTGGCTCACGTCTGTAATCCTAGCACTTTGGGAAGCTGAGGCGGGTGGATCACTTGAGGTCAAGAGTTCAAGATCAGCCTAACCAACATGGTGAAACCCCATCTCTACTAAAAACACAAAAAATTAGCCAGGCGTGGTGGTGCACACCTGCAATCCCAGCTACTTGGGAGGCTGAGGCATGAGAATCACTTGAACCCGGGAGGTGGAGGTTGCAGTAAGCTGAGATCATGCCACTGCACTTCAGCCTAGGCAATAGAGCAAGACTCTGTGTCAAAAAAAAAATTGTCCTTTTTGAGTCTGGCTGACTTTATTTTTCACAATGTCTTAGGGTTCACTCATGTTGTAGCATATACCAGAAAGCCTTCCTTTTGAAGACTGAACAATATTCCAATGTGTGTATATACCAGATTTTGTTTATCCACTCATCCATCAATGGGCATTTAGGATGGCTCCAATTAGAGCTATTGTGAATATTGCTGCTATGAACATGGGTAGATGAATATTTGTTTAGGCCTTTGCTTTCACTCCTTTTGGGTATATACCCAGAAGTGAAATTGCTGGATCATATAGTAACTCTATGTTTATTTTTTTGAGGCACTGATCTACTGCTTTCCACAGTGGCAGCACAATTTTACATTCCCACCTACAATGCACAAAGGTTTTAATTTATCTGCATCCTTGCCAGCTTTTGCTGTCTTTTGTTTTATTTTTTGATAATAGTCATCCTAATGGGTGGGTGGTGGTATCTCATTGTGGTTTTGATTTGTATTTTCATAATGGTTAATGATACTGAGCATCCTTTCATGTGCTTCTTGGCCATTTGTATATATATACATCTTTGATTTTTTTTTTTTTTGAGAGATGGCTATTCAAGTGCTTTGTCCATTTTTAAATTGGGTTGTTTGTTTGTTTTTGCTGAGTTGGAGTGTTGTTTGTATGTTTATATTTGAAGTTCCATTTGGTTGGATATGAAATATTTAGCTCATTTTTTTTTCCTTGGGGTGTCTTAAATATGTTACTCCATTATCTTTCAGCATAAACTATTACTACCAAAAAGTTTGATGATGATCTAATGTTATTTCAATTAGAAATGACTTGGTCTTTTTGCCTGGATGCCTATAAGATTTTTTTTTCTTACTGTTTAATAGGTTTAGTAAAATATGTCTTGATGTTAGCTGTTCTGGGTCTACTTTCCCAGATACATAGTGTGCCTTCTCAATATGTAATCATTTTTGTTTTAGAAAAGTTTTATTGAATTGTACTTTTTAACATTGTGTTACATCGTATGGCTTTCTTTTTCTTCTTCATGAACTCCTATAACATGTATGTAGAATCTTCTTTGATATATACATATATATAATAAATATATATCTAAAGTTTGTATATATATAAACTTTATCTCAAATTCTCCACATTCTTGCCAAGAGTTGGTATGTTCAGTCATTTAAATTTTAGCCATTCCAATAGGTGTACATTAACATCTCATTATAGTTTTAATCTGCATTTTCCTCATGACTAATGATGTTGAGCATCTTTTCATATGTTTGTCATCTGTATATCTTCTTTGGTAAAGTATCTGTTGAAATCTTTTGTCCTTTTGTTTGAGACAGAGTCCTGCTCTATCACCCAGGCCATAGTGCAGTGGCACAAGCTTGGCTGACTGCAGCCGAAACCTCCTGGGCTCAAGTGATCTTCCCACTTCAGCCTCCTGAGTAGCTGGGACCACAGGGGCATGCCACCATGCCCAGCTAATTTTTGTATTTTTTGTAGAGACGGGGTCCCACTATGTTGCCCAAGCTGGTCTCAAACTCCTGGGCTCAAGCGATCCACTCACATTGGCCTCCCAAAGTGCTGGGATTACAGGTGTCACCCACCACACCTGGCCCTTTGCCCATTTTTTAAATGGTGTCTTCCAAAGAGAAGTTTTTAATTTTTGTGTTCCAATTTACCAACTTGGTTTTTATGGATCATGTTTCTGGTCAAGATCAATACATAAAAATATATCTAAACTTACCTATTAGTTCTAGTAGCTTTTTAATAGATTACAATAGATTTTAGATATAGATGACAATGTCATCTATGAGTAGTTTTATTTCCTCCTCTGTCTGTATGCTGTTTATTTCACTTCTTGCTTATTTTACTAGCTAGAATCTCCAATGTAGTGTCGAACAGAAGTAGTAGGCGCAGACATTGTTGTCTTGTTCCTGATCTTAGGGGAAAAGCATTTGGCCTTTCACTATTAAGTATGATGTCAAGTCTACGATTTTTGTAGACACTCTTTATCAGGTTGAGGGAGTTCATTTCTGTTTTCAGTTTGTTGTGAATTAAAAAAAAATCGGCAGTGGATGTTGGATTTTGTCAGATGTATTTTCTGTGCCTATTGAGACTGCCATATGTTTTTTTGTTGTTGTTGTTAGTTTGTTAATATAACAAATTACATTGATTGATTTTCAAGTGCCAATCCATTCTTGCATTGCTGGGATAAACCCCACTGGGACATGATGTATTATTTTTTAAAAAATTATAGATTCTCTTTTTAGTACAGTTGTAAATTTACAGAATAATTAAGCAGATAGTATATGTAGTTTCATAAATCTACCTCAGGCTATTCCTCCCCAGTTTCTCCTACTATTAAAATCTTGCTTTCATGATACATTTGTTACAAATAATGAACAACTGATACATTATTATGAATTAGTCTGTAGTTTACATTAAGAGTCATTCTTTGTGTTTTACAGTTCTACTGGTTTCAACAACTGTATAATGGGGTGTGTCCATAATTATAATTTCATACAGGATAGTTTCACTTTCCTAAGAATCTTCTATGCTTCACCTATTCAATCCTCTTTTTCCTCCTTTCACATCCACTTATCTTTTACTGCCTCTATAGTTTTGTCTTTTCCAAAATGTCATATAGTTGGAATCATAAAATATGTAACTTTTTCAGACTGGCTTCTTTCAGTTAGCAATATTCATTTAAGGTTTTTCTGTGTCTATTGCTTGATAATTCATTTCTTCTTATTGCTGAGTAATATTCCATTGTGTAAATCTATCAGTTTGTTTATCCATTTACCTATTAAAAGACATCTTGGACTGGGTGCGGTGGCTCACGCCTGTAATCCAAGCACTTTGGGAGGCCAAGGTGGGCGGATCACCTGAGCTCAGGAGTTCGAGACCACCCTGGGCAACATAGTGAAACCCTGTCTCTACTAAAATACAAAAAATTAGTGGGGCATGGTGGCGCATGTCTGTAGTCCCAGCTACTCAGGAGGTTGAGGCACAAGAATTGCTTGAGCCCAGGAGGTGGAGGTTACGGTAAGCGGAGATCACACCACTGCACTTCAGCTTGGGCTACAGAGTGAGACTCCATCTCAAAATAAATCAATCAATAAAAAATAAAATAAAATGAAAGACATTTTGGTTGCCCCAAGGTTTGGCAAAGCTATAAGCAAATAAAGTTTATAAAACTTATAAATAATGCTGCTGTAAACATTCATGTGCAGGTTCTTATGAAGACAAAAGTTTTGGTCAAATATCTAGAAGTGTGATTGCAACATGGCAAAATTATGCTTAGATTTGTAAAAAAAACTGCCAAAATATTTTTCCAAGTAGTTGTACTATTTTTCATTTCTACCACAATGATTGAGGGTTCCTATTTCTCTGCACACTCATCAGCATTTGGTGGTGTCAGTGTTTTGGATTTTAACCTTTCTAGTAGATATGTAATGGTATCTCATTGTTGTTTTACTTTATAATTCCCTAATGCTATATGACAATGAGCCTTTTTTCATATGTTTGTTGATATCTATATATCTTCTATAATATTGGATTTGATTTACTAAAATGTTTTAAAGAATATTTACCCCGTTTTCATGAGGAATATTAGTTTGTAATTTTCTTTTCTTGTAATGTCTTTGTCTGCTTTCATATGTTGGCCTCATAAAATGTCTTAGGAAGTAGTTTCCTTTTTTCAATTTTTTGCAAGAGGTTATGTGGAAGTGGCTTTATTTATTTCTTAAATGTTTGGTAGGATTCACTCCTGAAACCATGTGCGTTTCTAGTTTTCTTTATGGGAATGTTTTAAACTCTGCATTCAATTTCTTTTGTAGACATAAGGCTGTTCAAATTATTTAATCTTGAGTAATTTTTGATAGTTTGTGTTCTTTAAGAAATTTTTTCATAGATTTTAGCCATGGAGTTGTTTTTTATTTTTCTATCTAGGTATTCTGTGTTTATTCTGGCCATTTTAAGCATCCTCACTACACACATACACACAAAAGAAGGGCGATGATGGATGTGTTAATTAATTTGACTGTAGTAATCAGTACACAATGTATACTCATACCAAATCATCACACTGTTCACCTTGAATATACACAATTTTGTCAATGAAATATTTTAAAATACAAAATAAAAATTATTCTTCCAGCTTCTCAGAATTTTCTAAGGTTTTATTTCTAAAACTAGAATGACAGTATAGCAAAGTATAAACCAATATAATTAAGAGGTCCCTAAGAAAATGTAGAAGTAGCTTTACTGGATTGCCACAGTGTCACATCCTTTAATGCAGGTGAAAAATTGAGAGATCAATATTAAAATGTACTTAAGAGACACATAAAAAACATTTCACAACTTCACTTTGCAGATTACAATGTGAAATTTTAATAAGATTACCAAAATTTTAAGTATTTGGTCTTGTATAGATAACTAAAATTATTAATATTTATTATAAGAATATTACTGGTATATTAAACATTTTTGTTTATATAATAAAACTCTTTTCTTTCTCACATTTCTTGGGGGAATCATTCAACTTCTCTGGGCCTCAATTTATTCATTGGTAAAAATGGGTCAATTAGATTAGATTTTTGCTAAGACTTCTTCTAGACCTCAACTTTAAAAAAAAGTTTCCAGTGTTAACTGTAAAACAAAGTGTTTACCTCTAAATTGTTTTAAAATAATTATATCAATTGGAACATAAGTATATACAGATGCCTAGCAAATAATTTATAGATACTGTAAAATGAGTTTTTTCCACATTTATTTACTTGTAAGCTGCTAATCTAAAGTAATATTGTTTTGGGAAGAGAGGAAATGGAGTCACAAATTAATCTTTATACTTCATGTTCCAAAGGAAGAGAGATGTCTCTTGTTTAAGTAATCTGCCCAAAATCCAAGTCAGAGTGAGACTTGCTTTGGTGTCAGTCCTCTCATTTATTAATCTTACCAACAAAAAAGGTAAAAGCGAGTGTTTTTGAAAAGACACCTTGGCACTGTTGCAGCAGCTATTAAAGTAGAGGATTAAATTGTGTGAATCTAAGCTCCTCATAAGCCCTGGAAATCAAGATTGTTTTTGTGAGGAACTTGTTCAGAAACAAAAGAGTTTTACTGAACATTATGCTGTCTGGACAGTCTTCAAGAGCACATGGACACAATTTATTCTTTAACAGGAGCCATGTTCTGGTTCAGATATAAAAGTTTCACAGAAAAACACTGTGGGGTATGTGTAAAAGGAAACATTTAAAAATTGTATTATAATTACAGCAGACTATAAAGATACAGATTTAGTCATTGTTTATATTTTGCTCATTCTTGGAAGATTTTTAAAATTAAAAATTTTTAATAAAAAGTTCTGGAAATCTTGAATGTGGCTTACTATCCAACTTGTCTTTATATCCAACAAGAAAAGTGTGCATTTTAAATAAAGGTAATCTCAGGCCCATTTGGTGTTTTGGAAGCAGAACTGTCTGTAGCTGATACTTCTGGTGGTATTCTGAAATATATCCCCAGGCCCACCTTGGATTTCAGCCACAGCTATAGTGGAGAGTTCCACTCAATTTTTGATTCACTTTTTGGTGACAGCAACCAACCTTAAATGATTGCCCCATTTCTCTAGTTTCTGATCTTGTATCCTTTCCAAGGTCATGGGAGCACCCTAGGCCTATGTAAACCAATAATAAAATTCCAAGGCCCCCCAGCCACCTGAATGGACATCTCCTCTCAGTCAAGGGCATTCCAACATTATCCTGAGAAACTAGTTTAGGGGATGATGGAAAGGGGAAGCCAGACATGCCCTTCTCCTTTTTGGAATTACTGATAGACCAGACTCTTTAAGTCTGATAAGAAACATTTACAATCTAGTCTCTCTGAAGTCTGCTACCTGGAGGCTTCATCTGCATGATAAAACTTCACTACCCCTTATCATAACCCAGACATTCCTTTCTATTGATTCCAGGTCTTTAGATAATAACTCTTTCAACCAATTGCCAATCAGAAAAGCTTTGAATCCACCTGTGACTTGAAAGCACCTGCTTCCAGTTGTCCTACCTTTCCAGCCTGAACCAATGTACATCTTACATTGGTTGATGTCTTCTGTCACCGTAAAATGTATAAAACCAAGTTGTGGCCCAACCGTGATGGGTACATGGTCTCAGGATCTCCTGAAGTCTGTGTCACAGGACACTGGTCACTTGTATTTGGTTCATAATAAATCTTTTCAAATATTTTATAGATTTTGACTCTTTTCCTTGATACCTGTGTGCAGGTAATCCCATGAGTATAGAGGAGTAATGCCCCCCACCAGTGGGTCCAGGTTAGTGGACAAATGCTGCAGCCATCAGGCCTTCCAGTGGACAATTCTAAAAGCACTGCTCATTTCTAAGGAGCTGCTGGTCCTGGAATCAAATCCCACATGCCCATAATGGCAATCACAGTAATATACATCTTATTAGGTTGTCTTCTCTCTCATTCTTCCTGCTCTCTCACTCTTCCTGCTCTCTCACTCTTCCTGCTCTCTCACTCTTGCTTCCTGGGATTACCAAATAAATTCCTTGCACCCAAGTGTTTGTCCCAGGTTCTGCTTTAGGAGAAATGTAAAACTTTGATATGAGGCATGACCCTTGAGGGCAAATCTTAGGATGGGATTCTGGAACTGGATCACTTACCCTTTTTGCTGGGATAAGTGAGATGGTGATAACCCCTGGTGCGCATCCTAATTTGTATGAATCTTACCTGTGGTAGATTGGCGTGAGAAGAAGTGGGTTATCTGGTAGCTCTGTCACTACAATGGTATGGAGACAAAGGATTGTGGAATTGGCTCACATTTGTCAACTGCCTTGGAAGCCTTGAAAAAAACCTGGCAGGCCCGGATCAGCCAATTATCAACTTAGGGCACTCTGTGAAAGCCAGAAGTCCTCCTTGGCAGTGTTTAAAAAGGCTATTATCCCTTCAGCCATAGGGAAGCTGTGCTGAAAGTCAGATATACAATG